>NC_000007.14:101597688-101900718 GCF_000001405.40 Homo sapiens
CCAACAGTGTGCAAACATAGGAGGAATGCCTAGAAAGCATTCAAAGAGAGATCAAAAGGAAACTCTGATTATGGGGGTGAACAGGGGACTTTGAAGAAAGAAACCAGAAATGGAAGGGGTCCTAGTGGGAAAAGGACATTCCCTAAGGCCAGGACAGTATCCATGCCCCCAGCCCCTTCTATCCTCCCCACCCCCACTGTCCTGCCCTGGCCAGAGCTCCAGGCCACACTGTTCCCACTGTAGGGCCTACACTAGCTGTCTCCATCTTTGTCCCCTGCCCATCTTCCTCCACTAGGGCTCAGCTTGACAACCCTTCCTCATGCAGCCTACCACCTCTAAGCCTGCATTCCCTCCCTTCTCTATGCTCTGAAGTTCTGTATACAGGACTTGCCTCTAAGATCCCACTGGCCAGGTCGTAACGTTGAGACCCAACCACTCATTCTGCTCCCTGGGCTGGGTGCACCTCGTGGGTAGTCATTGGCCTTATTTATCTCTGGGCCCCCCGGGAAGGCATGAGAGCCAAGCTGCTGAATACAGGGGCCCTGCAGCTTGTACTGAGCATTTGAGTACCAGACACTTCTAGGATTTCACGATGGAAGACCCTATGATACGGCATCTCCTTCCCATGCCCCACTATCAGGGACAAGGGGTGCAGAGACAACGGGGCCTCCCAGCTGGAGGGACTGTTCAGGGCCAGCTCTGAGCTGCCTCCCACCCTCGCCTAGCCTCTGGCAGGGCCTCTGGCCAGGCAGGAACGGCCAACAGAGTCACCTCCTGCTGACAAGCCTGGCGCTGACAGCCAGGATCTGGGAGAACAAGAAGTCCATTCAAGGCGCAGGGCCGGGCGGGCCCACTTTCAGGTGTATGATCTCACCTCTCGGAAACTGGCAAGCCGCCGGAGGGCCTCGTCAAGGCTTTGATGACCCTGTGCTGAGGACGCAAATCCTAGGCCTGGCCGACACCCTGCTCCAAGGACCAATGACTGAGGCCAGAGAGGGTCCCAGATGGAGCCTGGGTAGGGGTGAAACTGCACAGGCGGACGGGCAGAGCGTCCACCCTGGAGAAGAGACCCAGGCCCAACCAGGCCCCAGAGCCTGCACGAGCACCTGGAGTGGCAGGGACAGCCCAGCCCCCTCCTGCCCCACTTCCTGGGAAGCAGCAGCTTGTGTGTTCTGGTCGGTCGGCTTTGGCAAAGCTGACTGGTGACGTCAGGCAGGCACCCCCTCTCATCCAGATCCTGGGCCCCCCACACACTGGGCCCAGCTGGGGGATGGAGCTAAAGGAACTTTGCTCCCAGCTCATCTTGTTTCTGGGCTTTGTTGCCCAGTGGCCACTGGCACCCTGGTGGAAGGGACCAGCCAGGGGGAGTAGTAGGCCCCATCTCAGCTGGAATCTCCCAGGGTAACTGGGCCTGCAGCTTGCTGGAGTCCGTACTTTTCTGTGAGCTCACAGGGCAGATCCCAGAAGCCAAAACTGACCCAGAGGGAATGGAACTCAGATGGTCAAGAAACCACTGCCCTCTGCCCTCTTGGCATGTGACCTTAGTTCCACCCATAGAGACCAGATGGCAGTCTCTGGCTTTTCCAAGGACCCGCGGGGCAGGAATGCAAGACAGAGCACACACTGGCCTCTCACTGTGACCAGCAGTGGCCTCTGTCGTCACCTCTGTGGACGGCAACACGGGCCTTCCATCCATTCCCCAAAAGGAAGGCAAAGCCACAGCACCCATGCAGGGGCCGAAGCCTCACGGGAGGTTCCCCATGCCTTCGAAATGACTACTCTGCTCTGGCCGGAGGACCCGGGTCCTGCCACCTGACCTGAGAGCCTCTCTCAGCTCAGGTCCTGCCTCCTGATCACTCGCTGAGCTTGGCCTCCCAACAACTGTGATGACAACAGGCTGTCTACTGCCTCTCGGAGCTCCTCCTGCCCTGGCGGGCCTGGCTCATTGGTGCCCTGGATGGCTCCCCATCTCCCAGCAACCGGGACTTCTCCCTCCTCCAGGCCCCCGGGACTCTGCCTAGCCCATGCCCTGGGATGTTTATGGATGTGTCCACTGCCCAGCTTCTCAAGAACAGAGGCTGGGTGTGAGCCCACACCGATTCCTAGTGCTTAGCATAAGCCTGGTCCAAGGAGGCACCCACTGGTGGTTTGCAAAGTGAAGTCTCTGGTAATTGAAAGGGCAGTGTGACCACATCCTTGGAGTGGAAAGATGACAGGCTTCGAGAGCAGACAGCCGTGGGCAGTTGTGGCCCTTGGACAAGTATCTTAGCTTATCTGAGCCTCAGTTTCCTCATCTGCAGAATGGGAATATTAGCACCTATTCCCCTACAAAATAGCACAGCAACACAAGGCTAAAGAGAGGTGTTTGTTGTTTTTGTTTTTGTTTTGAGATGAAGCCTCACTCTGTTGCCCAGGCTGGAGTGCAGTGGTGCAATCTCAGCTCACTGCAACCTCTGCCTCCCAGGTTCAAGTGATTCTCCTGCCTCAGCCTCACGAGTAGCTAGGACTACAGGTGTCTGCCACCGTGCCTTGCTAATTTTTGTATTTTTAGTAGAGATGGGGTTTCACTGTGTTGGCCAGGCTGGTCTTGAACTCCTGACCTCAAGTGATCCGCCCACCTCAGCTTCCCAAAGTGCTGGGATTACAGCGTGAGCCACCATGCCCGGCCCTAAGGCTGGAGAGAGATTTTAGAGAGACCAACCGCGTGAAGCCCCGTCTACCAGATCCAGCACAGGCGCTCAAAAAAATCAGTCCCTGCTCCAGCTCTGGGCTTCTCTGTCACTGGCCTTCTGTGCCCAGTCCCCCGGAAACTGATCTGAGCTGGGGTGTGAGCCTTCACAGCAGCGTGTAGGGAAAGTGCTGGGCCAGGGTCCTCCGCCCTGACTTTTGGGCTCATCCTGCCACTTCCTGCCTATGTGTGCAAACGAGAGCTGCCTTTTCTCTCTGAATCCCAGCTTTCTCAACTGTAAAATGGGTACTCCAGCCTGCCTGGCCCACCTCACAGTGGAGGTCCAGGTGCTGTGTAGACTGTTGAGGGCCATGTGTCAGGTGGCCCAGGCCACCCAGGGACTGGGCAACCTCACTGGCAGGTGGGCATAGGGACGGCTCTTGTCCAGGAGGGCCTGCCTGGATGGTGAGCCAGTGAGAGTCCTCAGTCCCCAGCCAGGACTGCTCTGGGCCCAGCCTGGCCGGAGATCCCATCCCAAAGGCAATGACCATGCTTCAGCCTCTCGAGTAGCTGGGATTACAGGCACACAATCATACCCAGCTAATTTTTTTAGTAGAGACGGGGTTTCACCATGTTGGCCAGGCTGGTCTTGGACTACAGACCTCAAGTGATCCGCGTGCCTCCGCCTCCCAAAGTGCTGGGATTACAGGCGTGAGCCGCTGCATCTGGCCAGGCCTCCAGCTTTTATGGGAGACTCACGTCTGCCCGCTTGATGGAAGTTCTGGGCAGGGCAGGAGGGAGAAGAACCAGTATTTACCAGAATGGATGAGGGCATTCCAGGAGGGGCCTTTCGCTGAATGGAGGCAGTGTGGAAAAGGGGCAGGTGGGACCCAGACGGTGCAGGAGCCTGAGGCTGTCCCTCCAGGCTGTCCCAGGGATCCAGAGCCTCATCGAGGCCCCATCCTTGGCTCTTCTACCGCCCCTATCCATGGAAGCCAGGAATCTTGTTGCCCCACTTTGGGAGTCAAACTTCACAGCTTTGTCTGTCTCCAAGCCTCCCACTGGAGGTGCTTGGAGGCCTCAAACCTGCAGCCTTGAATCACCCAATGCCCTGATGGGCTGGGCTGCAGAGAGGGAGGGAAAGGTTATGGGAGTGCTGGCAGTGGAAATGGCTGGAGGTATAATGTCATTCCATTTGCAGACCAGGAAACAAAGGATGGCAGAGGGGACCACACAGCCAGGCAGTGACAGGTGGGGACAGAAAGGGACACCCCCCTGCCACCCATTGTCCTGGGGGTGCTGCCCAGGTTCCTGAGTGAGTGGTTGGGTCAGGTCACCTAAAGAACACTTGGAAGCCCGCGAGGAGAGGAAACCCACTTTGAACAAATGTGGAGAAAGGCGTGGATCAGAGTCTAACAGCTGAGGTCCCCGATGACTGTGTCCCGCTCCATTTAGGGCCCGGGACACACAACCCTCCTTGGTCCCCTCCCGTGGACATGGGACCAGGACCAAGGTCTCTTCCCCCTGAATATCCCGCCCTCCCCAGCCTCCTGCCAACTGCCTGCCTTCCAGTGCCCCCGAGGACACAGGACTGAGGCTGGATAGAGGATTGCTTCGTGGACCTTTGCTGGGGACATGTGGACAGGCAGGGGCCACCAACTCAGAGCGAAGACGTCACAGATGTGTGAAAACACTGAAGATGGGGACACAGAGGCACCGAGCGTTAGGTGGCTGGAGTCACTGGATCACAGCGTCTGGAGCCAAGGGTTTCCACTGTTCCCAGGTGTAATTCCTCCCCGCAGCCGTGCAAGGCGGGTGCCCCAGCTGTACTCACTTGGCTGCTCTGTAGGTCGCACAGTCAGTAAGCGGCAGAGCTGGGACAGGCCAGGCAGGTAGGCGTCTTGACTCGGTGCCTTACCCTCTCTGGCCTCAGTCTTCTCATCTGTCAAATGGTATAATAATAGGATGTACTCCTCAGGGTTGCTGGGAGGGTTACACACGTTAGTGCACACTGCCTGGGGCTCGGTGACTGTTCTCTAAGTGTTTGCTGCTATTTTTTTTTACTTAAGGAAACTTAACATCGAATAGGTTAAGCAGCCGGGGCTTGAATTTAGTCTTCTCTGCACCAAAGTTGCGCTGTGGACTCTTGTGCCGACTGTGATCTAGAGATTCCCAAGCCCCAGAGGCTTTGGGGAAGGCGGAGCCAGGAGAGGCTGCTCAGCTGTCAGTAGATGGCGCTGTGGAGCCACAAGGGCCGCCCTCGCTGCAAAAGCCCGTTGACGCACCAGGCTGTGCACAGACTGGGGTCTCCCCGCCCTGGGCCAGGCCCTGCACCAGATATGGCCCCAGGAGAGGGGGTGCCGCTAACCCTGTTTCCCTGATGAGGGATATGAAGGCTCAGAGAGGTTGAACCACTAGCCTTGAGGTCACACAGCTATAAGGGGCAGGGCTGGGGCTCCCCACCCCAGATGCCTCACTGAGCTCTCCAGCCCCACCCCCATCCCACCCCTCACCCTGGCCCTCAAGAGGCCACAGTGACTCCCTGGCGCTTGATGGGAGCCAGGCGCGTCCCTCCTTCCCCCATGGCTGGACATTCCAATGAAGCTGAAGCCACCAGCTTTGAAGTGAGAGCTAAACCCGGATTAGGGCGGCTCCAGGCTGGCCTCTCCTTCCCAGCCCCATTGCCAGGCCCACGCTCACCAACCACGTCAGGCCAGAGTCCTGGCGGCACAAAGGGGTCTGGGGCCTAGAGGAGGCAGGACCTGCCCCGCACAACACAGTCCCTCTCATAGTCTGTTAAGAAGCCTCGGGGGCCCCCACGACCTGCTACTAGCCTGAAACCCCACGTCACGCGGGTGCCAGCACAGAAGCTCCCACGGGGCTGGGAGGCTGTGTGTCCGTCTGTCTGTGAGCAGCCACACTTCCCTGGCCTCACCCTGCCTGTTTGGGTTCCAGGATCAAGCCTCTTTATTCAAGGAGATTTGGACTCAAGACTGGAAGATGACACTGGTATAGTGAAGCTACACCAGTTCTGGAACCCGTGTTCCAGAAGGTTCTGGAACATCCACCTTCAAATTAATCTCTCACAGCCTCTTCTTCAGAATTCAGCTCTTCCCAGACTTCACTTTTTTTTTTAATTTTATTTTATTTTACAGAGTCTCGCTCTGTCGCCTAGGCTGGAGTGCAGTGGTACAATCTTGGCTCACTGCAACCTCCACCACCAGGGTTCAAGTGATTCTCCTGCCTCAGCCTCCCAGGTAGCTGTGATTACAGGCATGAGCCACCATGCCCAGCCTTATTTTATTATTATCTTTTTGAGACGGAGTCTCACTCTACCGCCCAGGCTGGAGTACACTGGTGCAATCTCTGCTCACCGCAACCTCTGCCCCCCGCTGGGTTCAAGTGATTCTCCCACCTCAGTCTTCCCAGTAGCTGGGATTACAGGCATGTGCCACCATGCCCGGCTAATTTTTATATTTTTAGTAGAGACGGGGTTTCACCATGTTGGCCAGGCTGGTCTTGAACTCCTGACCTCAGGTAATTCACTCACCTCGGCCTCCCAGAGTGCTGAGATTCCAGGCGTGAGCCACCGCGCCTGGCCTTTTCCCAGACTTCAGTGATTCTCATTTCACCTTCATGACTTTTTTTTTTGTAGCTAAATATTGTTTACATTTATCTTTTTCCTTAAATCGACTCCTATACATATGTTTATTTTAAAGAAAGCTTTTATAAAAAAGAAACCTTGCTATCAAAAATGAAAAGCTAGTCCCCTGTGCCACATACAGACAACATGCATAAAAATGCATGCCATGGCTGGGAGCAGTGGGTCATGCCTATAATCCCAGCACTTTCGGAAGCTGAGGTGGGTGGATCACGAGGTCAGGAGTTCGAGACCAGCCTGGCCAACATAGTGAAACCCTGTCTCTACTAAAAATACAAAAATCAGCCAGGCGTGGTGGCAGGTGCCTGTAATCCTAGCTACTCAGGAGGCTGAGGCAGAAGAATTGCTTGAACCCAGGAGGCAGAGGTTGCAGTGAGCCGAGATCATGCCACTGCACTCCAGCCTGGGTGACAATGCAAGACTCCGTCTCAAAAAAAAAAAAAAAAAATGCATACCATGAAAACGGAACAATGCCGTTCAATTCTGGCTGGCTGCCGGGGCCTAGGGAAGGCTCTCAGCCTGGTGTCTGCTCCCTTGCTAAAGAGGGCAGTAGGCTGGTCAGAGACCTGTCTGCACCAAATCCAGCATCTCTCCTTGATGCAACCAGGAGAGAACATTGTGGAAGGAGACTCCCTTTCAGCATCTTTCATTTGGAGACTGGTCATCATCTCCTCTTTGTCTGCATTTCTGCCACCCATTCTTCAAGTTATCACCTCCTCCAGGAAGCCCTCCAGGCTGAAAAGGGCATCCCCACTGTGCTTCTTCAGCTCCACAGGCATTTCCTGACTTGGCATTTGTCATCCTGGTTTAATAAATCACATTTCTGGTTATGTCACTCCCAATGGAGTGAAAGTGTCCCTTTTTTATTCCTTAGAGACAGGGTCTTGCCCTGTCACCCAGGCTAGAGTGCAGTGGGACAATCATAGCTCACTGCAGCCTCCAATTCCTGGGCTCAGTCAATACTCTTGCCTCAGTCTCCCAAGTAGCTGGGACCCCAGGCACACAGTACTACACCCAGCTTTTTTTTTTTTTTTTTCAGAGATGGGGTCTCACTATGTTGCCCAGGCTGGTCTCAAACCCCTGGCCTCAAGCAGTCCTCCTGCCTCAGCCTCCCAAAGTGCTGGGATTACACACGTGAGCCACCACACCCAGCAAGGGCCAAACCTTTACCATGGCCCACACAGTTGTGGGCCACTCTCTTCCATCCACCACAGCCTGTCCTCTGGCTGTCTACCTCTCTGTCACCTTGAGTCCTTCTTGCATCATGATGTCCTCACTGGTCATGGCGTTGGCCTTCTCCTGGATATAAGCTCAGTGTGGTCTGGTGAGGTGTTTCTGTCCACCCTCGGATCCCCAGGCCTAGCCTGCTTGAAGGAGGAGAGCAGCCTGGAAACTTGGCATCGTCACTGTCTCCATTTTCCAAATGGAGAAGCTGAGTCCCAGTGAGGTTGGTGACTTTCCCAGGGACACCCATCTAGCCGTGGCAGACCTGGATGCAAACCCAGGCCTCCGGGGCCAGCAGGGATCCACCCTCCCCTAAACTCCCTCCCTCTCAGGGCTCTACTTCACCTTGATCAAGCGAGACCTTGTGTTTGAGAGAGACAGGAAGAGAAAAACAGACACGGACAGACCCCTGGGATCCCCGGAGGCCCAAGCCAACCCCCAGTCAGACTGAAATCCTTAGCCCAGCCCGGGCCTCAGCTCACAGCAGGCATAGAGTACAATTTTCCATCCAGACTCTAGCTATGGGGGCACCCCCTCGGAACCTCACCGCATGCCTTCACCAGCCCCTGAGGCCTGAAATTCCATGAGGACATTTCATTGCCCTGAAGTGTGGTGTCCCAGGCTAAAGACACCATCAGCCCCTAGTCCCCACTTCCACCCCAGCCATGTCCTGGCTGTGAAAAAGGTGCAGCCGCTCCCAGGGTTGCCAGAAAAACAGAGTGATGGTGGAAGCCGGTGCCAGGCAGGGTCCCTCCACCAGCCACGCTGTCCCGGGAGGGGCCCCACCCTTCTGCGATCAGCAGAGGATCCCTGGGAGAGTCGCCGCCCCTCCAGCTCCAAGCCCCTGGGGTCCGTCCTGGAAAGACCTTCAAAGGACTTGGCCATTCTTGAGTGAGCGCCAGGACGGAATCTGCTCCCAGAGTCAATTTAAGCAGCCACACGGGTGGAAGGAATTTGCTGTTTCTCTTAACAGCGACCCCCTCATGATTTATGCGGGGGCCACTGTCCGAAGGCCCCCGGCTGATGGCTCCTGAGCGGAAAAATGAAATGCCAAGACCCAGGCATCTTGCTGGGCTAATTACTCTCAATGAGACCCAGCTGGCTGTGGGAGCCGGCGGCGCCGGGGCAGGCCCGGATCCCTGTACCCAGCTCCCTGGGGCTACAAAGGCCTGTCCCAACCCTGCCTGTGTTCCCTGTCTGTCACCTACCAGGCCAAGTGTGGGGCTACCAAGGATTCTAGGAGAGCCACTTTGGCCAGATAACAAGATGCATCACCTTGGATGCTGCCAAGCAAGCCCAGGACTGGCCATGGCCTTGGGTTTGCTGCTGCCCTGGGGGGTACATATCCTTGAGACACCAGGGGCCCTGGGGTTCCATTCTGCTTATGGGAAGACTAAGGCCCAGGCAGACAGGGAAAGTACCCTGAAGCCTCCAGGAGGCTCAGGAATAATTGCAATTCCAGCCTCAGCTTCTGCCCTGCAGTGTCTTGGAGGCCCAAAGCCACAGAGCTGCTTCCAGATAACTCCCGTGATTCGGGGCTGGCTCTCTGGGTGTCCTGGAGACAGTCAAATATTTCCCAAGAGCCTCCTGCATGCCAGGCCCCATGTAGGGTGCTGGGGGCATAGCTGTGGGCAAATCCAGCCTACTCCCTTCCCTCAGGGACTTATGGCACTCTGGGGGAAGACAGACACCACTTACCAAAAAGTGAAAGTTCTTGGTGCCATGAAACTACATGGAAAGTGATTTGGCCTATGCCGCTGTCAGGGCCTTAGGATACGCTGCTGACCTGAGACCAGAAAGCTGAGTAGGGAGCATGATGGTTACTACTGGGTGTCAACTTGATTGGGTTGAAGGATGCAAAGTATTGATCCTTGGTGTGTCTGTGAGGGTGTTGCCAAAGGAGATTAACATTTGAGTCAGTGGACTGGGAAAGGCAGACCCACCCTCAATCTGGGTGGGCACTATCTAATCAGCTGCCAGTGAGGCCAGAATATAAAGCAGGCAGAAGAATGTGAAAAGACTAGCGTGGCCTAGCCTCCCAGCCTACACCCTTCTCCTGTGCTGGATGCTTCCTGCCCTCGAACATTGGACTCCAAGTTCTTCAGCTTTGGAACTTGGACTGGTTTCCTTGCTCCTCAGCTTGCAGACGGCCTATTGTGAGACCTTGTGATCCTGTGAGTTAATACTTAATAAACTCCCCTTTATGTATATCTATATCTCTCTCTATATATATATCCTATTTTATATAATGTTATATAATATATATTATATAATTCTTTATATATAAATCTATATATATCTCTCTCTCTTATTAGTTCTTTCCCTTGTGATCCTGTGAGTTACTACTTAATAAACTCCCCTTTATATATATATCCTATTTTACATATATCCTATCCTATTATATATATTATATATAATACAATAATTCTTTATATATAATAATTCTCTCTCTATATATATATATCCCATTAATTCTTTCCCTTGTGATCCTGTGAGTTAATACTTAATAAACTCCCATATATATATATATATACACACATCCTATTTTATATATATATATCCTATCCTATTATATATCTATCCTATTAGTTCTTTACCTCTAAGAACCCTGACTAATGCAGGGGGGATTGGGCAAAGGGGGCAGGGAGTGTTCCAGGTAGAGGGAGCAGCATGAGCAAGACTCTGCAACAGGAGGAAACGTAGGGTCCCCAATGAAACTGTGCAGCTGGAACCCAGAGCCCAGGGCACGGTGGTGCAGGGAAGTTCAAGAGGCCGGCAAGGGGTTCTTTTGTTTGTTTTGTTTTGTTTTATTATTTCTTTTAGAGATAGGGTCTTGCTTTGTTTCTGAGGCTGGTCTAGAATTCCTGGGCTCAAGCAATCCTCCCACCTTGGCCTCCCAAAGTGCTGGGATTACAGGTGTGAGCCACCGCACCCCGCCACGTTCTTGTACCTTTAGAAAGGTGCTTTCAGAAAGAACACTGGAAAGACGATGTGTCCACCCACATGCTCATTCTTGCTGATTTCTCTCTGGCTTTTGGGAGCCTCAGCCCTCTACCCCTGGAAGGGCAGCTCTGTGGATTACCCCAGCTACAGGGACGGGAGGAAGAACTGTAGAGCCTGGGGTCATCCAGGTATTCCTCAAGGACTGGACAGAAAGGCGTGGATATTGAAGGCAGCTAGTCATGTGCCCAGGTCAGGGGCAGTGGAGACCACCAATGAACCACAGCTTGGGAGAGAGGGGCCTCCAGGAGGCCATGCTGTGTAACTCCCAAGAGTGGCAGAGACCAGGGAGTTGGAGCCGCCAGCAGCCTCACAGCCATCTTGTGCCTTCTGAGAGGCCCCCTGCTTTTCTTTTCCCTGGGGCCCCACTTGTGCCGCATCACTCCCATGCCTGTAGCCTACCCCCATCCTGGTATCTCCCAGCCAGAGACCATTGAGGGCAGAGGTGAGGTGTTACTGGTGTTATTGATCACCCTCTCTGAGCACTGGTACAGAGGAGGTATAGACAAGTGGAGGCACTGAGGACAGAGGAATAAATGAGATGAATGCCCCGGCCTCCTCTCTGAGCTGACGTGGAGTCCCTCTGGCCTTCCCTACCGGCTGGCCCTGTGTCTTGGAGGAGCTGGGCTCCTGCAGGTGGGCAGGCCTAGCTGCAGGGAGCAGCTGGCAAGCAGATGCCTGTGGCCTGCAGTACCTTGGCGCTGGCTTGGTTCTGCGGGGCACAAACAGGTCTGACAAGTTCCTCAGCAGCAGAGACAGGGCTCGGTCCGTGATTTCTAGGAAAGTCAAAGTCTTGGAGAGCAAGCGGAGCCAGGCTTGGGGTGGAGGGAGGAGCTCCTCTGCTATGTACCTGTCCCCTGTGTCCTGAGCCCAGAGCTCCAGACTGATGGTGGTGCTTCTCTCTCCCGCCTCCCACAGAGGGAACAGGAGCTCAGCAGTGGGGAAAGAGGAGGGGAGACCTTTCACTGTGGCCAAGGGGTAGGGGAGTGTGGCCCCTGTGGTGAAGCAGCTACCGTCAAAGCCAGGGCTGGCCCTCTGCAGGGTCCAACATGCCACTCTCCTTGGCCTCCTTCCTCCTGGCCTCTCAGGGTCTGAATTCTACCCCTCAACCCACAGCCTCCAATCCTTGGCTCCAGGGACCTGCTCCCCCAACCTCAGCCACCCGATTCCAGGGTCACACCTTAGACCTGCTCTTCTCTTCCTTAAACACTCGGTTCTTGTTTCTTACTTTTCTTTCCTTTCCCTCCCTCCTTCCCTCCCTCCCTTCCCTCCCTCCCTCTCTCTCTCTTTCTTTCTTTCTTTCTCTCTCTTTTTCTCTCTCTCTTGCTTTTTTTCTTTTTCTTTCTTTCTCTGTCTTCCTTCCTCCCTCCCTTCCTCCCTCCCTTCCTTCCCTCCTTTCTTTTCTTTTCTTCTCTTTCTCTTTCTTTCTCTCTTCCTCCCTTCCTCCCTCCCTCCCTTCCTCCCTCCCTCCCTTCCTCCCTCCCTCCCTTCCTCCCTCCCTGCCTTCCTCCCTCCCTCCCTTCCTCCCTCCCTGCCTTCCTCCCTCCCTCCCTTCCTCCCTCCCTGCCTCCCTTCCTCCATTCCTCCCTCCCTCCATTCCTCCCTTCTCCCTTCTTTTCTTCTTTCCTCCTTTCCTTTCCTTTCTTTTCTTTATTTTTTTTTCTTTTCTTTTTGTTGATACAGGGCCTCAGGATCTCTCTCTATCACCCAGGCTGGAGTGCAGTGGTGCAATCACAGCTCACTGCAGCCTTGAACTCCTGGGCTCAAGTGATTCTCCTGCCTCAGCCTCCCAAGTAGCTGGGACTACAGGTGTGTGCCACCATGCCTGGCTAGTTTTTTTGTATTTTTAGTAGAGATGATGTTTGGCCATGTTGGCCGGGCTGGTCTCAGATTTCTGACCTCATGTGATCTGTCTGCCTCGGCCTCCCAGGGGCCGGGGTTACAGGCATGCGCCACTGCATCTGCCCAACAGTTCCTTAGATATAACACCCAAAGCACGAGCAGAAATAGCTAAAATAGACTTCATCAAAATGTAAAACTGTTGTACATCAAAGGGCACTATCAAGAGAGTACAAAGACATCCTACAGAATGGGAGAAAATATTTGCAAATCACATATCTAAAAGGGTCCAGGCTGGGCGTGGTGGGCTCTTGCCTGTAATCCCAGCACTTTGGGAAGCCAAGGTGGGAAGACTGGTTGAGCCCAGGAGCTCAAGACCAGCCTGGGCAGCTCTCCAAATAAATAAATAAATAATAAAATAAAATAATATAGAAATTAACCAGGTGGGGTGGCTCATGTTTATAGTCCCAGCTACTTGGGAGGCTGAGGTGGGAGGATTGCTTAAGCCTGGGAGATTGAGGCTGCAGTGAGCTGTGATGGTGCCACTGCACTCCAGCCTGGGTGACAGGGTGAGACCCTGTCTCAAAAATAAATAAATAGACAAATAAATTAAAATAAAAAGATCTAGTATCTAGAATATATAAAGAACTTCTAAACTCAGCAACAAAAAAGTGTAACACAATTTTAAAATGGGCAATGAACCTGAACAGATTTCTCCCAAGAGATACAAATGGCCAATAAAAACATGGTAAGATGCTCAATGTCATTATCCATTAGAGAAATGCAAATCAAAACCCAAATGAAATACCACTTCATACCCATTAAGATGGTTATAATTTTGGAAGAAAAGAAAAACAGAAAATAACAAGTGTTGGCAAGAATGTGGAAAAATTGAAACCCTTGTACATCACTGGTGGGAATACAAAACGGTGTAACCTTTTTGAAAAGCAATTTGGCAATTCCTCAGAAAGTTAAATATAGAGTTACCATATGAACCAGTAATTTCACTCCTAGGTATATGCCTAAGAGAATTGAAAACATGTATTTACACAAAAACTTGTACACAAATGTTCATAGTAGCGTTATCCATAATAGCTAACAGAAATATCTCAAATGTGCATCAACTGATGAATAAACAAAATGTGATCTATCCATAAAATGGAATCTTATCTGGCTACAGAAAGGAATGAAGCCAGGTGTGGTGGCTCATGCCTGTAATCCCAACAATTTGGGAGGCTGAGGCAGATGGATCACCTGAGGTCAGGAGTTCGAGACCAACTTGACCAACGTGGTGAAACCCTCTCTCTACTAAAAATACAAAATTAACCAGGCGTGGTGGCGTACGCCTGTAATCTCAGCTACTCGGGAGGCTGGGGTTGGAGAATCACTTGAACCCAGGAGGCAGAGGTTGCAGTGAGCCAAGATCATGCCACTGCACTCCAGCCTAGGCAACAAGAGTGAAACCCTGTCTCAAAAATAAATAAATAAATAAACAAATAAAGTCTACAACAAGGATGAACCATGAAAATGTTATGCTAAGTGAAAGATGCCAGACACAAAAGGCCATGTATTGCAGGATCCTATTTATATGAATGTCCGGAACAGGCAAATCCATAGAGACGGGCAGTAGTAGCTTCATGGTTGCCAGGGGCTGAGTGCAGGAAGAATAAGGAGTGACCACTAATGAATTTCATTTTGTGGTGATTAATATTCTGTTTGTAAATAGTGGTAAAAGGCAGGGCGCGGTGGCTCACACCTGTAATCCCAGCACTTTGGGAGGCCGAGGCGGTTGGATCACCTGAGGTCAGGAGTTCGAAACCAGCCTGGCCAACATGGCAGAACCCCGTCTCTATTAAAAATACAAATGTTGGCCGGGCATGGTGGCACGTGTCTGTAATCCCAGCTACTTGGGAGGCTGAGGCAGGAGAATCACTTGAACCCGGAAGGCGGAGGTTGCAGTGAACCGAGATCACGCCACTACACTCCAGCCTGGGTGACAGAGTGAGACTGTCTAAAAAAAAACAAAAAAGAAGGGGGGGGTTTTATGGTATGTGAATTGTATCTCAATAAAAAAGTTTTTTTTTAAGTATGCACTCTTTCGCCTCTTTTTCCATACAACATAGTATATATGAGCAATCAACCAAACTGTTGTGTACATCAGTAGTTTGTTCTTATTGCCATGTGGTATTCCCATGTATGAGTGCCCTATCATTTATTTTTATTTATTTATTTATTTATTTATTTTTTCAGACAGGGTCTCGCTGTCGTCCAGGCTGGAGTGCAGTGGTGTGATCACAGCTCACTGCAGCCGCCAACTCCTGGGCTCAAGTGATCCTCCCACCTCAGCCTCCTGAATAGCTGGGACTATAGGCATGCGCCACCATGCCAGGCTAATTTTTAAATTTTTTTTTATTTGTAGAGATGGGGTCTTGCTATGTTGCTGGGACTGGTCTCAAACTCCTGGCGTCAAGCAATCCTCCTGCCTCGGCCTCCCAAAGCTCTGGGACTACAGGCCTGAGCCACTGTGCCCGGCCTCTTTTCAGATCTTTATGGCCATTTGGATATTATTATTGTCGTCTACCTTTTTTGGGGTTATAATCTTTCTATTATAGATATGTAGGATTTTAAAAAAATACATCTTCTGGATATGAGATCTTGTCATGATCTACGTTGCCAGTATCTTTTCTCGTCCGGTGCCTTTTTGCATTCTTAACTGTATCTTTTGGTGAGCAGAAGTTTTTAATTTTGATGAAGTCCAACTTATCCACTTTTATGATCACAGTTATGTGTGTCCCATTTAAGAAATCCTTGCCTACCCCCTAAACATCCCTTGAAGCCACCTCTTCCCTTCTGACGTCTTCACCTCTAGCCAGCTCTTTGCAGCCAGTTTTCTCCCGTGCTTCTCCATTCTCCTCCCACCGATGTCCCCACCCCACTTTTTGCCCCCTCCTCTGCCTTCCTCACTGCAGTCAGCACCATATCCTGCCCAGGGACAGTCCTGGCTCCTCTGAGAGTCCCTGGGACCAGCACAGCCTCTGGCATGCACTAGGTGCTTAATAAAAGCTCCATAAATGAAGGCAATATCCCGTGGCTTAGCAGGGAATCGTTAAAACTGTCAATTAGCTCTAAACACCAGCTCCTCGGGAACATTTGAGCAGAGCCAGAGGAACAAAAAAGGTTTGGAAAAACCAACAAGATAGGAATGTTTCGTTTTCTCCCTCGCTGGAGCATTTACCGCACAAACTCAGACCTCATTAGCATTATTTATTCTTGCTTTGTCCCCAACCGTAGGACAAGGGAAGCCTTTTTCCTGCAGCCTCTGGCTGCAAGAGCTCCCTGTCACACCCCACAACAGTGTTTGCTGCCCCTGAATGTCGGGGAGACTTGTGATCCCCTAATCCTTCTCTTCACCGTGAGTGATGACGTAGCACAGGTTTCTGTAGTCCAGGTTGCCGCACACATCTGGGGGAAATGCTGCAAACATCTGCTTGACCTGAGAAGGAGCAGAGAGTCAGCCTGCACCAGGCCAAGTGGGGGCCAGAGCAGAGAATCCGCCGTGACCCACCAGAATCCCAGTTTACCTCCTCCTCACTGAAGCGGTCTGCCTGGGTCATAAGTTTTTCTTTGATGCTGTTCAAGGGAGAGACACAGTCATGTTCAGGGAACGGGATACCCAGCTTGAACATGCAGATCCCAGGGGTGATGAGGGGCAAGTGGGGGCAGGGGGACATCCTGGACCAGGAGGACATCAACCTGGGGCTGACCCTGCCAGCCCCCCCGATGGCCAAGTAGCTTCTGAACCTCGGTTTTCTCCTCCATGAAGTGGGCTTTCCTCCCAGCATCAGGTAGGGACCAAAAGCAATGACCTGGGGACCCCACCATGAGGGCTACTCTGATTTCCCATCATGCACTATAATCAAGCTCTGGATCATTGAGGGGAGACACCTCAGGTCCCCCACCGCAGAGCCTCTTTTGCCTGATTCTGGACACACTCTTTCCTCCAGCTTGTGACGTTCACTGACACCTGCATAGTGTTTTAGAGACAAGATGCCTGTGCTCTGCCAAGGGTACAGGAAGGCCTGCCCAGGTCCGTGTCCTCCTGGGCCTGCAAGGGCCTGCCCCCTCAAGCTTGGAGGGTCCTGCAGGGTTCTTAAGGGAGCTCAGTGGGCAAAGATGGGATCAGACGGCTGAGTGGGGCCTCGTCCACCCAGAGTGTCCTCTGGCACCGGCTGCGGCAGGCCTCGCTAAGGACCAATGCACATTTTCCATTATTTATGTTTCTGTGGGACAGTCACAGTTTCCAGCTCTCCAAGCCGGGGACTTTTCACAGACTCTGTTTCAACCAGAGCCTCCACCGTGGCCTGTCTGGCCTGCCTGGCCTGCAGCCACAGATCCAGGTCCCATGTCCCAAGGCAGTGCCTTCAGTTCCCAAATTAGGTCCCCAAAGGGTCTTCCCAGCCTTGTCCTTGCACTGGTGAGAGAGAAAGTGGTTGACAGTAGAGGGAGGGCTTGGGGTTACTCCGGGGGTGACTCTGATGCCTCCCCAGGTCCCCAGGATGGAGGTAGGAGCCACAGACCCCGAGGGAGGGGTGAAGGGGAGGACTGTGGACTGCAGCAACCCTCAGCATCCCCTCCCCATCCCAGGGGAGTATGTGACTCATGGTCTTGGAGTTGAGAATGTGTGAGACGGGACAGACCCTCTCCACCTCCACCCCTGCTGCGTCTGCCCTCTCCCTTTGAGATGCGAGAATCTCAAAACCAGCAAAACTAGCCTCAAAATGAAGGCTGGCAGCATTACAGTAATTGATCAGGAAGCCTGGGCCTGGGGAGGAATCTCACCTGCCCCAGGCCACCCTCAGGTCCAGCAAGGTTCTGAAGGGACTGCGTCGGCACAGCTCAGAGGTCAGCCCTGAATCTTGGGTCCTGGGAAGGCTGCCACTCCCCCGCCCACTCCTGCCTGCAATTCTTGGCTCTCTGTTCCCTTGCTGTCACTGGGTGGGGCACCCCTACCCTCATGATGGCAGCCCCGGTGCCTGCCAGACAGCTGCCTGCAGCCACTTCCCCTTCATGCATTCCAAGTGAGCTGGTCACTTTCCCCAATCCTTACTGCCCTCTTGCCCGAGGCGGTGCTGGCTACGATCTGGCTCAGTCCTCTCCCCAGACCCTGGATCCTATGGGCACTGGCCCCTGGCTCTTTGCTTATCTGTCCGCCCGACTCCATCTCGACGGCCATGACCCTCCTGGGAGCTGCAACCCTCTCCTCTCCTTCTCCAGGCTGGCCTCCATGGTGTCCTTGCCTAACTCCTCCTCAGGTTCTCCCATGCTCCCAGGGCAGACGCAGGGTCCAGGGGCTAGGGTGTGAGCGCTCCCCCAGAGGCCCCGCCTGCCGCTCTGTGCTCAGTCTCCCCTACACCACCTCCACCCGCACCCTCCAGCTGCAGCCAACTCTGAACAAACATGCACATGCCAAGCCCTGGCCCTCCAAGCTCTCTGTTCCCTCATCTAGAATGCTGTTCCCCCCCTAGCCTGGGCAACCTGCAGTCATTCTTCAAGATCTGCCTTTGCCCCCACACCCACCCCACTAGGAAGCTCTCCTGGAGTGACCCACCACTTCTTCTTTTTTTTTTTTTTTTTGAGACAGTCTCACTCTGTCGCCCAGTCTGGAGTGCAATGGCGTGATCTCGGCTCACTGCAACCTCCACTTCCTGGGTTCGAGCGATTCTCCTGCCTCAGCCACCAGAGTAGCTGGGACTACAGGCATGCACCACCATGCCTGGCTAATTTTTTTTATTATTTTCAGTAGAGATGGGGTTTTGCTGTGTTGGCCAGGGTGGTCTCAAACTCCTGGTCTCAAGTGATCTGCCCACCTCGGCTTCCCAAAGTGCTGAGATTACAGGCGTGAGCCACCGCGCCCAGCCTGACCCACCATTTCTTATCCATTTCTACTTCCACGCACACATAGAGAAGGGGACACCAAGGCCCAGAGAGGGGAAGGGACATCAAGCGATATCACTGGGCTGGGCAGCGGCCCCCCAGCTCCTGGCTTCTGGGAGAGGAGACTGGGCGACCATCCACCCTGACCCCAGCCCAAAGCTGGCTTATTCCCCTGAGCATTTTGGGGGAGTCAGGGGAAACTTACACATCGGCCTTGACGAAACCTTTCCCTTCAGTGTCGAACACTTTGAAGGCGTGGAGAATGGTCTCCTCTGGGTCCGTGCCTATAAGCAGCACATACAGGGCAGGGAGAGAGGCAGGTGAAGAGGGCCCCACAGGGACAGGCACAAGGCTGGGCAGGGGCTGGGGCTGGGGGCAAGTCCCACGGCCCCTGCACAGAGGCACAGCTCTGGGGAACTTCTTCCCCAACTTTCACTGCACAGCGAGGGCCGAGCTCACTTGAAGCAAGAACAAGGAGGGAAACAGGTAATTGTAATCATAGACAAGGGTACCACATATATATATTTTGTGAACAACCTGAGCAACTGTACACGGAGACCCTGATTGAGCATTTAATTTGTGCTTAGCCCTTCCCTATTTTACAGATGGAAAAGCTGAGACCCAGAGAAGTTAAGTGACTTGCCCAGGGTCTCACAGCTGCATGACCAGTGGTCTGGGTGAGGGGGCATGACTCTGGGGCTCACGTGTTACCCAAGCTGTGCACAAGAGGCCGTGGGTGGAGGAAAAAGAGTTCTGTACGTGGATGCCAAAAGGCTGGGGCTTGGGCAGTGTGGCATTGGAGGGGTCTGAGAGAGATTGTCCCGGCCAGAAGTGGGGCAGGTGGGCCAACAGGCCAAGGGAAGGGATTCACGGGGGCAGAAGTGAAGCCAGAGAAGTTCTGCTTTTATCCCGGTCACAGCACAGCCTTGGGGAGAGATGTCATTAGAAGAAATTAATCTGATACCCACAATGGGATTGAATGTGCAGCCCCCACATTGCACCAATGGGAAACTGAAGCCCAGAGAGAGGAAGGGTCTTGCCCAAGGCTTCACGGGCTGCGTGAATGACAGCAGGTGACCTGGCCACCCTCGCCCGGTGCCCTTTCCCCTTCTGTCACCATGTCCCCCTTGTTCACTGTGGATGCGGGGGTGCCCCCTTCCTTTCTTCAGTGCTCAAATGTGTCATTGGTGAAAGGGGACAGAGATGGTGCTTGCTACCCACCTCACAGGAGCAGCTAAGATAACATACCATTCATGGTAAGGTTTTAACGAACATGGGTTGATCAGGGCTGCAAATACATCTGAGCGCTCTATGCCTGCAGCTTTAAGATTTTATCCCCTGGAGCTCTGAGAGCACCCATGGAGTAGATGTGGATATCTTGGTTTATCATAGAAAAAACAGGCTCAGAGATGTTTCATTACTTGCCCAAGTCCCCACTGATAAGAGAAGGGAGGATTTAAACCCACCTCTGTGGACTCCAGAGTCCCCTGCTCCTTTTGTCACCCTGTGCTCTTGCCAGTCAGATTAGGTCAGCCAGGGCCATGTGCCTCCCTCATCAGACTAGGTCAGGGCCATTTGTTCCTCCACCATCATACTAAGTCAGGACCATCTGTGCCTCCCCCATTAGAGTGGGTCATCGCCATCTGTTCCTCCTGCATCAGACTGGGTCAGGGCCATCTGTGCTTCCTCCATCAGATTAGATCAGGGCCTCATCTGTGCCTCCCCCATCAGACTGGGTCAGGGTCATCTGTGCCTCTCCCATCAAACTGGATCAGGGCCATCTGTGTCTCCCCGATCAGACTGGGTCAGGGCCATCTGTGCCTCTTCCATCAGACTGGATCAGGGCCTTCTGTGCCTCTTCCATCAGACTGGGTCAGAGCCAAGTGTGCTTCCCCCCTCAGATTAGATCAGGGCCTCATCTGTTCCTCCCCCATTAGACTGGGTCAGGGCCATCTGTTCCTCCCCCATCACACCAGATCAAGGTCATCTGTGCCTCTCCCATCAGACTGGGTCAGGGCCATCTGTGCCTCCCCCATCGGACTAGGAACTAGCCAGGACTGGGCAGTGTCTGAGTCTCTGGGCATCTCTGAAACTGGCACAGAGTGAAAAAACCTGGCACACACTGGCCTTGCTGGCCTGGGAACTCCTAGAGGGCAGCGCCATGGACTGCCTCTGGGCAGGGTGGCAGGGAGCTGGTGTGCCCAGCAGAGAGGCTCAGCCCAGGGTGCAGCGAGGGCAGGGCTCCAGGCCCTCACAGCCTGGCCAAGCAGGCAGGGGGTAGCAGGTGCCTCTAGGCGGGTGAGGGTTGAGTGACCAGAGCATCACGTGGGGCACCCATGTGGGATTTGCCTCCGAGGCCACAGCCTCCCAGGTTTCACTGATTAGTTGAAAATTCCCAACGTCTTTGAAGAGGCCTCACTGCTGAGGCAGGTTTGTGGCCGGCTCCAGCCTATCCCCCTGCGGACAATGCACATGGATTTAGGCACCCAGCGCAGCCCTGCCACTCCCTGTTACCGTGGCTGGCAGTCCTCCCTTCTCTCCTCCCCAGAAAGAGCCTCTGTTCTTGAGACTGCAAACCTCATAAAATCTGCTATAGAGTGGCCACTTCCTCCCATCATCGTTGGGAATCTCATGACACAGTCTCCTCTTCCCAATTAGCGGGGTGAGGCGGCGCCGGCCCCAGCACCCTGCCCTCCCGGCTCCTGTCCCCTCCCACCAGCCTCTCACGCAGTCTGGCCACGTCTGCATGACAGGCTCAGCCGGAGCCCCAGTCCCGGCGCCCCTGCAAAAATGAGAAAAAGCTGCAGCCCTGCAGCCCACACCAGGCCCTGGATCACAGCTTCAGCTCAACCATGGACCGACACGAGCTTTTAGTCTCAATCTTCCCATCTGCGAAACAGGTTTGGGGCCCACTGTGAGCTGACAGAGTCCCCTCCCCTTCCCCTGAGCACTCTTGGAGGTCTCTCTAAACTCCTGCTCTGGCAGCAGGGCCCCTCGCCCATGCCCAACACCAGGGGCGGGAGGTGCTCACAGCCTCACCTCCTGGGCCCGGCCCTGGGCCGTCCACCCTGGCAGAACCACAGGCCACTTCCCCAGGCCCTCCCACTGGCCTTTAACACGCCTCCTTCAGTTATGTGCCTGTGGATAAAAGAATCAGGCCTGTCTGCTTCCTTTGAAGTTGCTGGCTGGAGTCACACATGTCTTTTCCACAGAGCATTCTTCTCTCCCGGCCTCCTGGGCTTCTGAGCTCTTCCAGGAGGCGCACATGGTCCTGGGAATAGGCCCCGACAAGCTGCCTGGAGGTGGGCCCAGTGATGCTCCTGATTCGGCTACACAGCCCCAAGTTCAAAGCCTGCTCCAGATGAGCCTGCCCTCCCCAGCCCTGGGTTTCCTCATCTCTCGCACCCAGGCTGATGGCTGCCTTCCTTCTGGCTCTGGATCTGCCAGGACACGGTGCGTGGAGGCTGCTCTACCCCACAGCAGGTCACGACCCATGACAGTACTGATTTTTCACCCCATCAAACCTGTGATGTCAGGTCGGATCACCCTGTGGTGGACTGAATGGTGGCCCCTAAAAAGAGACGTCCACCAGAGGCCGGGCACGGTGGCTTACGCCTGTAATCCCAGCACTTTGGGAGGCCGAGGAAGGCGGATCACGAGGTCAGGAGATCGAGACCATCCTGGCTAACACAGTGAAACCCCATCTCCACTAAAAATACAAAAAAATTAGACGAGCGTGGTGGCAGGCACCTGTAGCCCCAGTTACTTGGGAACCTAAGGCAGGAGAATGGCGTGAACCCGGGAGGCATAGCTTGCAGTAAGCCAAGATCACACCACTGCACTCCAGCCTGGGTGACAGAGCAAGACTCCGTCTCAAAAAAAAAAAAAAAAAAGATATGTCCACCAGAGCCTGCAAATGTCACCTTATTTGGAAAAAAGGACTTTGCAGATGTAAGTTAAGCATCTTGAGATGCAGAGATCATCTTAGATTATCCCAGTAGGACCTGAATCCAACGGCAGGTAGAGTCCAGGCGCGAGGGCTCATGCCTATAATCCCAGCAGTTTGGGAGGCGGATATGGGCGGATCACTTGAGGTCAGGAGTTCGAGACCAGCCTGGCCAATGTAGTGAAACGGTATCTCTACTAAAAATACAAAAAAATTTAGCGGGGCATGGTGGCGGGTGCCTGTAATCCCAGCTTCTTGGGAGGCTGAAGCGTGAGAATCGCTTGAACCTTGGAGGCGGAGGTTGTCCTAAGCTGAGATGGCGCCATTATACTCCAGCCTGGGCAACAGAGTGAGACTCCATCTCAAAAACAAAACAAAATAAACAAAGAGGCAGGTGGAGGGAGGTTAAATAGAAGAGGGCGGGGCCATTGACGGCGAGGCTGAGATGGGAGAGGTAGAGCCACCAGAGGCTGGGAGAGACAACGGATTCTCCCCAAATCCTCTGCCAGATTTCGCACTTCTGGGCTTCAGGACTGTGAGAGAATACATGTCTGTTGTTTTGAGCCACCTGGTTTCACAGAATTTGTTACAGCGGGCTCAGAAAACTATTATAAGCCCATTTTACAGACCAAAAAACTGAGGCCAGAAAGCAGATAAATCTGTGCAAGGTCAACCTAGGAGTCAATGGGAAGCCAGGGTCTGACCCTAGGCCTAGCCAAGGCAGGGGGTTCAAGGGAGGGGGCCTGGCAGGGGCAGCCTGAGGGTGCAGAGCTGACAGTGCTCACTTCCCAGGGACCACTGCCTGGGCTGACCCTTCCTTTTTTTTTTTTTTTTCTTTTTTTTTTTGTAGTGGAGTCTGTCTCTGTCACCCAGGCTGGAGTGCAATGGCACCATCTCGGCTCACGGCAACCTCTGCCTCCCAGGTTCAAGCGATTCTCCTGCCTCAGCCTCCCGAGCAGCTGGGATTACGGGCACCCACCACCATGCCCAGCTAATTTTTGTATTTTTAATAGAGACAGTGTTTCGCCATGTTAGTCAGGGTGGTCTTGACCTCCTGACCTCAGGTGATCCACCCACCTCCGCCTCCCAGAGTGCTGGGATTACAGGCATGAGCCACCGTGCCCGGCCTTGGCCCTTCCTTCTGACCACGGAACCCTCAAGCTCCAGGATGTCACTATGGGAGAGCTCCCCCGAGGCCAGGACAGAAAGGAGACACAGATGGCTCCAACCCTCCACCCCATGCCTAATGCTGTGTCTCGGGCGGGTACAGTGGTTAGAGCCAGGGTTTGGGGTTGAGGTTGCATCCCGGCCACTTTTTGCTGGAGCATCTGGGGCAGGGGTCGTGACTCCTCTGGATCTGAGTCTCTTCATTTGTGAATGAGGCTCCCCGATCCTTCCTCTGGGGGCTCCAGTGACCACAGAAAAAGACAAGGGGAGTAACTTGCCCTGCACAGGGGTCGACCACAGCATCTTTTGGAAACACCCTCCCTCCGGCACCCTCTGCCTATACCCCCAGCCCCATGTGCAGAGCGGGTAAAAGGAGCTCACAGGTAGGAAGGTAGGGAGGCAGCATGGCTGGGGGCAGTGGGATGGGTGGGCAAAGGGGTTAAAGGCAGTGTTTAGTTTTTATGGTTGTTGTTGTTGTTGAGACAGGGCCTTGCTCTGTCACCCAGGCTGGAGTGCAGTGGTGCGATCTCGGCTCACTGCAACCTTCACCTCCCAGGCTCAAGTGATCCTCCCACCTCAGCCTCCAAAGTAGCTGGGACTACAGGCATGTGTCACCATGTCTGGCTAATTTTTGTATTAGTAGAGATGAAGTTTCATTATATCACCCAGGCTGGTCTCAAACTCCTGGACTCAAGCAAACCGCCCGCCTCAGTCTCCCTAAGTGCTGGGATTACAGGCGTGAGCCACCATGCCTGGCCAAGGCAGGGGTCTTTATAGTTACCCCAGTCTGCGGTGAAGAGAGGGAAACCGAGGCAGGGCCCCTGAAGGTGCGTGCACCTGGGGGCTGGTGTCTGGGGCCACATCATGCTCCCACCTGTGGTGTGTATGTGTGTCAGGCCCCTGCCTTCCTACATCCGTCCCCCTGCCATTCCCTGCTGCCCCTCCAGGACTCCAGGAGCCTGGCTCACCCTTCAGCTTCTCCCCAAACATGGTCAGGAACACCGTGAAGTTGATGGGTCCGGGGGCCTCCTTCACCATGGCCTCCAGTTCCTCGTTCTTGACATTGATGCGGCCTGTGGGAGGTGAGAGGTGGGGGCAGGGAGGATAAGAGAGATCAGAGCTTGGGCCTCGGAGGATCCCACAAAGCCTCCCCACTCAGCTGCTCCACGTGCCCCCCACTCAGCCCTAAGGCCCTGACGCCTTTTTGGGGGACTCTTTAGGGGGCATTTGGGCCACAGTCAGCTTCCGGCTGCCCCCAGCCTCATGAGAAGGGAGCAAGTCACTCTCATCCCCATTTTACGGTGAAGAAACTGAGGCCCAAGAAGCTGCAGCTGAGGTGCACGGGGGCTGCAGGCTCAGGGTTCCTGTGCCCCAGGAGGGGATCAGTGGATGCCTGGATGCTGGGATTCCCTGTGGTTCCAGGGGACACTCAGATTCCCAGGGGATCAGGGCCTGGTTACGTCCGTTCTGCCACCTAAACCCTGCATAGGCGACTTCAGGCTCTTCCCTGGGGCCTTAGAGGGATCAGAAACCTCAACCTGGGAGTTGGGTCTTTCCCTCTGACTCAGCTTCTCCCCTGCTTTCCTGGCCCCTCCCCACACCCAGGGTCCCCTACACCAGGCCCAGGCCCAGGCCCAGGCCCATGCTGCTACTCCTGTCCCTGAAGTGTTTTCCCCTTCCCTGGCCGAATCCTTCTCCAACCCCCCAGGAAGGTCCCCCCCTGACTTTCCAGACAGTGGCTGCCTTTACCCTGTGCTCCCCAGCACAGGAGCCTCTCACGCTCACCGCGAGCCCTGCCCTGCTGGCCCCAACCGCCCACTCTGTCTGGCTGGCCTGGCCCTAATCTCCCCCGGCTGCTGGCTCACCCACCCAGCGCGGCAAAGGTGTCCCTCAAGTCCTCTTTGTCGATGAAGCCATCACGGTTCTGGTCCATGATGGTGAAAGCCTGGCAGAGACACAGGTGCTAAGTAGTCACCTGCCCTTCCAAGCCCGGCCACCTCCCCCAGGGACCGTCCTCCTGCCGACTGCTGCCCAAGGAGCCTCGGGGCAGGTCCCTCTGGCAGCCCAGCTGGGATGGGCTCCATCCCCAACCCCTCATTTCAGGCTCACAGCAACTCCAGTTTGCAGACAGGGAAACTGAGGCTCAGAGAGAGAAAAGTCTGGCCCGAGGTCACACAGCAAGCACAGGGTCAGGTACAGAGAGACAAAGAGGCTGCCTGAGGGCAACAGGTCACTCACCCAGGCTCTGGGCCATGGCCATGGTGGCCTCAAAAAATAATGTCATTGGCCAGGCTTGGTGGCTCATGCCTGCAGTCCCAGCAATTTGGGAGGCAGAGGCAGGAGGATTGCTTGAGGTCAGGAGTTTGAGACAAGCCTGGGCGAAATAATGAGACCCTGTCTCTACAAAACATTAAAAAATTAGCCAGGCATGGTGATGAATGCCTGTAGTTTCAGCTACTCAGGAGGCTGAGGTGGGAGGATGGCTTGAGCCCAGGAATTTGAGGCTGCAGGGAGCATTGACTGCAACACTGTACTCCAGCCTGGGTAACAGAGCAAGACCCTGTCTCAAAAAAAAAAAAAAAAAAAAAAACCTAATCATTTAAAAATGTAGTAATGGGCGCTGGGCACTGTGGCTCACGTCTGTAATCCCAGCACTTTGGGAGGCCGAGGCGGGTGGATCACCTGAGGTCAGGAGTTCCAGACCAGCCTGGCCAACATGGCAAAACCCCATCTCTACTAAAAATTCAAAAAATTAGCTGGGCATGGTGGTGCGTGCCTGCAATCCCACCTACTTGGGAGGCTGAGGCAGGAGAATTGCTTGAACCCGTGAGGCAGAGGTTGCAGTGAGCCGAGATCATGCCATTGCGCTCCAGCCTGGGCGACAGAGCCAGACTCTGTCAAACAAACAAATAATAATAATAATAATAGTAATAATGACATCTTCAGCCCCTCGAGACTGAGGACTGAGCCTCTGCCCAGCTCCTTGAGCAACTGGCATGCATTCCAAGAATCCTCATAACAGCCCCATGGGGCAGCAGACCAACCTCTTTAAACTCCTGGATCTGGGACTGATCAAACATGGAGAAGACGTTGGAGCTGGCGGTGCCTTCTGCTCTTTTCCGAGCTCTTCTCGGTGCCTGCGAGGTAGCAGACAAGGCCTTGCAGCGGCCCCTGCCTCGAGGGTCAGCCCCCACCCCCTGTCTCACCTCCCAGGGCATCACGGTCCAGAATGACACCGCTTTGCCCTTCCCGGTGCCTACAGCAGACAGACAAGGCTACCCCTGAAGCCTTGCAGGTAATCAGGACGTTTTCCCAGCCCATGGCAAGAAGCCTGCACGGCGTGCACCCCCACAGAGCTGGACAGCTGCTTCCTGGCCCTGTCCCCCGGGCTCCGGAAGGTGGGCAGCCGGTGCCCGTGCTGCAGAACAGAGGCGGGCATCTCTTCCTTCAGCCTCCCCATCTCTACCCCGGCATCCTCCACTACAGCTGGAATCTGACCTTATCGCCAGCTGCTAAAAACCTTCTTCGTGTTCTCAGGAGAACAACTGCGCTCTTAGCCCCACCACAGGATCTGCCTCTTGCCCTGTCCCAGAGCTGCTACTCCCTCTCACCCAGGCCCTCTACTCTGTCCCAGAGCTGCCTTCCCTCCCAGCGTTTGCCCCTGCCTGGAATGCGTTGCTCTGTTGGAATTCCCTGCTTGGAATGCCTTCCCTGGAGAATCTATCTAGAGACTCCTACCCATCCTGCAGGCTCAGCTCCCTGTCACCTCCTCCGAGAAGCCTTCCCTGACCCCAGGCCACTCTCCCCTCCCCACATGGCTCCACTGTGGACTGTCACCCCTACAGCATGTATCACACTGTCCTGACATATCTGTGCGTCTGTGTCCTCGACTAAGTGGACATCTCAGGGGTAAAACCCACTTTGCCCCATCTCTGATCTCTCCTATCCCCACCCTGAACCTGGCTCAAAGTGGGGATCAGCCAGTGCTTGGAAATAGCTGCCCAGAACTCAGGGCCAACCCACGCAGCAGGCAAAGCAGGAGGCCACCCACGTTGAGTAGTCAGATGGTTTCTGGCCAGCCTTCCTGCCTCTGTGATGTCAGGGTGTCTGGAAGTCCACCATTGGGCATTTGCTGAAAGCCCTAGGTCCCCAAGACCCTCAAGAGTCCTGTTCCTGGGCAGCCATCCTTACAGCCCCCAGGGGCGCTGTGAGCCCCAGAATGGGCTCTCGATGGGGGAAAAGAATTGCTGGATTCCAGACGGGGAGGTGGACGGGATGGCACAGAAATGGGTTCCCACCACCAGCTCCTGTCTCCGTCACAACTTGTACCACCCTCTCCTGCCAAGCCCTTGTCTACCTGCCCCCACCAGAGCAGAGGAGTCCCCTCATCCCCTGCTCCCCTCCCCCAACGCCTGTGTGGTCTCCCCTGCCCCCAGCTCACTGCTGTCCCCACCCCCGCCCAGGAGCCCGCGTCGTCGAGGGCAGGGGCAGAAGCGCCGGCTGACTTATAATTAGCTTTTACTGGGTGCTCTGTCTCTCCTAATCCTTTGAAAGGGGGCTGCCAGGGCGGCCGGGACGTTATGATGCTGTAAAACCTCTGTAATATTTATAAATCCTTTCAGACATCATAAAGAAAAGAACTTCCCCACAGAGTTCATCCCACATAATTACATATACATTTCCTCCGATTAATAAAAAATGATCACTTCCGTCTGTGGGAGGTTCTGCCCTTTCTCTGGCACACCTGGCTGTGGCCTCGGCGTCCTCAGTCCCTGCCCCCCACGCCCCCAGCCTCTCATGATCCCCCTGGTTACACCCCCACCCTACACTGTCCCAGAGCTCCACGAGGGAGGGAGAGATCATTTTCTTTACAGCACAAGAGTCCTAAACCCTAGGGTCTTTGCAGCCCAGCTGTCTTGAAAATTCCTTTTGAGAATGGGCCCCTGAAAAATAAAATTCCCCTGAAAGGAACATCTCAGGGAAGAAGGGGGGGTCACCCGGATCTGGGTTCAAAGCCTGGCTTGGCTGCTCCCAGCCTCCGTGATGTTAAGAAATTCACTTGTCTTCTCTGAGCCTGTTTCCCCATTTATAAAACCTAGAGCAGGTCAACCTCAAAGCATCAGGACATGTATTAGACACCTACGGACCTCCAGGCAGGTCCGTCCTGGGGACCCAGGGCTGAATCAGGCCCCGTCTTGGTCCCCAAGAAGATCACAGTCCCGCTGGTGACAGGCAGTCCATAGAGGCTGACTCGGAGGAGGGACAAGCGCTGAGAAGACAAGACAGAGAAGCCCCTAGGCCCTCGGGCAGTCAGGAGGTGACAAGCCGAGGCTGACAGCCAAGTCAGAGCTCTGTGCCGAGAGGGACTAACTAATGAGGCAGGTGAGACACAGGCACAGAGGGACAGCCAGATTGATACCCCGCAGGGAGTCCCCAGGGGCAGGAACCCAGAGCAAGCCCTGCGTCACATGAGGTGCACAGGCAAAGGTGAACAGGGGGACCTCGGAGCTCCAGAGGTGCCACGCTGCCCCAAATACTGACCCCCGGCCCTCCCAGGGGGCCCCTGCCCTCAGAGCCACTGCCCCTGTGAAGCCCCCAGGCCCTGCCCACCTCGTCTCTCTCCACCCTCCTCTTCCTCATTCCCCAGCAGTCCCCACAAAGTCCAGGAAAGCAGAGGCTCAAATCAGGACCCACGTGGAGAGGAGTCCCGAGTGGGGCAGGTCCAAGCATGGGATCAAGAGCAAAGAGCAGGTCAGACCAGGGACAACATCAGATTAAGGTCAGGAAGGTCAGTGAGAGGCAGGATGAATTCAGGCAGGAGGTGAAGGTCAGAATCACACACAGAGTCAAGGTCACAGAACAAGGTCAAAGTTGAGAAATGAGGCCGGGCGCTGTGGCTCACGCCTGTAATCCCAGCACTCTGGGAGGCCGAAGCGGGTGAATCACTTGAGGTCAGGAGTTCGAGACCAACCTGGACAACATGGTGAAACCCCGTCTCTACCAAAAATACAAAAAAAAAAAAATAGCCATGTGTGGTGGCGGGCGCCTGTAATCCCAGTTACTCGGGAGGCTGAGACAGGAACCTCACTCGAAGCCAGGAGGTGGAGGTTGCAGTGAGCCGAGATCGAGCCACCGCACTCCAACCTGGGCAACAGAGTGAGATTCTGTCTAAAAAAGAAAAGGAATTGCGGAGTGAGGTCAGGGGCAGGGGCAGGGGCAGGGGCAGGGGTGGGAGGGAGGGGACCGCAGTGCTGAAGCCAAAGACACAACAGCCACAGGCCTGAGCTCCCCAGGGAGGAGGTGGAGGTGAGAGGAAGGTAGCCGTGGCAGAGCAGAACAACCCCAGCCTACCATGGTCTGGAGAGCTCCCTGAAGCTGCAGTTGGCCTGGGGATAGCTCAGAGATGGCCCTTAAATAGTGGTCCTCCCAGGGCCCCTGGCATGCACCGGGCCCAGTGTGGAAGGTGATCCATGACAGGACGGAGACCTCCCTGCCAGGCACCTGCCTTGGGCCATTCAGAGTGGATAGGGTTGGGGGGAATCCGTGGGCAAATACCACGGACGCAGGGACTGCCTAAGCCTCCAGGATCTCCGAGAGCCCTGGGCCAACTGTTTTCTCTAGAGCCAAGGGACCAAGACCCAGGAAGGGGCATTTGGCCAAGGACACAGAGTAAGTTGAGGCTGCCTACCCCAATGGGAAGACTTGGCCTTGAGCCGTCAGGGAGTGTTGCCCAGGGTGGGGCCACCCATGCTGGCTGGGACCCACTCAGACTGCAGTGTGGCCGGACCTCTGGAGCTGTGGGACTCTGGGTGGGACATCACCCTCTAGGAGGCTCAGCCATCTCATAGGAATAGGGGGGAGTGTATGAAACCCCCGGTCTGCTTATGGAGAGAGTTTCTGCACCAACCTGGCCCTCGGGGGCCCCTTCTACCAATATGCCTATTATCAGGGTGTCCATTAAGCACCCCCAGGCCAGGGGACCCCCTCAGGGCACTGAAATGCTCAATGAACAGAGAAAGCAACAGGACAAATAAAAGAAAAATGGGGTGGGCGCAGTGGCTCACGCCTGTAATCCCAGAGCTTTCGGAGGCCAAGAGGGAAGGATCGCTTCAGGCCAGGAGTTCAAGACCAGCCTGGGCAACATAGTGAGACCCCTATCTCTACAAAATATCAAAAAAATTAGCCGAGCATGGTGGTGTGCTCTTGTAGTCCCACCTACTCAGGAGGCTGAGGCAGGAGGATTGCTTGAGTCCAGGAGTTTGAGGCTGCAGTGATCTATGATTGTGCCACTGCACTCCAGCCTGGGCGACAGAGTGAGATATTGTCTCTTAAAAAAAAGAAAACAGAAAACTGGAGGTGACTCTGATGAGGAAGAACTGAAAAATGAGACCTCCATTCCACCCTGGCCTCACACACACACATCCATCCCCACCAGGCCTGGCCCAGCCCAAGAATTCTCTAGTAGATCTGCCAAACAGAGCCCACACCTGCCCTGGAAAGCCCCTCCTGTGTCTAGTGCAGCCCCAGCAGCCCCAGCTCGGCCTCAGAGGCTGCCACTGTCCATCTGGGGCCCGCCATATCTGAACAGCTGCCAGGGCCGGCAGTGCTGGGTTCAGGCAGTGAGCCCACGGGTCCCCAGGGGCTGGAGAGCTTAACTGTCCCTGGAGCTGGCCTCAGGCCTTCAGCCCCGGGTACAGCTGATCCCCTGCCTTTGGGGAAGGGAATATCATAATAATAATAAGAAGAGCAGCTAATATACAACACAGAAGGTCAGGCCATGTCTTAAAACACGTGTCCTCACATTCAATCCATATCCCATTTTCCAGATGAGGAAACTGAGGCACGCATGGGTTAAGTCACTCACCCAAGGCAGATAAGAAGTGGGGCCAGAGGCCAGGCACAGTGGCTCATACCTGTAATCCCAGCACTTTGGGAGGCCGAGGAGGGAGGATCACTTGAGGCCAGGAGTTTGAGACCAGCCTAAGCAACATGGTGAAACTCTGTTTCTACAAAAAAATTTTTTTTAATTAAAAAATTAGTCAGGCATAGTGGTGAAGTGAAAAAGTTCCCTTATCCCGTTCATAGGGCATGCGATGGGGGTGTGGCTCGCTTCTTCCATGCCCAGCTGCTCAAACCTCTAGGCGGACCATGCAGACAGGCAGGCTATGGGGCTCCGACCCCACGGCAGTGTCTAGGGGTGGATGCTTACAGCTCCTGAAGCCCCAGTGGGCGTGTGTTACAGGATGCTCTTTTACTTTTGCCATCTGTAGGTGGCTTGTGTTCATCAGCTCAGTTAGACCCTCTGCCTTATTGCAAGGACAAAGGGCTTTTTGTATCCTGGGGTTCTTGCCTTGGTGTACTGTGAAAATTGAATCACATGTGGGCTTGGAGAATGAGTGCGAGGTTTTATTGAGTGGTGGAAGTAGCTCTCAGCAGATGATGGGGAGCCAGAAGGGGGATGGAGTGGGAAGGTGATTTTTCCCCTGAAGTCAAGGTGCTCAGCAGCCAGACTCTCCTCTGACCATCCCCAGCCAAATTCCCCTGGGCATTTGTGTTATTCAGCCAGTCGATGGCCTGCCAGCATCTGCCAGTGCTGTCGGTGTGCTCTTCCGATCCTCTGCTCCTCTTGATGTCCAGCCACCTGTGTGTGTACCCACTGGGGTCTCAGGGTTTTCATAGGCACAGGATGGGCGGGGGGGCGGGGGGCGTGGTGGGCCAGGGTGGTCTTGGAAAATGTGACATTTGGGCATATAAACAGGAGTGCCTGTCCTCACCTAGGTCCGTGGGCACAGGCCCAAGGGTGGAGCCCTTGCCAGGGACCCTGCCTTTCTCCTCTCAGCACTTCCCTGTCCCCCCTCCTGTATCAGTGGCACATGCCTGCAGGCCCAGCTACTTAGGAGGCTGAGGTGGGAGGATCACATGAGCCCAGGAGGTTGAGGCTTCAATGAGCTGTGATTGCACCACTGCACTCCAGCCTGGACAACAGATCAAGGTCTCATTTCTAAAACAAAAAAAAAAAAAAAAAAAAAGAGAGAGAGAGAGGGAGGGCCAGGACAAGAGCCCCTCTTTCTAGTGTTTCCAGAAGGAAGCTTCCAAAAGGTTCTGCTCATCCAAACTCTCCCCTCCTCCTGCTCCCTCCCAGTCATCCCTGACTACAGCTATTTCTGATGTCCCTAAACTCCTGTGACTGAGTGCTCCTCCCAGAGCTGGGGCCAGGTCCAGCCATGATGCTGTGCAGCCCGCTTTCTGCAGCAGGAAACCGTGTGCCTCAGTTTCCCCGACAGGGCTGCTCTCCTGGTGTCCTGGCGTTCCTCTCCGGGGAGAAAAACCACACGTTCCACAGGTGTTCAACAAGCCAGGCGGAAAGGAGAACCCAGCTCTGGGGACGGGAGCCTGGATTCCAGTCCCAGCCGCCTGGACCTGCTACAGAAGGGGGCCTGTGTGACCGCGACAGTGGCTAGGGTGCAGGCTTTCCATGCCCGGTCTGTGAGCCTGGCCCTGGGGCCTCCTGGCTCTGGGCTTACAGAGTGGGTAGCAGACCTATAACTCCTGCTTCCTGCCTCTGGCTTCCTGCTGCCCTGAGGCCTCTGCAAGCAAGGGCTCTTGCCTCCGGGGAGCACGCCCAGGACCGTGGCAGGGGCTCCCAAAGGCCGGGGACAGGCCTGAGCAAGCGGAGAGCCCCCCCGCCTGCCCGGAGGAGGGGAAGCGGCGCTGGTGAATCACACCGGGCTTACAAATTAGTCTGAGTGGATTTCCTCCCCTGGCCTCCTCCTTCATAGGACCGGAGGCAGGAAGAACCGGTGAGAAATCTGGTAGAGACGTGAAAACCCCGGGGTGAGATGGTTGGGAGATGTTTGTTCCTGGGGGGCGGGAAGTGTGAGGGTGCAGTGGCCTTGAGAAGGGGGAGCCGTGAGTTCTGCACCCACAGTGGGACCCTCAGTTTTCCCCATCTGAGAAATGGTGCCAGCAGCCAGGACCCCTTGAGGCTGCCATCGGGAAGCTTAGTGCCATTGGAAGGAGGTGGGCTTTGGGGTCATCGGCCTGGGGTTTGGAGGGCAGAGCCTTCCCCTGTCCCCCTTTCCCCCTGTGTAGATGGAGTCCTTGACAGAACTTGCAGCCTCTCCAAGCTGCAGCCCCCTCACCCAGGTGACACTGCAATGAGTCAGTTGTCGTGGCTGGGTCACACTGTTTGACTCAACTGACCACAGGGCCAGGGCCAGTTCTTGGGGTCAGAGACACTCTGAGAGGTCTCTGCTCCCAGCCAGGGGACCCTGGAGAGTAAGTGTCCTCTGGAACTGGAATTCCAGGTCTGCCTGGGGTTGAGTCAGAGAATACTTAGCACTCTCGGTTTCCAGAGGTAACTGAGGTCCTGGGAGTGGCCAAGCCAGGAAGGGAGCTTGGAACGAGCCCAGCTGCCTGGCAGGGGGACAGCTGTTCCCCAGACAACACTGGAACAAGCCGGGGAGATGCCTTCCCCTTTCAACCCTCACCCCTAACCTCTCACCTATAACTCCTCAGGGTCAGCAGGCTGTCCCTGTCCCCCAGCCCCACAGCCCTTGACCCCTTCCCTGGCCAGCCATCACCCTGACCTTGGCTGTTCTGCAAATTCTTCCCGAAATCTCCTTCCTCCAAGCCTTTGGCCACATTGTATGTTTCCCTACTCATCACAATCAGTCTCCAGCCTGCTTTAGAACACCTCTCGGACGGCCGTGGTGGCTCCCGCCTGTAATCTCAGAACTTTAGGAGGCCAAAGTGGGTGGATCACCTGAGTTCAGGAGGTCAAGACCAGCCTGGACAACACGGCAAAACGCTGTCTCTACTAAAAGTACAAAAATTAGCCAGGCGTGGTGGTGTGCGTCTGTAATCCCAGCTACTCGGGAGGCCGAGGCAGGAGAATCGCTTGAACCTGGGAGGTGGAAGTTGCAGTGAGCTGAGATAGCACCACTGCACTCTAGCCTGGGTAACAGAGTGAGACTGTGTCTCAAAAGAAAACACAAAAAACAAAAAACAACAAAAACAAAAGGAAGCCAACAGTGCTGCCTTCAGTCTGTGGCCGAAGGCCCAAGAGCTCCTGGCAAACCACTGGTTTAAGTTCAAGAGTTCAAAAGCTGAAGAACTTGGAGTCTGATGTTCGAGGGCAGGAAGCTTCCAGCACAGAAGATGAAGGCTGGAAGACTCAGTGAGTCTTCTTATTCCACTTTCTTCTTTCTGCTTTATTCTGGCCTCACTGGCTGATTAGACGCTGCCCACACAGATTAAGGGTGGGTCTGCTTCTCTCAGTCCACCGACTCAAATGTTAATTTCCTCTACCAACACCCTCACAGACATACCCAGAAACAATACTTTGCATCCTTCAATCCAATCAAGTTGATACTTAATATTAGCCATCACACCTACCTACTGAATTTGAGAGCCTAGGCCACTTTCTGACCTTCCCTGAGCAATCCCAGGCTGCCGTAAAAAATGCCTGCAAATTCTTTGACACTTTTTCCATGGAGAGGCGGGATCTATAACATCATTCCTTGCCAACAGGCAGGCTTTTGTGACTGCTTTGACCAAGAAAGTAGGGTAGAAGTGTCACTATGTGACTTCTGAGGTTAAGTCACAAAAAGCCATGGAGCTTCTACCTTATTTGCTGGGACTTTGTGCTGGAGCCCTGAGTCACTCTATGACGAGTCTGACTACCATGAGGCGGCCATGTTGTAGGGAAGACCAAGTCACACGAAGAGGCCCCGTGTCTGTACTCCAGTCAGCAGTCCCTGCCTTTGAGTCATCATCCGAGCCTCCCAGACAACAAACGTGTGAATGACCAGTCTTCAAGTGATTCTGGCACCAGCCATGGAGTCATCCCCATCCTTAGAGTCCCCCGAGCTGAGGCCCTAGACATTATGACAAGCCACCCTCACCATCCCTTTTCTGAATTTCTGATCCATAAGAACCCCTGAGCACACTGCTATGCTTTGGGGTTTTTTTTTGTTTTTTGTTTTTCTTTGAGATAGAGTCTCACTCTGTTGCCCAGGCTGGAGTATAGTGGTGTGATCTCAGCTCACTGCAACCTCCACCTCCTGGGTTTAAGTGATTCTTCTGCCTCAGCCTCCCGAGTAGCTGGGATTACAGGCACCCAACACCACGCCCAGCTAATTTTTGTATTTTTAGTAGAGACTGGTTTCACCATGTTGGCCAGGCTGGCCTTGAAGTCCTGACCACAAGTGATCTGTCCGCTTCGGCCTCCCAAACTGCTGGGATTACAGGCATGAGCCACCATGCGCTGTGCTTTGGGCTGATTCTTTACAAAATATCATAATAACCATCACAGTGAGATTTAAATGTGCTCTGTAGGGGGACAGGCTACACAGCCATAGTCTACTCCTCAGGGCTCTGGGGAAGATGAGAGCATGAATTTGAAATCAGATGAAAGTGACTTCAAGTCCTGCTGGACCACTTGCTCTGTGACCTCACCCACATCACTGAATTTCCCAGAATCCTCAGCTTCTCCACCTGTCACATGGAATCAGTTTTCACTTGGCAAGTTTGTTACATGCCTGGCGCTTGTAGACTGCGGCTACCAATCCTGTCTGGTTATTGGCAGAGGACATGCTGCCTGTGACAAGACACTGAGCCAAGAGATGCCTCTGTTGGGCTTCCAGAACGTGCTTCCTGTGCCAAGGCTCCAGTGTCCTTAGTGGAAGAGAGACGCCCTCACGGCCTGCCCTTTCTGGCCTGGCCAGGGCAGCATGACTCATTGGATGACCCCTCGCCCCATCCCAAATGTCACAGCCCTGCACCATGGCTTCCCTTAGACCCTGTGGCCCAAGGACACACAGTAGGCTGGGTCCACAGGAAACACCCAAAGCCACAGAATGCCATTTGCCCACTCCCCCATCTGTATCTCCTTTACCCATCTCTGTCACATATTGAGAAAATGGCTCCAGATTGGGGGTGCACACAGCCCCTGAGCTCCTGCAGCCATCAAGGCTCCTGACAGGCTGGAGCCGACCGAGAACTAGAGGCCGGCTCAGGCCAGAGCAGCCACACATAGCATTTCAGACAGACCCTGACTCAGGGCCAGTTCGCCTCTTTCTCCCTTAAGCCAGAGGAAATAGCCTCGTATGTCCATCAACTCTCTCATTGCCAGGTGGGATGCCTGAGATGTTGACAGTTAGAGACGGTGGGCTGTCTTTTCCGAAAGCCCCTGGTGTCCCCTCCTCCCCAGCTCCCGTCCCATCTGGAGCCTTCTTCCAACTGGAGATCACTTAGAAAAGACAAAGAAACCTTTAAACTAAGAATGCCTCCTGGAATGCCTCTTGCCTGTTTTATAGCTGCAGCTCAGCGGGCTGGTGAATGTGCTCTCTCGCCCACAGAAGCTCAAGAGAGGCATCCCATTCAAGGGGCCTGTGGTCACAGCATCCTGCTGTAAAAATAGCTGTGGATGGCCAGGCACGGTGGCTCACGCTTGTAATCCAAGCACTTTGGGAGGCAAGGTGGGAGGATCACTGAGGTCAGGAGTTCGAGACCAGCCTGGCTAACATTGTGAAACCCCATCTCTGCTTACAAAAAAAAAAAAAATTAGCCGGGTGTGGTGGCACACACCTGTAATCCCAGCTACTCAGGAGGCTGAGGCAGGAGAATCATTTGAACCCAGGAGGCGGAGGTTGCAGTGAGCCGAAATCACACCACTGCACTCCAGCCTGGGAGATGGAGGAAGACCCTGTCTCAAAAAAAAAAAAAAAAAAAAAAGAAAAGAAAAGAAAAAAAAAGCTGTAGAATCAATGGCTGACAGGAGGAGAAAGGGGTAGGGTTTTTCTGCCCAGTGGGACTGGAAGTCACCCTAAAAGTGAGTAGATGAGGTCTCTGAGCCAGGTCTGGGAACATGTGGCTGGATCTTGTTTGCTCTTTTTTTTTTTTCTTTTTTTTGAGACAGGGTCTCACTCTGTTGCCTAGGCTGGAGTGAAGTGGCACAATCAGGGCTCACTACAGCCTCCCAGCCTCAAGCAATCCTCCCACTTTAACCTCCCGAGTAGCTGGGACTACAGGTGCACACCACCATGCCTGGCTAATTTGTGTATCTTTTGTAGAGACGAGGTCTCGCTATGTTGCTCAGGCTAACCTCAAACTCCTGGGCTCAAACGATCCTCCCGCCTCAGCCTCCCAAAGTGCTGGGATTACAGGTGTGAGCCACCGCACCCAGCCGGCTTCCTGACTTTTGAGGTTTTGGGACTCCAACTGGCTTCCTTGCTCCTCAGCTTGCAGACGGCCTGTTATGGGATTGTGTGAGACAATTCTCCTTAATAAACTCCCTTTCATATATACATCCATCTTATTAGTTCTGTCCCTCTAGGGAACCCTGGCTAATACAGTAGGGGAGCCAGAATTCAGATCCAGGCCTGAGGGACTCTGTCCCACAGCCAACTATGTGAGCCCAGGAAGTCCAGGAAACTCAGTGGGGGGTGGCACAGCATGGCAGGTGGTGACTCTCTGGCTACAGCCAGGAAGGCCTGCATTTGGAAAGGAGGCCAAGAAAGGAAGAGAGGTCGGGCCCCCTTTTGCTGCTGAGAGTGACCTTGAGAGGAGGCTGGGCCTTCCTTCAATGCCAGCTCCCTCTGACTCAGCCTGGACTGGGGCATCACCTCTCTGGGTCTGCGTGTCCCCACATGCCCTTCCTTAAGCCCCTGACCCAAGCCCTGGGGGAGGGAGGGGCTTACACTGCTCCCTCTTGCCTCACTCTCCATTGACAGCTGTAGAAACTGAGGCTCACAGGCTGGGCGTGGAGGCTCATGCCTATAATCCCAGCATTTTGGGAGGCCGAGGTGGGTGGATCACCTGAGGTCAGGAGTTTGAGATCAGCCTAGACAACATGGCAAAACCCTGTTTCTAGTAAAAATACAAAAACTAGCCAGGTGTGGTGCTGCACGCCTATAATCCCAGCTACTCGGGAGCCTGAGGCAGGAGAATCGTTTGAACCCGGGAGACAGAGGTTGCAGTGAGCCCAGATCGTGCCACTGCACTCCAGCCTAGGCAACAGAGTGAGACTCTGTGAAAGAAAGAGAGAAAGAAAGAAAGAAAGAAAGAAAGAAAGAAAGAAAGAAAGAAAGGAAGGAAGGAAGGAAGGAAGGAAGGAAGGAAGGAAGGAAGGAAGGAAGGAAGGAAGGAAGGAAGGGGAAGGGAAGGGAAGGGAAGGAAGGAAGGGGAAGGGAAGGGAGGGAAGGAAGGGAAGGAAGGAAGGAAGGAAGGAAAGAAGGAGAAAGAAAGAAACTGAGGCTCAGGAGGGCTGAGCCTCCTAAGCCAGCTGCTTCACCAACCTTCTGCCAGCTCTAGCCCTTTCATCCTTCTGCCCTGTCAGTCCCTGCCCTCTGCAAGTGGGACAGGGGTGAGGGGAGTGTAGGAGCTCAGGTACGTGCATTCTCCAGCCCCCGTGGCATTTCTGCAGGGGTTTGGAGCAGAAGAGAATGATGAGGTGGGCAGAATCCCCGGAGCCTGCGTGGAGGAGGAGAGAGAGGATGAGCTGGGCCCTGCTGGATGCCTGGTTTCCCTATCTTTCCCCTAAGAGCCAGGCCGACCTCGTCCTGCTGGACGGCTGAGGAAACTGAGGCCTGGAGCAGCGAGGGGCCTGCTCAAGGTGCACCACTGCAATGCCAGCCGCGACTCCACCCACCCCATTCCCTAAGGGATGCCTGGGAGGTGAATAACCTGGAAGTTCAGGTGGGACCTCCCAGAGGATCTAGGCATCCCTGTAGTGGACAGTGGCTCAGGCAGGCAGTGCCCAGGCTCGGAACCCTCCCAGGGGCCTGGAGGTTGCCAAATGGGCCCAATTTGCTGTGCTAATGTGGGCTTTCTGCTGCTTGGAACCTGTGCACACCCTCCTCCAAGAGCTGAGCCAGCAGCAACAGGACAGACTATAATTATGACAAGTTACATCCTGTTGTCCTGGCTCAGTTATTAGCCACATCGCCCAGCACCCAGCAGCTTGCACTCCGGGGGTCTGCCAGAAGCAGGGAGGGTGAGGTGAACCATTTGTTAACACTCGCCCCCCATCCTGCCATACAACTTCTCCCCCACCCCCTGCCAACTAGGGATGCCTTTTCCTGCTAGTTACTCATCCCCTAAACCTGACCTCAATCACCCTCCAGGGGAGATCGCTGAGCTGGACATTCCACCAGCCTCTACAGACCGGGGCACCCACAGCAGGGAGGATGGTGGACAGTAGGGAGTCCTCCCGAAAGATATCCCACAGCAACCCTCATTTTTCCGCCTTTAATCCCACACTTCTGGGGCTGGGCTCTGAGACAGGAATGCCATCCATGTTTGTTCCTTGCACAACTCCAGGGAAGCCACTCACATAGACTGCAACAACTTAGAACCTTAGACTCCAATTAAACTGTGGCCTCTGCAGTTGGGCAGTGTACAACTTGAACGGCTGTACATGTTCTGCAAGGTACAATTTCTCAACTCCTTCCCTCAAGCAAATAAGACACAAGTCCTGGAGGCACAGATCTGTCCACCCAGCTGACAAATTCTGGGGCTGCATTTCCAGAATGTTCTATGTGAAGTGGGAAAAGGATTCTTTCTTTTCTCTCCTCCTCTGGGCCAGTGTCATCATGGGAGTTCTGAGTACAGTTGCAAGCCTGCTCTGGGAGAGAAACAGATACATGGAAGGAGAAATTCCAGGAGCTCGGGAGACAGCAAGGACCCAGACCCACATTGTCTGAGCCTGGCTGATGTTCTTCAGTCAGCAGAGCTTCTCGGACCTCAAGTTTAGAGAGTTAGATTCATCATGAATTTTGGTTCATGGAACACCCGATCATTGACCCATAGCTGGCCCTTTTTATCTCCATCTGGTTGATTAATTGATTGATTGGCTGATACAATGAACATCCATGAACACCACCCAACTCAGGGACTAGAATGTCACCAATAACTTATGTCACTTGTGCCTTCTGATATAGTTTGGCTGTGTCCCCCGCCAAATCTCATCTTGAATTGTAGCTCTCACAATTCCCACGTGTCATGGGAGGGACCTGGTGGGAGGTCATTGAATCATGGGGGTGGGTCTTTTTCATGCTGCTGTTCTCATGATAGTGAATAAATCTCATGAGATCTGATGGTTTTATAAAGAGGAGTTTCCCTGCACAGGCTATTTCTCTTGGCTGCTGCCATGTGAGACGTGCCTTTCACCTTCCGCCATGATTGTGAGGCCTCCTCAGCCACGTGGAGCTGTGAGTCCATTAAACCTATTTCTTTTGTAAATTACCCAGTCTCGGGCATGCCTGTATCAGCAGTGTGAAAACGGACTAATACATATTCCTACCCACCTGCCCTCCTTCACACAGAGGAACGACCATCCTGAACTTATGCCTATTATTCTCACCCTGATTTTATGACATCTACATGTACACTTAAACAATACATACTTGAATTTTGCTTGTTTTTAAACTTTTTTTTTTTTTTTTTTGAGATGGAATAGTGCTCTGTCGCCCAGGCTGGAGTGCAGTGGCATGATCTCAGCTCACTGCAACCTCTGCCTCCAGGGTTCAAGCGATTCTCTTGTCTCAGCCTCCCAAGTAGCTGGGACTACAGGTGCACACCACCACGCCCAGCTAATTTCTGTATTTTTAGTAGAGATGGGGTTTCAACATGTTGGCCAGGCTGGTCTCCAACTCCTGACCTCAGGTGTTCTGCCCGCCTCAACCTCCCAAAGTGCTGGGATTTCAGGCGTGAGCCACCACGCCTGGGCGATTTTTTTTTAAGACAGAGTTTTACTCTTGTTGCCCAGGCTGGCATGCAATGGTGTCATCTCTGCTCCCTGCAATCTCCACTTTCTGGGTTCAAGCGATTCTCCTGCCTCAGCCTCCCAAGTAGCTAGGATTACAGACATGCGCCACCACGCCCGGCTAATTTTGTATTTTTAATAGAGACAGGGTTTCACCATGGTGGTCAGGCTGGTCTTGAACTCCTGACCTCAGGTGATCTGCCCGCCTCAGCCTCCCAAAGTGCTGGGATTACAGGTGTGAGCCACTGCTCCCCGTCACTACATGATTTTTATTACAAAAAAATTTCTTGGCCAGGCTTGGTGGTTCACAGCTGTAATCCCAGCACTTTGGGAGGCCGAGGTAGGAGGATCGCTTGAGGCCAGGGGTTCAAGACCAGCCTGGGCAACACAGCTAAACTCTGTCTCTACTAAAAATAAATAAATAAATAAGTAAATAAATAAATAAATAAATAAAATAATTAGCTGGGCATGGTGGCATGTGTCTGTCATCCCAGCTACTCAGGAGGCTGAGGTGGGGGAAGATCACTGGAGCCCAGGGGTTTGAGGCTGCAGTGAGCAAAGACGGCACCATTGCACTTTAGCCTGGGCCACAGAGTGAGATCACTTCTCAAAAAATGTGTATTTTTCTTTCTTTAGTAATAACTAACCTCAGCTTACTGTAACTTTTTTACTTTATAAGCCTTCCAATTCTTTTTAACTTTTTTACTCTTTTGTAATAACATTTACTTTAAAACACAAACATATCATACAGCTGTACAAAAATATTTTCTTAGGCCGGGCGCGGTGGCTCATGCCCGTAATCCCAGCACTTTGGGAGGCCAAGGTGGGCGGAACACTTGAGGTCGGGAGTTCGAGACCATCCCAGCCAACATGGTGAAAACCCGTCTCTACTAAAAATACAAAAAATTAGCCCAGGCATGGTGGCGGGTAACTGTAGTCCCAGCTACTTGGGAGGCTGAGGGAGGAGAATCGCTTGAACCCAGGAGGTGGAGGTTGCAGTGATCTGAGATCTCGCCACTGCACTCCAGCCTGGGTGACAGAGCAAGTCTCCATCTCAAAATAAATAAATAAATAAAAATAAAATAAATTTTTTTCTTTATATTCCTATTCTATAAGCTTTTTGCTATTTTTAATTTTTGTTTTTACTTCTTAAACTTTTTTGTTAAAAACGAAGACACAAACACACACATTAGCCTGGGCCTACATGGGATCAGCATCATCAATATCACTGTCTTCCACCTCCACATCTTATCCCACTGAAAAGTCTTCTAAAACTCCTGGGGCTGTCATCGCCTATGACAACAATGCCTTCTGGATACTTCCTGAGGGAACTGCCTGAGGCCGTTTTATAGTTAACTTCTTTTTTTAATAAGTAGAAGGAGTACACTATAAAATAATGATAAAAAGTGTAGTATAATAAATACATAGGCCGGGTGCAGCGGCTCACGCCTGTAATCCCCACACTTTGAAAGGCCAAGGCGGGCAGATCACTTGAGGTCAGGAGTTCGAGACCAGCCTGGCCAACATGGAGAAACCTAGCAAAAAATACAAAGATTAGCCAGGCTTGGTGGCATATAAATCTCAGCTACTCGGGAGGCTGAGGTAGGAGAATCACTTGAACCTGGGAGTCAGAGGTTGGAGTGAGCCGAGATCAAGCCACTGCACTCCAGCCTGGGCGAGAGAGCGAGACTCTGTCTCAAAAAAAAATAATAATAAAATACATACATACATAAACCAGTAGCATAGTCATTTGTTATCATTATCAAATATTATGTACTATATATCATTGTATGTGCTAGACTTCTTTTTTTTTTTTTTTAAGACAGGGTCTCGTTCTGTTGCCCAGGCTGGAGTACAGTGGTGCAGTCACAGCTCACTGCAGCCTCAATCTCCTGGGCTCAAGTGTTCCTCTTGCCTCAGCCTCCCAAAGTGCTGGGATTACATGTGTGAGTCACTGCACTTGGCCTTGCTTATTTTTAAACTTTAAATAAAGTTTAAAGTTAGCAAAAGTCTCTAGAAGTTGCCTTTTCACTGGACATGACACAATCAGGCATCACTTAATGACAGAGATAGATTTTCTGAGAAATATGTTCTTAGGTGATTTTATTGTTGTGTGAACATCCTACAGTGTATTTGCACAAACCTAGATGGACTAGCCTCCTACACATCTAGGCTAGAGGGTCTAACCTGTTGCTTCTGGGCTACAGACCTGTATAGCGTGTGACTGCATTGAATGCTGAAGACGCTTGTAACACAGGGGTAAGTGGGCAGGCATTTGGCCATCTCACACTATTTAGATGAGGGATTCCTCCTTCACCAATGGGGTGAATAGGAGATTATCAGGGCACATGTGACTTGCTTTGATCAATGGCATGAGAGGAGAAATGATGGGCCAGTCCCAAATCTAAAGCCTTGACTCTCTCCTTCTGCCTTCACCCCATGCCATGACCAAGAGAGAAGCTGCACCCTCAGCCTGGGACCCAGGAAGAATATACTCAGAGCAGAGCAGCCCTGGCCAATCCCCAGACTCTCAGCTTGAGTCAGGACTTCCCACCAAGCTCAACATAGCCCCAACCTAGATCAACCAAGCCCCAGCCAAGCTGCAGAGCCATTAGCATTAACGAATGTAGCTTTGAGCCACCAGAGATGGGGGTGATCTGTTACTCAGCATTATGGTGTCAACGGCTAATCCATTGAATCAAAATTCACTTATGTTGCTATATGACGCCACATGTGGCTTATTCTTAATTGTGTACCTATAGGCCCATTAATGTATCCACTTTTCTTATTGATGAGTATTTGAGTTGTTTCAATCTTTTGCTACCATAAATAGCACTGTCTTAACCTTCTTTTAAATTTCTCAGCCAGGTGCGATGGTATACGCCTGTAATCCCAGCACTTTGGGAGGCTGAGAAGGGCAGATCAACTGAGGCCAGGAATTCAAGACCAGCTCAGCCAACATGGTGAAACCCTGTCTCTACTAAATACAAAAATTAGCCGGGCATGGTGGCGGGTGCCTGTAGTCCCAGCTGCTCGGGAGGCTGAGGCAGAGAATTGCTTGAACCTGGGAGGCGGAGGCTGCAGTGAGCCAAGATTGTGCCACTGCACTCCAGCCTGGGTGACAGAGTGAGATTCCATCTCAAAATAAATAAATAAATAATCTTGATGTGTGTGGGCAAGAGTTTCTCTGGAGAATATAGCTAGAAGTAGAAACGCACATATTCAACTTTACAAGATAGTATCAAATTGTTTTTCAAAGAGGCTGCACCAATTGTCACTCCTACCAGTCATCCATGAGACCCGGCTCATTTCATCCTATCCAATATCTGCTGTCAGAGTTGGGTGGTTTTTTATTTTTGCTTTGTTTTGTTTTGGGTTTTGTTCTTGCTTTTCCTTTCTTTCTTTCTTTCTTTCTTTTTTTTTTTTTTTTGGGACAAAGAGACAGGGTGTCACTCTGTTGCTCAGGCTGGAGTGTAGTGTTGCAATCATAGCTCACTGCAGCCTCAAACTCCTGGGCTCAAGCAATCCTCCTACCTCAGCCTCCTGAGTAACTGAAACTACAGGTACACACTCCATGCCTGGATAATTTTTATTTTTTTATTTTTGTAGAGATGGGGGGGTCTCGCTATGTTTCCCAGGCTGGTCTCAAACTCTTGGCTTCAAGCAATCTTCTTGCCTCTGCCTCCCAAAGTATTGGGATTATAGGTGTGAACCACTGCACCTGGCAGAAAAATATTTTTTTATGAATGTAGTGTAGCCCAAGTTCTCCATCTTAATGTAGCCAAATTTTTCTTTGCTGTTTTGGTGTGTCTCACACCACTTCACTAATAGCAAGCAACATTAATGGCAACTAGATGCTAAATGTTCTATAACAGGGATAAGTTGAATTATGTCAAATCCACACAATGAAATACTATACTGCAGGCCAGGCATGGTGGCTCACGTCTGTAATCCCTGCACTTTGGGAGGCTGAGGTGGGCGGATCACCTGAGGTCAGGAATTGGAGACCAGCCTGGCCAACATGATGAAACTCCATCTCTGCTTAAAATGCAAAAATTAGCTGGGCATGGTGGTGTGCACCTGTAATCCCAGCTATTCAGGAGGCTAAGACAGGAGGATCGCTTGAACCCGGGAGGTGGAGGTTGCAGTGAACTGAGGTCATGCCACTGCACTCCAGCCTGGGTGACAGAGCAAGACCCCGTCTCAAAAAAAAAGAAAAGAAAAGAAAAGAAAAATATTATACTGTAGTTAAAAATCATTATTTCAAACACATATGATATTAAAAGATATTCACATTGTAATAAGTAAAACGGCTAAGTAACAAAATTTGATTCTAAATGTGTTAAGATAAACTGAAATGTCTTCCACCTGTCATTAGACCCAGACTTAGAATAAAAATCAATCTAATCCAAGCTGAGTCCATCCACGCAGGTTAGAAAAGAGCCCTTTATTGCTAGAGAGGGTTTTATGGTGATGTAAGTCAGGCTTCCCAGGAAAATCTACGGAGGGGACAAGACCAACGCCGTATAAATGAGGGAAACAGATTCATCTTTTTTTACAGAGTCTTTTTTTTGAGACCGAGTCTCACTCTGTCACCCAGAGTGGAGTGCAGTGGTATGATCTCGGCTCACTGCAACCTCTGCCTCCCAGGTTCAAGCAGTTCTCTTGTCTCAGCCTCCTGAGTAACTGGGATTACAGGTGTGCGCCACCATGCCCGCCTAATTTTTGTATTTTTAGTAGAGACGGGGTTTCACCATGTTGGCCAGACTTGTCTTGAACTCCTGACCTCAAGTGATCCACCCACCTGGGCCTCCCAAAGTGCTGGGATTACAGGTGTGAGCCACCGCACCCAGCCCAGGTTCATCTTGATTTGAAATTGGCCATGTTACTTCTGAGAAAGAAATGATGAAAGCAGTGGTCATTTTGGTGAGATGTGCTTAGTTCTTGCCCTCCTGAGGGTGGTCCCTGCCGCCCTCTCTGGGAGGATCCTGAGGTGGTCTGGAGTGCCAATCTTTGTTCCCCAGCAAAGCACCAGAAGGGGCCAGTGGAGGGTAGGGGAGACAGGGAGAGTCAAAAATTTCTGTCATATAAGATTAGAAACAAGTCAAGTGTGGTGGCTCATGCCTGTAATCCCAGAGTTTTGGGGGGCCGAGGGGGGAAGATCGCTTGGGCCCAGGAGTTCAAGACCAGCCTGAGCAACATAGCAAGACCCCATCTCTACAAAAAAATGTAATAATTAGCTGGGTGTGATGGCACAGGCCTGTAGTCCCAGCTACTCAGGAGTCTGGGGTGGAAGGATCCTCGAGCCCAAGAGTTCAAGGCTACAATGAGCTATGATGGCACCACTGCACTCCAGCCTGGGTGACCGAGGAAGACCCTGTCTCTAAAAAATAAAGTCAAGAGGGCAGGCACGGTGGCCAGCACTTTGGGAGGCCGAGGTGGGTGGGTCACTTGAGGCCAGGAGTTCGAGACCAGCCTGGCCAACAGGGGGAAACCCCATCTTTACTAAAAATGCAAAAATTCCCCGTTGTGGTAGCGCATGTCTGTAATCGCAGCTACTTGGGAGGCTGAGGCAGGAGAATGCAGTGAGCCAAGATTGCGCCACTGCACTCCAGCCTGGGTGACAGCAAGACTGTCTCAAAAAATAAAAATAAAATAATAAAATAAATAAAATCAGTAACTATCTATTGGAAGGTGGAACTTCTTTGAGATCTGCATCAAAGTTACATTTGTATAACAAATGCCCTAATTTATTTATGTTGTCTATTTCAGGTGGCTGGGCGCAGGTGGTGGGGGGAAGCCCCTACAGAGATTGGAGGGGGAGCTAAAGATTCCCTAAGCCCTCACTTGTGCTGTGTGTGGTGTAGGTGAAAGTGACAAGGGGTTTCTTTCTCCACAGGGGAGGAGAGGCGTATCTAAGACCGGGATGTATCTAACATGGGGACTTAGAGGGAGGGGGTGCAGAGGAGAAAGGAAAACAGGAAGAGGGTCTTCTCCTTCTCTCTGCTCCACCTCAGAGCCGCTAGCAGAGCTGGGCACGTGGCGAGTTCTCCGGGAAACCTCCCAGGCTCCGCTCACGCTCCCACATGGCCCCAGGTGACCTCGGGGTGCCCGCGCTGTGGGGAGCCTTCAAGGCGCCCGAGTGAACCTGGGGACTGTTTGAAGTCCCGGCACCTTCTAAGGATTCCGTTTAACAAGCTGGGTGCCGTGAGCACTTGGATGAAAGGCGCTATGTAAAGACATGATATCATAACCTATTAAAGCTCGTTTTCTTAGAAACAGGAAGGTCCATTTGCCAAGAGTAAACAGTGAGGGCAAGCCCTGCCCGGGCACAGGATCCCACAGTTGAGAAAGTCATTCTGGGTGGGCTCAGGAGCCAGCGTGGGTCAGAGCGTGGGGGTGCAGAGGGGTTGGAGGTCTCCCCCACGCCCCAACCCCAGGAGGGAGAAGTCAGCAGAAACAGCAGCTGGGGCCCCAGAGGGCTGGAGAATTCCAGCCTAGCAGGAATGAGGGAATTACTGGCCCGGTCTGGATGGAGGGGGCCACTCCGTCAAACTCAGAAACACCCCGACATCCTCTGCAGGATGTCACCTCCATGAAGGGACAAATGGGGGGTGCTGGCCCTGTAATTCCCCTTTCATTAATTCTACAAATGTCAGGCCGGGCACGGTGGCTTACACCTGTAATCCCAGCACTTTGGAACACCAAGGCGGGTGGACCACTTGAGGTCAGGCGTTCGAGACCAGCCTGGGCAACATGTTGAGATCCCTGTCTCTATTAAAAATACAAACAAGTAGCCAGATGTGGTGGTGTCTACCCATGATGCCAGCTGCTTGGGAGGCTGAGGCAGGAGAATCTCTTGAACCCGGGAGCTGGAGGCTGCAGTGAGCTGAGATCGACCCACTGCACTCCAGCCTGGGCGTCTCAAACAAACAAACAAACAAACAAACAAAAACATTTTTTGGAAGAGGTGGTGTCTGAGCTTCACCTGGAAGGATAAGTAGGACTTGAGGGACAGAACAGGAAGGGACACAAGCACCTTGAATATGTCCAGGGATTTCCAGAGGCAAAATGCACTTCACTCACCCAGCAGGAGGGCCCTGGGCTGGAAGCAGGGCCGGGCTTCCCATCCCTTCTTGAGCATGAACAAGCCAAGGCTTGCAGTGGGCCTGTGACCCACCCCTGACCAGACCCCCCACCTCCCACCCAGCTCTCCCCTACCCCCCACCACGCCAGGCCCTGGCACTGAGGCTGTACCGCGTCTCCCCGTCCTGCAGAGTCCAATCAGCTCCCCCAAACTCAACCTCAGGCCGCGACCCTGGCGAAGGCCCGGAGGAGCCAGGCGCTGCTTCCCAGCAACTGCGTTTCCTCAGCCTTGTTTACAGTTGTTGAACTATTTTCGTCAAATTAATTAAATACATGCTAAATCCTCTCCAATTTGTTGTGCGATAAATTAAAGATGCGAAGATTGTGAAACGCTCAAGAAAACCCACTGATGCTGATAAAAGCCGGCACCACAGCCCCGAGTCAAGCATCAGGCAGTCCAGAGTCTGCTTCTACCACCCGGCTGAATCAGAGTGGGGTTCTGAGGTCTCAGCGGCCAGGGTCCCAGGGAGACTTCATGTCTACCCACAAAGGTGACTCAAGGCCCAGGGGTGGCCCATGTCACTGGAGAGCACAGCGCATGGCTGTCAGGGGCACAGGACACAAAGTCCTTCCCCAGAGTGTACCGCAGGGCTTCCTACAACCCCTCAGGTCAGCAGCTTGCAGGAATAGCAACAGCTTGACCAGGCATGGTGGCTCACACTTGTAATCCCAGCACTTTGGGAGACTGAAGTGGGAGGATCACTTGAGCCCAAGAGTTTGAGATCAGCCCGGGAAATACAGGGAGACCCCATCTCTACCAATAATTTTTTAAAAAACTAGCCGAGGCCAGGCGCGGTGGCTCATTCCTATAATCTCAGCACTTTGGGAGGCCAAGGTGGGTGAATCATTTGAGGCCAAGAGTTCAAGACCAGCCTGGCCAACATGGTTGGCCATCTCTACTAAAATACACATCTCTACTAAAAATACACAAAATTAGCTGGGCTTAGTGGCATGCACCTGTAATCCCAGCTACTCAGGAGGCTGAGGCAGGAGAATTGCTTGAACCTGGGAGGCAGAGGTTGCAGTGAGCTGAGCTCACCTCATTGCACTCCAGCCTGGGTGACAGAGCGAGACTCGATCTCAAAAAAAAAAAAAGAAAAGAAAAGAAAAATTAGCCAGGCGTGGTGGTGTGCACCATGAGTAGTCTCAGCGACTCCGAAGCTGAGGCAGGAGGACCGCTTGAGCCCGGGAGGTCAAGGCTGCAGTGAGCTATGATCACGCCACTGCACTCCAGCTTGGACGACAGAGTTAAGAACCTGTCTCCAAAAAGAAAAGAAAAGAAAAGAAAGGAATAGCAACAGCTAATGTTGATCTGAGATCGCAGTGCACAGTAACTCACGTAATCCTCATGCAACTCTCCAAGGGGGCAGGTGCTGCTATTATCCCATTGCACAGAGGAGAAAATGGAGGCACAGGAAGTAACTGGCCAAGTTCACACAGCCTGGGAGGACAAAAGGCCTGGATAGAGGCTGGGCTGTCCAGCTGTAGAGTCTGTGCTGGTAACCACTATGTACACGAGATCCTCCTCGAGATCCTCCTCTAGCTCTGGCCTGTGCCAGGCATGGCTTTGGCAGAATCAGCCACCACAGGCCAGACCACACCCCTAGGAGGCCTCTGGGGTCTGGGACACACACCATCCCACCCACCCCACAGCTAGCATCTACCTCGTTCTAGTCTTGTTCTGTGTAAAGTGTACCCCATTGGCCTACATGAGAGGGCAGGTCACCTATGAAAATCCCTTCACTCAGACAGGGGCCTCCTGCACCTGCCCGGGAAAAAAAGAGAGGCATGAGTGTTCCAGCCAGAGAAACTGAGGCACAGAGGGTCTTGCATCTGTGAGTCCGTGGCCTAAGCCCCCTTTCCTGGAGCAAGGTGATGCGTAGATTCAAAGTGACCCCACAGCCATTGCCCATGTGGATCCAGTGGAACCCCAGGCTGTGTGTTTGTTTGTTTCGAGACGGAGTTTCACTCTTGTCACCCAGGCTGGAGTACTATGGAGTGATCTCGGTTAACTGCAACCTCTGCCTACAGGGTTTAAGCAATTCTCCTGCCTCAGCCTCCTGGAATTATAGGCACGCACCACCACACCCAGCTAATTTTTGTATTTTTAGTAGAGAGGGGGTTTCACCACGTTGGTCCGGCTGGTCTCGAACTCCTGATCTCAAGTGATCCACCCACCTCGGCCTCCCAAAGTGCTAGGATTACAGGCATGAGCCACCACGCCCGGCCTGTGTTTTCTTTATTCCATGTTGTGGATGAAGAGACTGAGGTCCAGAAAAGAACAGGGACGCGTGCCCAACATGCAAAGAGAGTGGGTAGGAGAGCTAAGTTCAGACCCGGGAAGGGCTGGCTGAGCTGCTGGTACCCAAAGCCCAGGTCCCATGCTGGGGCTCCCCGGTCACTGCCATCACTCCACTCCCCCAAGGTGGCAGGCAGTCTGGGTGTCTTGGGGCCCAGGGTACCTTTCACAGAGCCTTGATTCCACTCTTTGAGGTGGGCACGGGTGTACCCCACCCGCTAAGCAGCACTGAGAGGCCAGAAACAACTGTGGATTTGAAAACATCTCGTAAACTCCAAATCCCAAAAAGGATGGTGATTGTTGGAAATGTTGATGCTGGAGAAGAGGATGGGGACAAATTAGGTGAGTTCCAGGCCAGTGCCTCTTGCCAAGACACATGCACCCCCTCAACAGACCTCATTCCTTTAATATATATATATATATATTTTTTTTTTTTTTTTTTTTTTAAGAGACAGGGTCTCAGTCTATCACCCAGGCTGGAATGTAGTGATGCAATCATAGCTCATTGCAGCCTCGAACTCCTGGGCTCAAGTGATCCTCCTGCCTTACCCTCCCAAGTAGCTGGGACTACAGAAGTGTGCCACCACACCTGGCTAATTTTTTTGTATTTTTAGTAGAGACGGGGTTTCACCATGTTGACCAGGATGGTCTCGATCTCTCAACCTTGTGATCTGCCCCCGCTTGGCCTCCCAAAATGCTGGGATTACAGGCGTGAGCCATCATGCCCGGAAGCATTTTTTTTTTTTTTTTTAGCTCATCAGCTATCATTAGTGTCAGTGTATTTCATATGTATGGCCCAAGACAGTTCTTCTTCCGATGTGGCCCAGGGAAGCCAAAAGATTGGACACCCCTGGATTGGAGGGACACCAGTGGGGAAGAGCCAGGAGGATATGGGACCACCTGCGATCAAGGAGAAAGCTCACCCCCACTTCCTGTGCTGTGGCCAATGGGTGGTGCCAGTCCTGCTCCTTCAAGGAAGCAGAACCAGGGGGGGTATTTATTATAGAATAAGAATGAGCATTGGCCAGGCTCAGTGGCTCATACCTGTAATCCCAGTATTTTGGGAGCCTGAGGCGGGCAGATCACTTGAGGTCAGGAGTTCAAGACCAGCCTGGCCAACATGGTGAAACCCTGTCTCCACTAAAAATACAAAAATTAGCCAGGCATGGTGGTGCATGCCTGTAATCCCAGCTACTCAGGAGGCTGAGGCAGGAAAATCACTTGAACTCGGGAGGCGGAGGCTGCAGTGTGCTGAGATGGCACCACTGCACTCCAGCCTAGGCGACAGAGCAAGACTCCATCTCAAAAAAAAAAAAAAAAGAGGGGGAGATGTACTGGGGACCAGGGAAAAGTCAGCGGCCAGCCCTCCCGCAGCAGGGAGGCAGGCAGAAGAGCTGGAGCTTGTGGGGAATCCCGGAGCCCGGCGGATGTGGCTGCTGCAATATGAAGGCAGGGCCAGTGTAGACGCTTATGGAGGTCTCTTCACACCATCTCTGTAAGATCACAGCCAAGCGTCCAGGGAAGGCACGGGTCACTGTGACTTCTTAACAGGGCCAGCAGCCTGGGAGAAGAGCCAGCCACCAATCAGGGAATAGGACATGCAGAAGAGTGTGGATAAACTGGAACCTGCGGGCACCTCTCTGTCCGTCTCTCTGCCCTGCCTCTAGCCATGATGATGCTCAGAGCACAAAGTTCGCTTTAGTCCAACTCTAACTCAGACCCACAGCGGGAAGGGGATTCTAGGAAACAAGGCTCCAGCTTGGCCAACTTGACTCAGTACAAAACCACCACAGCAGGAAGAGATGGAGCTGCTTGCTGAGACCAGGCGCCGGGGATGGGGGCAGGTTCAGGGATGCCTGGTATGGTTGTGTATGTTGTTCACTGCTCAAGAGCACCTGGCTAGGGAGCCAGGAGGGGCTGAAGCTGACCCTGGCATGAAGCCATATCTACCTGGAGGAAGGGGCGTCTTTTTCTAACTTGCATAAGATACCATTCAAACCTGGGCAGGATGAGGGAAAGGCGTGGTGTGCTGGTTGAGGTGGAAGGTGTGGGGGTGTCCATAAGGTTAAACTTCTCCCAGCATCCATCATCCCCCTCTGTGACCAACACTGTAAGGGCCCCATACACAGGGCCCTTGCTGTCAGTTGGACTAACCAGTAACAGGCTTGTGGCATATGGCGATGGTCCTAAAATTCCCAGAGGGCAGGCAGTGCAAAAGCAGGCAGAGCCAGCTAACTTGGAGGGAGGATTATGCCTTAGGCAGAGCTGTTTCAGATAGAACGAGATGTCTTTTGAGGTAGTGAGCTCCCCGTCACTGGAGGTATTCAAGCAGAGCCAGATGGATGCTTGCAGGGTTTGGTGCAGGGGATGTCATGAAGCTCCAGGTGGCAGTTCAGCCACTTGCTCCTCCTGGACAGTGAGTCAGACATGAACAAGACTTCAGAGGATTGGTGGCAGGTCTCGGGCAGGGTTGGGGGGAGTTCCTCTCCAGCCCTCCCCCACCCTTTGTCTCTGCTCAGTTCTTTTTGGAACCAGTTTAGGTATTTAGAAGATTAATTTCATATTTGTGCAAAGCAGGGGATTAGGAGGGGAGGAGACTGAGGCTCTCTGCAGGTCGTTAATCTAAAAAAAGACTGCAAAATCGCTCTGGCCACGAGTCACAGCTGAGGGTGCCACTCACCGCCAGCAAGCCAGGGCTTTTCATCAGTAGTTTGCTTTCATTTTCTGCCGTCTCAGGACCAACACTCTTGAGCTCTGGGGAAGGTCAAAGGCAGAACATGGTGGGGTGGCCTCCATGCCACAGAGCAAGGAGGCTGGAGTGCCACCCCCATCACGCCAAGGTCCAGACTGCAGACCTCAAACAGAATTACTGCCATGAGGACCACCCTGATTCCTCAGTCCACTGCCACCTCCTGCCTCACTCTTCGGTGCTCCTGGAGAAACCAGAGGCTCAGAGAGGGCATGGATTCACCCCAGCACACACAGCAAGTTGCTGATTCCTGACTCAGAGCTCCTCCTCGATGCTGCCACTTAGAGTTGAGGTGGTGGGAGCTGCTGGAGCCGTTCTGGGACTATCTGGAAGCACAGCCCATACATCCAGGAGTCTAGGGGGATTTTTTTTTTTTTTGTAACAGCATTATTGGGATAGAATTCCCAAGCCATACAATTCATCCATTTAAAGCAGGGATGTCCAATCTTTTGGCTTCCCCGGGCCACACTGGAAGAAGAATTGTCTTGGGCCACACCTAAAATACACTAACACTAATGATAGCTGATAAGCTAAACACAAACAAACAAAAAAACTGTCGCAAAAAAAGTCTCATAATGTCTTCAGAAAGTTTACGAGTTTGCGTTGGATTGCATTCAGGGCCGTTCTGGGCCACGTGTGGCCCATGAGCCTCGAGTTGGACAAGCTTGATTTGAAGTGTACAATTCAATAAACTATCGAACTTTTGTATATTCAGAGTTGTAAAGCCACCACCAAAATCAATTTTAGAACAGTTTCATCTCCCCAGAAAGCAACCCTGTACTCATTGGCAGTCACTCCTCACTTCCTTCCCCATCCCAGCTCCTCGTAAATAATCTACTTTCTGGCCAGGCAGGGTGGCTCACGCCTGTGATCCCAGCACTTTGGGAGGCCGAGGCAGGTGGATCCCTTGAGGTCGGGAGTTTGAGACCAGACTGGCTAACATGGTAAAACCCTGTCTTTACTAAAAATACAAAAATTAGCTGGGTGTGGTGGCGCACATCTGTAATCCCAGCTACTCAGGAGGCTGAGACAGGAGAATCACTTGAACCTGGGAGGTGGAGGCTGCAGTGAGCTGAGATCACGCCACTGCACTCCAGCCTGGGCAACAGAGCAAGACTCCGTCTCAAAAAAAAAAAAAAGACAAGCTCAGGAAAGATTTTGGCTAGTAAACTAGAAGGGAAAAAGGAAGAGGCTGGAAATGTCGGGGTTTGCAGGGTTTGAAAAGCCAACTGTAGGCTGGGTGCAGTGGCTCCTCCCTCTAATCCCAGTTCTTTGGGAGGCCAAGGTGGGAGGATTGTTTGAGCCCAGGAGTTGGCGACCAACCCTGGCAGCATAGCCAGACCCCATCTCTACAATAAATTTTAAAAATTAGCTGGGCATGGTAGCATGCACCTGTAGTCCAAGCTACTCGGGAGACTGAGTGGGAGGATCACTTGAAGCCAGGGGTTCGAGACCAGCCTGGGCAACATAGCAAGTCTCTGTTGGAGTCCAAGGCTGCACTGAGCCATGATCGCACCACTGCACTCCAGCTTGGGTGACAGAGCAAGAACATGTCTCAAACAAAACAAAACAAAATAGAAGAGAGAGAGAAAAGAAAAGCCAACTCTTTCTGGCTTTTAACTTCATATATGTTAAATGTCAATAAATTTACCTTCGTGTATGTAAAGTGTCAATTAAAAAGTGCCCTTGACGAAACAAAGTTAATTCAGGAGACAGAAGATAACTTGAACAAAAACTAGTTAACATCCCCAGGGGATTCACTAAGTAAACAAAAAAAGAGCTCTGGGGAATTCAAAATATCTTTGCTAGAATTTTTAAAAGGTAACAAAAGAGTTGGTGATTAAAGCTGAGGAATCTCCCAGAAAGGAGAAAAAGAGAGATGGGAGATAAAAGATCAGACGTAGAGGGGAAAATCCAACCGCTATCCCTGGGCGTTCCAGAAGGACAGAACAGAGAATATAGAAGGAAATAAGTGATCAAAGACACACAAGAAGAGAAGTTCCCAGAACAGAAGGCTAGGAGCCTTCAGATTGACGGCCATGCAATATGATAATAAAACTAAAGATGGCGAGGTGCGGTGGCTCATGCTTGTAACCTTAGCACTTTGGGAGACCAAGGTGGGAAGATTGCTTGAGGCCAGGAAATCAAGACCAGCCTGGGCAACATAGTGAGACCCCATTTCTATTTAAAATAAAATAAAAATTTATTTTGTTTTTATTTTTATTTATTTATTTATTTTGTGGCAGAGTCTCGCTCTGTTGCCCAGGCTGGAGTGCAATGGTGCGATCTTGGCTCACTGCAGCCTCCACCTCCCGAGTTCAAGTGATTCTCCTGCCTCAGCCTCCCGAGTAGCTGGGATTACAGGTGCCCACCACCATGCCTGGCTAATCTTTGTATTTTTAGTAGAGACAGGATTTCACTATGTTGGCCAGGATGGTCTCAAACTCCTGACCTCAGGTGATCCGCCTGCCTTGGCCTCCCAAAGTGCTGGGATTACAGGCATGAGCCATCACACCTGGCCAATAAAATAAAATTTTAAATAAAACTAAAGAAAAGGCATGAAGAAACATCACTGAGAAACTTCAGTAGGTGTACCAGTGATAAACAGATGGTCCTAAATATTTCCAGTGGGCAGAGGTAAAAGCAAGTCACTACAAAAGAACTGCTGATCAGCTGGACACGATGGCTCACGCCTGCAATCCCAGCACTTTGGGAGGCCAAAGTGGGTGGATCATTTCAGGTCAGGAGTTCAAGAGCAGCCTGGCCAACATGGTGAAACCCCATCTCTACTAAAAATACAAAAGTTAGCCGGGTGTGGTGACGCATCCCTGTAATCCCAGCTACTCGGGAGGCTGAGGCACGAGAATCGCTTGAACCTGGGAGGAGGAGGTTGCAGTGAGCAGAGATCATGCCACTGCACTCCAGCCTGGGCGACAGAGAGAGACTCTGTATCAAAAAAGAAAAGAAAAGAAAGCAACAGAGCTGTGTCTTCTCGGTTCTCAAGGATAAGTTTTGTTTTTTGTTTTTTGTTTTTTTTGAGATGGAGTCTCGCTCTGTCGCCCAGGCTGGAGTGCAGTGGTGCGATCTCGGCTCACTGCAAGCTCCACCTCCCGGGTTCACACCATTCTCCCGCCTGTCTCCCGAGTAGCTGGGACTACAGGCACCCGCCACCACGCCCGGCTAATTTTTTTTTTTTTTTTTTTTTTGTATTTTTAGTAGAGATGGGGTTTCACCGTGTTAGCCAGGATGGTCTCGATCTCCTGACCTCGTGATCCACTCGCCTCAGTCTCCCAAAGTGCAGGGATTACAGGTGTGAACCACAGAGCCCGGCCAAGGGAAAATATTTTTAACCTAAAATTCTATACCCAATCCAACTATTGTGAATGCGGAAAATCTGAGACGGGTCTGCCTTAATTTAGAAAGTTTATTTTGCCAAGATTGAGGACACGCACCCGTGACACAGCCTCAGAAGGTCCTGATGACATGTGCCCAAGGAGGTCGGGGCACAGTTTGGTTTTACACATTCTAGGGAGACATGAGACATCGATCAACATATGCAAGATGAACATTGGTTTGGTCCGGAAAAATGGGACAACTCAAAGCAAAGGTGGGAAGACTCAAGCAAGGAGGGGGCTTCCGGGTCATAGGTAGATAAGAGACAAATGGTTGCATTCTTTTGAGTTTCTGATTGGCCTCTCCAAAGGAGGCAATCATGATGACACGCACCTGTAATCCCAGCTTCTCGGAAGGCTGAGGCGGGAGAATTGCTCCAACCCGGGAGGCGGAGGTTGCAGAGAGCCAGGATTGTACCACTGCACTCCAGCCTGGGCAACAGCACAAGACTCCATCTCAAAAAAAAAAAAAAAAAGATATGCCTTTATCTCAGTGAGCAGAGGGGTGACTTTGAGTAGAATGGGAGGCAGGGCTGGGAGGCAGAGGCTGCAATGAACCGAGATCAGGCCACTGCACTCCAGCCTGAGCGTCAGAGTGAGTGAGACTCTGTCTCGAAAAAAATAAATAAATAAAAATAAAAATAATAAAATGAATTTAAAAATCGAAAAATGCTTTTGTAGAGATGGGGTCTTGTTATGTTGCCCAGGCTGGTCGCAAACTCCTGGGCTCAAACGATCCTCCCACCTTGGCCTCCCAAAGTGCTGGGATTACAGGCGAGTGCCACTGTGCCTGGCCTGTGAATGCTTTTTGCTTTAGGGTCCAGTTTTTCTTTCTCTGGCAGTTTCTAAATGTTGTTCTTTTGCCTGCATTTTCTGCATCTTGAGTTCTTCTGATGTTTCAGAAATGACATCACATCTATGGGGACCTTGTTTTCCCTGGGTTTCTGGTCACTGGTGTTCACTACTCACCCATCCTCTTTTGCTAATCTGGATCCTGGCATCTGGACACCCCCTGGACTGCAGCTGCTATTGCCTGCATCCCATTTCTCCCTCTTTTTTTCTTTCTTGGTTTTTTTTTTTTTTTTTTTGAGATGGAGTCTCACTGTGTCGCCCAGGCTGGAGTGCTATGGCTCGATCTCGGCTCACTGCAGCCTCTGCCTCCTGGTTTCACGCATTTCTTCTGCCTCAGCCTCCCGAGTAGCTGGGACTACAGGTGTGAGCCACCACGCCCGGCTAATTTTTTATTTTTTAGTAGAGACAGGGTTTCACCATATTGGCCAGGCATGTCTCAAACTCCTGACCTCATGATCTGCCCGCCTCAGCCTCCCAAAGTACTGGGATTACAGGCGTAAGCCACGGCGCCTGGCCCTCCCTCTTTCTTGGTTTATTTATTTACTTTTCCTTCTGGGAGGGATGGATAGACAATACATTCGTGAAAATTTTGGAAGTCTAAAAAATAATATGGTCCCCAGGCTTGTTCAATAGTGTGAAAGGAAAATAAATCCTGGGGCCCCCACATCGCTAAGCTAAAGAGAAAAGTCAAGCTGGGAACTGCTTAGGGCCAACCTGCCTCCCATTCTGTTTTGTTTTGTTTTTTTGAGATGGAGTCTTGTTCTGCCGTCACCCAGGCTGGAGTGCACTGAGGTGATCTCAGCTCACTGTAACCTCCGCCTCCCGGGTTCAAGCGATTCTCCTGCCTCAGCCTCCCTACAGGTGCCCGCCACCATCCTTGGCTGATTTTTTGTATTTTTAGTAGAGACACAGTTTCATCATATTAGCCAGGCTGGTCTCGAACTTCTGACCTCAGGTGATCTACCTGCCTTGGCCTCCCAAAGTGCTGGGATTATAGGTGTTGGCCACCATGCCCTGCCCCCCCAAATTTTTTTTAATTAGCCAGGTGTGGTGGAGTGCCTGTAGTCCCAGCTACTTAGAGGCTGAGGTGGGAGGATCACTTGAGCCTGGGTGGTTGAGGTTGCAGTGAGCTTTGATGGTGCCACTGCAATCCAGCATGGGCAACGAAGTGAGACCCTATCTCAAAACAAACAAACAAACAAAAATTCTGGGGTCACGTTATGGTTGATGAGCAAGCCAAGGTGTGACAGTCAAGGGAAGCATCTGAGTGGGGTGGAGAGGAAGTCATTTGCCTCACTGTGAGATAGGTGACCCTCGAGGCTCAGAGGCTGTGAGGGTGGAGGAGTGAGAGGAACCCCACAAATGGGGCTAATGTCTTCACTGAATGAGGAGTTATGGGGATCAATGAATGAGCCTCCAAGGATCCTCAGAGACGTTTCTGCTGCCTGACCAGGCCAGCATCCCACAGCCAAGGAGGCTGGGCTCTGTATTTGGTTCATTGATCCAAGTTCCCTCTAGACCCCGGGATCATCTTCCTACCCCACCCCACACTGATCCCTCCCACCTCTCATCTCAGCCCACTCCAGTTCTGACAAACACATTCCCCAAGACCTCATCAAATCCCACATCAGTACATGCTCGGGAAGGAGTGGAGTTGGTTCCAGAGAGGTTGGCAGTGAACTGGAGTGAGAGATGGACAGAGAAATTAAGGGAATTTTCCTGGAGGGAAGGGCTTGAGGGTGGAGGTTGGGAGGCTCAGCTGCTAGAAGATCCGAGGAAGAGGACGCAGACCAACTGTGGTCTGGGACCCCAGATTGCTGAGCCATCAGCAAGGGGAGGGTGCTGCAGGGAGTTCCATTTGGGTTCAAATAAGGAAGCCCTCTTGAAGGAGTGAGTTCTCCATCCAAGGGGGTGTGTAAGCAGAGGCTGCACATCCACCCCGCTGGGATGGTGCTGGTAGGATTCAGGCATGAGATGAGGATCTCCAGCCCTGAGACTCTACGAAAAGGAGATGAAGAGCAATGGGAGGGAGGGGAGAGCAAGACAGTGCCCGAGGCTAAAGAACAGACGCCACTATCTCAGCTGTGGAAGCAGCAGCTGGAGATGGAACAAGCCCTTATGTGTGGGGAATTTGCCTCAGCAGATGAGGTACAGCGAGGATGCTCATGATATCTCCTGAAATGAATACAATCTGGAAAAAAAACAAATTCAACAGAACCCATTTTTTTTCCACTAATAAACCAAGCCAACTTCAGTGCCATCCTAATTTATCTGTTGAGAAAGAAGGTCTTTATTCTCAGGAGGTGGGAATACCACTTCTTTATTATCATCATCATCATCATCATCATCATTTTTTTTTTTCTGTTTGAGATGAAGTCTTGCTCTGTCGCCCAGGCTGGAGCACAGTGGCACGATCTCAGCTCACTGCAACCTCCATCTCCCAGGTTCAAGTGATTCTCCTGCCTCAGCCTCCCAAGTAGCTGAAATTACAGGTGCATGCCACCACGCCCGGCTATTTTTTTTTTTTATTTTTAATAGAGACAGGGTTTCACCATGTTGACCAGGCTGGTCTTGAACTCCTGGACTGATGTGATCTGCCCGCCTCGGCCTCCCAAAATGCTGGGATTACAGGCATGAGCCACCGCATGCCCAGCCAGACTCCCAAGTTTTCTTTGTCAATTCTTGCTTTAAATATCTTGAGGCTATGTTATTAATGTATAAAAGATAAAAATGTTCTCTCTTTCTGATGAATTTACTTTTTTATTTTTCATTGACCCTCTTTATCTCTAGTAGTGCATTAGAGCTTAACGTCTATTTTTTCTAACATTAATATAGCTACCTCACCTTTTTTCTTTATTTGCCTAGAGCATATTTTTCATCCTTAGATTTCTAATCCTTCTGTGTTCTTATTTTTGTGTGTCTTATGTTTTTGTGTGTCTTATAAATACCATATACTTGAATTTTATTTTAATTTTGTTTGACAATCTTCGTCTTTTAACTGGAGAGTTTAGTTTAGTTTGTTTATTTATTTATTTATTTATTTATTTAGAGATGGAGTCTTGCTCTATCGCCCAGGCTGGAATGCAGTGGCTCAATCTTGGCTCACTGCAAGCTCCGCCTCCCGGGTTTACACGGTTCTCCTGCCTCAGCCTCCTGAGTAGCTGGGACTACAGGCACCCACCACCACACCCGGTGAAATTTTTGTATTTTTTAGTAGAGACAGGGTTTCACGGTGTTAGCCAGGATGGCCTCGATCTCCTGACCTCGTGATCCGCCAGCCTCAGCCTCCCAAAGTGCTGGGATTACAGGCGTGAGCCACCACGCCTGGCCTATTTATTTATTTATTTATTTTTTAGATACAGAATCTCACTCTGTCGCCCAGGCTGGTGTCCAGTGGCACAATCTAAGCTCTCTGCAACCTCCACCTCCCGGGTTCAAGCGATTCTCGTGCCTCAGCCTCCCAAGTAGCTAGGACTACAGGTATGTGCCACCATGCCCCCGCTAATTTTTTGTATTTTAGTAGAGACAGAGTTTCACCATGTTGCCCAGGCTGGTCTTGAGCTCCTGAGCTCAGGCAATCTGTCTGCCTCATTCTCCCAAAGTGCTGGGATAACAGGCGTGAGCCACCACGCCCAGCTAGTCCATTTACATTGAAGTGATTGGTGAGCAATTAGGGTTTATTGCTATCATCTTATTATATTTTCCTATTTGACTCATGTTTTCTCCTTCTTCGTCCCTCTCTTTTCTTGTCTTCCTTTGGTTTATTAGTTAGATATTATTGTAATAATGTTGCATAACAGAAAACTTCAAAATCTCCGTGGTTTACAACACCAAAAACGATTTCTCACTCGAAGATCTGAGGCTGGCTACCGCTCTGCTAAGTCTTCTAATTGTTCTATATTGTGGGTCTCCTCTAAGCATATTTTCACAGGGAGCAGGCTGAAGCAGGAGAGGCTACCTAGGGCATGTTTTTCTCACAGCAGTGACAGGCACAGAGGGACAAAGCTAAATCATGCAAGGACATTTAAAACCTCAGTTTGCAGCCAGCTGCAGTGGCTCACACCTGTAATCCCAGCACTTTGGGAGGCTGAGATGGGCGGATCACTTGAGGTCAGGAGTTTGAGGCCAGCCTGGCCAATATGGTGAAACCCCGCCTCTACTAAAAATACAAAAATTAGCCAGGCGTGGTGGTGTGTGCCTGTCATCCCAACTACTCAGGAGGCTGAGGCATGAGAATCACTTGAGTCTGGGAGGCAGAGGTTGCAGTGAGTCAAGATCACGCCACTGCACTCCAGCCTGGGCGACAAGAGTGAAAGTCCGTCTCAAGAAAAAACAAACAAACCAGAATGTAGATTTTCCCCATGAAAGACAGTTTTGTAGGGCCATTTCAAAATACATCAAAGAAATATATTTGTGGGTAAAATACTTTGATTTCTTTCAGGGCCTGCTATCTGTCATGCTGGTATCTTATTGCTAAAGAGAGTCTGTTTTGTCAGTCTTAAGGTCTCTGTTTTAATGTGAATGCTGGTCAGCTGTACCTGAATTCCAAAGGGAGGTGGGTATAATGACGCATGTCTGACCAAAGCCATTCCCATCACAGCCTGAACTAGTGTTTCAGATTTACTTTAGAATGCCCTTGGCCAAGAGAAGGGAACTATTCACTTGGCTGGTGGGGGTGCTTAGAATTTTATTTTTGGTTTACAGCTCCTAGGAGAAATATGTGTGTAGGTATGTACACCCACCACACACACACACCCCGCACTCATATAGATTATAATATAAAAACAACACATTCTGGCTGGGCGCGGTGGCTCACGCCTGTAATCCCAGCACTTTGGGAGGCTGAGGCGGGCGGATCACCGGAGGTCAGGAATTCGAGACCAGCCTGACCAACATGGTGAAACCCTGTCTCTACTAAAAATACAAAAATTAGCCGGGCATGGTGGAGGGTGCCTGTAATTCCAGCTACTCAGGAGGCTGAGGCAGGAGAATCACTTGAACCTGGGAGGCGGAGGTTGCAGTGAGCCGAGATCACGCCATTGTACTCCAGCCTGGGCAACAAGGGTGAAGCTGTCTCAAAAAAAAGAAAAAAAAGAGAGACAAGAAGAAGGAAATGCATTTAATACACCTAATTTACCAAACATCGTAGCTTAGCCAAGCCTACCTCAAACACGCTCATGTAACCAAGTATCGCCATTTTTCTAAGAGATAGTTTATTTTTCTCTCTCCCTTCTTTTCTCTTTCCTCCTTTACGCTGCTTCCTATTTAGCTATTTAGAAATGCAATTATAGCCTTTTACCTCCCCTGCACCAGATACTCTCTATTTTAGGCATCCCCAGCCCCCAGGCCATGTTAGGAACCTGTTAGGAACCGAGCTGTGAGTGGCAGGTGAGTGAGCATTACTGCCTAAGCTCCACCTCCTGTCAGATCAGCGATGCCATTAGATTCTCATAGGAGCGCGAGCCCTATTGTGAACTGTGCATCCGAGGGATCTACGTTGTATGTTCCTTATGAGAATCTAACTAATGCCTGATGGTCTGTAGTGGAGCAGTTTCATCCCAAAACCATCCCCTGCATCCGTGGGCTATGGAAAAATTGTCTTCCATGAAACCAGTCCCTAGTGCCAAAAAGGTTGTAGACTGCTGCCCTACAGGCAAGTTCATCTAACCATGTGCTTAGAAGCTCCAGAGCGGAACTCTCTCCCACCACGAAGTTGCCTTGGCAGACAACAGTCCATCTGCAGCCCAAAGTGTGCCCGCTACGAAACTCTCCCCTACCTGGAGAGTTTTTGGCCACTTCTCCAATGTAGTTCTATCCACAAAGGTGCCAGCAGTCACCAGCTCAAGGGCCTGGTCATGCTAGCACCAAAGCTATCATGAAGAGCCCCCCAACCTGCTTGCTTCCTTCCCTGCATGTCACTCATGCCAAGCCCCCTTCTAAAAGCACCTGCCTTCTGCTCTAAAAGTGAAGGGATACCCTTAAGGCAGGAAGCCTGTACTTCTCCCCCTAAGCTAGCTTTGGAATAAAAAGTCACTTTCTTGGCCAGGCGTGGTGGCTCACGCCTGTAATCCCAGCACTTTGGGAGGCCGAGGCAGGTGGTTCATCTGAGTTCAGGAGTTCAAGACCAGCCTGGACAACATGGTTAAACTCTGTCTCTACTAAAAATACAAAAATTAGCCAGGCGTGGTGGTGCGCACCTGTAATCCCAGCTACTTGGAAGGCTGAGGCAGGAGAATGGCTTGAACCCAGGAGGTGGAGGTTGCAGTGAGCCAAGATTGCACCACTGCACTCCAGCCTGGGTGGCAGAGCGAGACTCTGTCTCCGAAAACAAACAAACAAAAAGTCACTTTCTTTTTTTTCTTTTTCTTTTCTTTTTTTTTTTGAGACAGAGTTTCACTCTTGTTGCCCAGGCAATGGCGCCATCTCGGCTCACAGCAATCTCCGCCTCCTGGATTCAAGCAATTCTCTTGCCTCAGCCTCGTGAATAGCTGGGATTACAGGCATGTGCCACCACGCCCACCCAGTTTTGCATTTTTAGTAGAGACAGTGTTTCTCCATGTTGGTCAGGCTGGTCCTGAACTCCTGACCTCAGGTGATCTGCCCACCTCAGCTTCCTGAAGTGCTGGGATTATAGGCGTGAGCCAGCAAGCCTGGCAAAAAGTCACTTTCTTTATATCAGACTTTGCTCTTGTTCATCGGACTCTACAAGCAGCAAGTGACTGAACCCGCAATTCGGTTACACTCAGAACACTGACATTAGCCTACGGTTGGGCAAAATCATCTGGCAACACAGTACACTGTACAGTATCATTGTTGACTCTCATGGTTGCCTGGCTGACTGGGAGTTGCAGCTCACTGCAAGAGAGTATCATACTGCATATCGCTTGCCCCGGAAAAGATCAAAATTCAAAATTCGAAGTATGGTTTCTACTGAATGCATATCATGAAGTCAAAAAATCCTAAGTTGCACCATTGTAAGTCTGAGACTTTGTATGTAATCTTTCATCCTCTGCCAGAAATATCTCTTCAGTAATTGTCCAGTGCTTTAAGTATATTTCCAGGGAGCTGGGGAGTAGCAGGGCAAAGGGCCTTGGGCAGAATGGTCTATGCCTTTGTGCCTCCGAATTTCATCTGTCAAATAGAAAAAAGAATCCAGGTCAGATGAGCAAATGGAATCGTGTCAAAGTGCTCAGCAAACAATAATGTACAAGAAAGTGCTTAGCAAACAATAATGTACACGAAAGTGCTTAGCAAACAATAGTGTACATGAAAGTGCTTAGCAAACAATAATGTACACGAAAGTGCTAGCAAACAATAATGTACACGAAAGTGCGTAGCAAACACTAAGGTACACAAAAGTGCTTAGCAAACAATAATGTACACGAAAGTGCTTAGCAAACAATAATGTACACAAAAGTGCTTAGCAAACGATAAGGTACACGAAAGTGCTTAGCAAACAATAATGTACATGAAAGTGCTTAGCAAACAATAGAAGTGTTAATACCACCTGCATTCTTGCAATAGCACTGAAACTACAACTTCAGTGACACTCTGGTTCTAAGCATGATTTTCAGTTATTCCCAAGGAACTGAAGTTGATGTAGCAGTGAATGTCCCAGGAGCAATTAGACCCACTTCACTTCTCTTGATTGTCATTTAATATTCTTTTATTAAGCATCAGTTGTGAGTGCAACCTGGAGAACCACTTGATGTCAGAGACATCAGAACTGAGCTCAAGAGACACTCAGATACCTGATCCAGACCTCAAAGGAAAGATCTGTCCAAAGTTGAGAAACTAAGAGAATGATCTGTCCACCTAGACAACGCCAGGCCCTAGGAGAAAGTCTGTCCACTCAGACCCTACAGGAGAAGCTCAGGGAACAGTTTGACCACACAGGAGCTGCTGAAGAACAGCCAGTCATAGGTGTTGGGGGAGAAGGGTGCCGGGAAAGAGGCAGGAGGAAGATGTGCTTCCAGGGGGGCAGAAGTTAATGGCGCCCAATGCAGCTGAGATTGCAAGTATGACACAGACTGAGAATTACCCATTGGGTTTGGGCCATGATGTGGTTTGGTTGTGTCCCCACCCAAATCTCATTTTGAATTGTAGTTCCCATAATCCCCATGTGTCACAGGAGGGACCCAGTGGGAGGTAATCGAATCATGTGGGCAGTTACCTTCATGTTCTCATGATAGTGAGTGAGTTCTCATGAAGGCTGATGGTTTTATAAAGGCTTTTCCCCCTTTTGCTCGGCACTTCTCCTTGCTGCTGCCATGTGAAGAAGGACATGTTTGCTTACCCTTCCACCATGATTGTAAGTTTCCTGGGGCCTCCCCAGCCATGCTGAACTGTGAGTTAATTAAACCTCTTTCCTTTACAAGTCACCCAGTCTCGGGTATAACTTTATTAGCAGCATGAGAACAGACTAATACACCCCATGTTCCATCTCATTTCATCTTCAAGCACCCCTCTGGAGATGGGTTCAGAGAGGCAAGTGGCTTGCCAAAGGTCACACAGGTGAGAGGAGCCAGAGGCAGAATTTAGAGGCTGGCCAGGCACAGTGGCTCATACCTGTAATCCCAACACTTTGGGAGACTGAGGTGGGAAGATCACTTGAGGCCGCAAGCTCAAGACCGAGCCTGGGCCACATAGCAAGACCCCATCTCTACAAACGAAAAAGAAAAAATGATCCGGGCATGGTGGTGCATGCCTGTTGTCCCAGTTACTCAAGAGGCTGAGGTGGGAGGATCACTTGAGCCCAGGAAGTTGAGGCTGCTGTGAGCCATGATCACGAGACTGCACTCCAGCCTGGGCGACAGAGTGACACTCTTGTCTAAATAAATTAATTAATTAAATAAAGCCTCAGTTTGTGTTACCTCCACTCACAATCATTGGCTAAAGCAAGTCACACCGTCAGACTCAATATCAAAGGTGGGGGGAGTTTGAAAACCAATAGCCTCAAATTCTTTGGTTTTGAAACTTGAATGTGATGAGAATCTCCAGGCTACTCATTAATTTGCATCTGAGATGGGACTCAGAATTCCACTGCATACCCACGAGGCCCCAGTAGCATGCATGGCCTCCTTCCTACTGACCCTTGTAGCCGGGGGTCCCTGAGTTCTGTTGGGCTCCCCTCACCACCCTGCCTGCAAACACATCTGAGTATATCACCGAGGTTGCTCCCCAAGGGAGGAGGGTGGCCCCCAGGGCACTCGCGGCCCCTCCCCTCTGCCTGGCCCTCCCCTGAGCTCTCTGCAGATTCCTCATTAGCAAGTGCAAAGCCAGCCCCTTCACGCCTTCCCAGGCCTTGCAAGGACTGAGAGAGGCTGGAATGCAAGCCCCGAACCACCCTCCAGCAATCCTTCATTATCCCTTCCCTCGCAGGTCCCACCACCAGGTAATTCCATTGTTAATTAAAATCCTGCAGCCTTTAATATCTCGGCTCATAATTGCTGTTTTCCCCAGCCCTGGATTGGCTGTGCAGGCTTCGGGGGGGACCCGGGTTTTTTTTTCCTGGGATCTGCTTTGTACAACCACCGGCTGTCTATTTCCTCAACCTCAGCCAAAAACCTTCTTCTCCGTGGGCTTCAATAGTGGAGCAATGGGGACCACCCTGGGGGCCATATTAGCACCCCCTGGACACCTCCTAGGAAAGGAGGCCAAGGAAGGAGTCAGTCTCTTCCCCCAACCCCAGGCAGGCCTCCAAGTACAACCCCCAGCAACACAGCCTGGGAGACAGAGACAGCCAGCTCCTGTACACGCAGGCCACGAAGGCTCCAGAGTCCCGCAGAGGCCCCCTGAGGCCATGTTCATGGGCAACAAGGATCTTCCTCATCCACGTATCATTTGCTGCTCCCCCGAGCCCCGAGCCCCCATTGTTCAGCTAAAGAAGAAAAAGATCAGAGAGGGAGGTGAATTTCCCAAGGCCACACAGCAGAGCCAGGAGGCCTAGAGTGCAGACCCTCTGCTCTTCTGACCATACCCTCTGCCCGTTGACCTTCAGGCCCTTTCTCACCTTCCTGCTCTCAGCGTTGATACTTTTCTTCCTCCTCTGCTAGCCTCACTCACACTTAGCCCGGCCCCTGTCTCTTCCTCTGCCATTCCCATTCTAGCTGAGGATGTGAATGCTGTAGATGCCCACAGGGGAGGCAGGGGGCCAACAATGAGAAAGGACAGAGGACTGTGACTATTGGTCACAGATTTCAAAGGCTGGAGGACCACAGTGGAGCCAGGAGGGGGACGCGCTGAGGTTAGCCCTGTCTTTTTTTTTTTTTTTTTTTTTTTTTTTTGAGATGGAGTTTTGCTCTTGTTGCCCAGGCTGGAGCGCAGTGGCACGATCTCGGCTCACCACAACCTCCGCCTCCTGGGTTCATGCACTTCTCTTGCCTCAGCCTCCTGAGTAGCTGGGATTACAGGCATGCACCACCACGCCCAGCTAATTTTGCATTTTTAGTAGAGACGGGGTTTCTCCATGTTGGTCAGGCTGGTCTCGAACTCCCAACCTCAGGTGATCCACCCGCCTTGGCTTCCCAAAGTGCTGGGATTACAGGCGTGCGCCACCGCGCCCAGCATGCTCCATCTTAATCACTCTGTGCTGTTGACCCAAAGGCCCCGTAAGGTCTGAAGGATCAACCCCCATCCCCTGCCCACTGGGAAGGTGACCAGGTATTGCTCTCTGTGGAAGACAGCACCTCACTCAAGGCCAGGCCCCTCTTGGGCAACTGTGCAGATGGGGGCAGAGCTTGGCTGGCCTGGCTCCAGCTTTGGAGGGTCTGAGGGTGGACCGAGCTCTTGTCACAACTGCCCTGCTCCTCCCTCTGTGGCCCCTGCTGCCATCCTCCTCCCGGCAGGTGTTGACCCCAAGGCCATATGACCATAAAACCTCCATCCAGAGTCTGCATCCCGGGGGACCTGGCCTTCTAGAGCCATTTTTCTTTTTGGGATTTCTAGGGCCTGCTTCCTCTCTTCTCCCTTCCCACAGGGACCCCAGACCCTGTGCACCATGACCTATTACCCACGCCTGTCCCATGCTCCTGGCTGGTCTGTCCTTTCAGAACTGGAGAACGGAGACGTATCCTCTCCACTCTCAAGAACCTCAGCTCGACCGGGTGCTGCAGATCCTGCCTGTAACCCCAGCACTTTGGGAGGCTGAAGCAGGAGGATTGCTTGAGCCTGGGAGTTGGAGGCCAGCCTGGGCAATGTAGCGAGACCCTGTTTCTACAAAAAGTTTAAAAAGTAGCTGGGCGCATGGTGCATGTCTGTAGTCCCAGCTACTCAGGAGGATGAGCAGGGAGGATCATTGAGCCCAGGAGTACGAGGCTGTAGTAAGCCATGATTGCACCACAGCACTCTAGTCTGGGCAACAGAGTAAGACCCTGTCCCCCCACCAAAAAAAAAAAACCTCAGCTCCCCCTAACAGAAAGTCTCCAGGGGCCGAGGACCCCTTCAGAGCCCTTGATGTTTCTGAGGTCAGCTGTGTCATCCCAAATTTCCAGGAACTGGAAAATCTGTCACCTGTCCCAGTTGCATAGCTGGGAGGTGTTGGAGATGGAGTTCTGAACACATCTGGTTCTCATCTAATCCTCAGCTCACAGCTGCCTCAGTCAGCCTCCAACAAGATTCCTCTGTCACTGGTGGCTCTGCGAGAAAACCAATCCCTGAACTGACCAGCTCTTCTGACTGCTCAGAAGTAGGATCATGTTTTTGTTTTTGTTTTGAGATGGAGTTTCACTCTTGTCATCCAGTCTGAAGTGCATTGGCACGCTCTTGGCCCACTGCAACGTCCACCTTCCACATTCAAGCAATTCTCCTGCCTCAGCCTCCTGAGTAGCTGGGATTACAGGCACGTGCCAGCATGTCCAGCTAATTTTTGTATTTTTAGTAGAGACGGGGTTTCACCATGTTGGCCAGGCTGGTCTCGAACTCCTGACCTCAGGTGATCCGCCTGCCTTGGTCTCCCATAGTGCTGGGATTACAGGCATGAGCCACCGTGCCAGGCCAGAAGTAGGATCGTGTTTACAGAGCACTGCTTGCATTCACTCATTCATTCATTCATTCAATAAACATGATGTCTTGAGCATCCCTTGTGCCAGGCAATGTGTTTGTTGCTGGGGACACCTTAGGGAACAAGATGGACAAAGCCCTGATCCTCTTGGAGCTTCTATTCTAGGGAGAAAGATACACAATCAACAAGATAAGTAAAATAACATACAATAGGTTAGATAGCGCTAAGTGCTAAGGAGGAAAATAACAGGGAATATGGACAGGAAATGCCTGCGGTGGGTTAGAGGGTGAAAGTTGAGTCAGGGTGGCCAGGGAAGGCCTCAATGGGAAGGTGGCTTTTGACAAAAGGGTGCAGGAAGACCAGGTGCAGTAGCTCACGGCTGTAATCCCAAAACTCTGGGAGGCTGAGGCAGAAGTTTGAGACCAGCCTGGGCAATGTAGCAGGACCCTGTCTCTACAAAAAAACTTTTTTAATTAGCTGGGCCTAGTGGCACGTGCCTGTAGTACCAACTACTCAAGAGGCTGAGGTGGGCGGATCACTTGAGCCTGGGAGGTCGAGGCTGCAGTGAGCTATGATGGTGCCACTGCACTCCAGCCTGGGTGACAGAGTGAGACCCTATCACAAATGATTGAGAGAGAGAGAGAGAGTGAAAGGGTGAAAGAGTGAAAGGGTGCAGGGCCCAGCTGGGAACAATAGGTCACACGGAGCCCTTTCTCTGGACTCTTGGTGGGGAAGTTCCTCCAAGGAAGAAGTTCCTCCAAACAGAGGCTAAGCAGAGAGGAACGGCTGCTGCCCCAGCTTCTCAGTCTGGTTGTCCTGACAGGGGCAGCAGGAAGGGTGCACGGACACCCACCTGAGTGAGGAGCTTGCTAGGCAGGGGGCCCCCTTGTCCCAGTGCTTCCACCAGTGCACCCAACCTGAGCCCCACCCAGGTCCTGCTCACCTGCTGAATGGCCTTCCAACACTGAAGACCTCAGTCAGCTGCTTCCTAGCAAGGAAACACCTGCAGCCTCCTTGCAACAAGTACTATATATTGGAAGGGCACCCTGAGATTCCAGGTGAAGGAAATCGGTCACCCAGAGGTGTTGTGTGTTCCCTGCAGGAGATAATGCAGCTTCAAACCAGGTCCCCCAGCCTCCGTGAGGAAAGTGCCCTGCACTGTCATCCTGACCACAGTTCCTGGAAACCCACGAGGAAATTGGCACATTCTGCAGATCTGATCTGCTGGCTTCATCTCTGTGAGGCACCTCATCAGTGACAACACCCAGATCCAGGCTAGAACCCTGTAACATTCCACTAGTGAATCTGTGCTGGCTGCCCCTTCGTGTTTGCTAACAAGCTTTCTGAGGTATCAGGGAGGGACACCAAGCTCTCCCCGCTGTGTGACCTGAGTGTCGTGTCTCTCTTTAGCTCCCATGTGTGGAGGGAAGAAAGGGAAAGGTGCCAGCTGATATCAAAATGGACAGAGTAAAACCATGACAAATACAAGACAAACTACCCAAAGTCCTTTGGAACCATTCTGGCCTTGGGAGGTGTCTGAATCCACAAGAAAGACTCAGTGAGAGTTAAAAAGAAGCATTCTGCTCAAGACTGGAGAGCAGCTGGGATGAGGCTAAGTAGTAATGGACAACAGCTACAAATTCATGAGAATGGGAACTGCCATGGATTGGACAGCAGGGCCCTCGTGTGTGTGTGTGTGTGTGTGTGTGTGTGTGTATGTGTGTGTGTGTTTAAGAGATGGAGTCTCATTCTGTCACCCAGGCTGGAGTGCAATGATGTGATCACAGCTCACTGCAGCCTCAATCTCCTGGGTTTAAGTGATCCTTCCACCTCAGCCTCCTGAGTGCCTGGGACTATAGGCATGCACCACCATGCCCGGCTTATTTTTAAAACTTTTTTGTAGAGATGGGGTCTCAAATTCCTAGCCTCAAGCAATCCTCCTGCCTCAGCTTCCCAAACTGCTGAGATCACAGGTGTAAGCCACCATGCCCAGACCACACACACTTTTTATTCATGAGAAAAGTGAGGCTCAGATAAATTAAGTATCTTCTTCAAGTGGTGTGGTAGGGATTTGAACCTGCATCTCTTCAAATTTCAAGAGGCATCTTTTCTCCTTTGAGACAGCCAAACCCCTCAGGATGTGCGTGTTTTCCATAGGTGGAGGGAGCACCTTGAGTGCCAGCAGGAGGCAGTGTGGAGCAGAGGAAAGGCCAAGGCTTTGGACTCAGACCCACCTAGGATTGCATCTCAATGCTGTGCTATCTTGAACAAGTTACTAAGATTCTCTGAATCCTGTTGTTGTTGTTGTTGTTGTTTTCCTTATTGGTGCTGCAATAAGTTATCACAAACTTAGCAGCTGAAAACAACACAAATGTATTATCTTATCATTCTGGCAGTCAGAAGTATGAGATGGGTTTCACAGAGCTGAACTCAAGGTGTCGGCAGGACTATGTGGATTTCTGGAAGCTTGAGGAGATAATCTGTTTTCTTAATTTTCCTTTTTCTTTTATTTTTTTATTTTGTATTTCTTTATTTTTTTTTTGAGACAGCATCTTGCTCTGTTGCCCAGGCTGGAGTGCAGTGGGGCAATCTCAGCTCACTGTAACTCCACTTCCTGGGTTCAAGCAATTCTCCTGCCTCAGTCTTCCAAGTAGCTGGGATTACAGGTGTGCGCCACCATGCCCGGCTAATTTTTTTGTATTTTTAGTAGAAACAGAGTTTCACTATGTTGGCCAGGCTGGTCTCGAACTCCTGACCTCAGGTGATCCACCCGCCTCAGCCTCCCAAAGTGCTGAGATTACAGGAGTGAGCCACCATGCCATGCCCGGCCTTAATTTTCCATCTTATAAGACTACCCACATTCCTTGGCCTGTGGTCCCCTTCCATCTTCCAAGCCAGTGTATTAGTCCCTTCTCGTGCTGCTATGAAGAAATACCCGGGACTGGGTAATCTATAAAGAAAAGAGGTTTAATTGACTCACAGTTCCGCATGGCGGGGGAGGCCTCAGAAAGCTCACAATCATGGTGGAAGGCAACTCTTCACAGGGCGGCAGGAGACAGAATGAGTGTCAGCAGAGGAAATGCCAGATGCTTATAAAACCATCAGATCTCGTGAGACTCACTCACTATCACGAGAACAGCATGGGGGAAACTGCCCCCATGATTCAATTACCTCCCACCAGGTCCCTCCCACAACAGGAGGGGATTATGGGATTACAATTAAAAATGAGATTTGGGGCCAGGCGCAGTGGCTCACAGCTGTAATCCCAGCATTTTGGGAGGCCAAGGAAGGCAGATCACCTGAGGTCAGGAGTTCAATATCAGCCTGGCCAACATGGTGAAACCCCATCTCTACTAAAAATACAAAAATTAGCCAAGCATGGTGGAATGTGCCAGTAGCCCCAGCTACTCGGGAGGCTGAGGCAGGAGAATCACTTGAACCTGGGAGGCGGAGGTTGCAGTGAGCCGAGATCACGCCACTGCACTCCAGCCTGGGCAACAGAGCAAGACTCCGTGTCAAAAAAAAAAAAGAAAAAGAGAAAGAGAGATTTGGATGGGGACCCAAAGCCAGACCGTATCAGCCAGCAAGGTAGCATCTTCAGATCTTCTAATGCTGACCTCCTCTTCTGCCTCCTGCTTTAAAGAACCTGATCACGGCTGAGCGCAGTGGCTCATGCCTGTAACCCCAGCACTTTGGGAGGCCGAGGCGGGTGGATCACCTGAGGTCAGGAGTTCCATACCAGCCTGGGCAACATGGTGAAACCCCATCTCTACTAAAAATACAAAATTAGCCAAGCGTGGTGGCTCATGCCTGTAATCCCAGCTACTCGGAGGCTGAGGCATGAGAATTGCTTGAACCTGAGAGGCGGAGGTTGCAGTGAGCTGAGATTGCGTCATTGCACTCCAGCCTGGGCAACGAGTGAAGCTCTGCCTAAAAAAAAAAATTAAAAAAAAAAATTAAAACCAGTTTTAAAAGCGATTATCTCACCAAGGTTATCAAAATCTTTAAAGGAGCCGGGGCCAGATGCTCCCTGCCACCCGCAAACCCACCCCTGGTCTGCTGTAGGCAAGCTGGGTCACAGCAGGCTTGGCAATAAGGGGGTCCCCAGGGGAAGTGCTCCCTCCAACTGGAGGCTCCTGCCCGGGCTGTGGGGATGCCCTCCTGGGAGGTGAACTGGCTGGAGTTGTGTGCCAAGACTTAATTAACCCTGGAGCAACCAGATATCCAAGGACAACTCTGGAGCCGCTGAGAGTGACCCAACCTAGATCTGGCACTTCCCCCAAACAGCCCCAGGTGCAACAGACTAGGGGGGCCACCTCCCAGTCAGCCACAGCCAGCTGGCTCCAGGCCTCTGGAAGTGCTAGTGCTTGGGGTCCACTGAGCTTTCTGACTCCTCCTCAGATATTTTAAAAATCCTAGCCTAAATGAATTTGCTACTTGCAGTCTTGTGCCTTTAAGTGAAATTCAAGCCACTGATTTCCAGAGTCTAAGTCACCAGCTGGTTTTACAAATAGACATGCAAGGTCCTAGAATCTTCCAGCTGTTTGCCTTAAAAGACAGGACACCAGATTTCTTTTATGAGGCAACCCTTGAGCCCCTACAGGCCTAGCTTTGGAAGGAAGGAAAGATTTAGGCTGCTTAAGTCTTATTGCAGCCACTCATGGCTACCATAGACAGTTGTGCAGCCTGCGCACTACACAAATGCCTCTGGGATGTCAGGGGGAGCGAACATGGGAATTAAGATCCAGCCACACTGCACTCACCAATGGCATATATGATCTCAGACTGGCCCCTCCCAGAGGGAGGTGCGCACACAGCGCAGGCTCAAACTCTGCTTCTCACACTAGCTGTCCATCATGCACAAAACGTGGCCTACCCGCACAAAATCAGGATGCTGCTCAAATCAAATGTGACACAGCTCAGAAGCTCACAAAACTCAAACTGGTCTATTCCCCCGTGTGTTTGAGGATCACAAGCTTAGATGTCAAGGCAATGTCGAATTTCCATCTGGGTGCCTGGACGTTACTCTCAATTTCTGTGTTCATTGTGTCTCAACCAGTAACTGTTTGCCCAGTGCTGGGCCTAGAGGCAGCCCTGCTCTCACCCATTGTGGGTTTCCTGAGTATACTCTGGGGCCTCCTAACCTCACTCTTTGGTAGATAGTCAGAAATCAAAGCCAGGGGTAAGTTCTGAGTCCAGAAGAAGAGGCAGTGAGGACCTCCTTCCACAGGCCCCATTTTTCTTCCTTTCTTTTCTTCCTTCCTTCCTTCCTTCCCTCTCTTCCTTCCTTCCTTCTTTCCCTTCTTCCTTCCTTCCCTTCTTCCTTCCTTCCTTCTTTCCTTTCTCTCTCTCTTTCTTTTCTTTCTTTCTCTCTCTCTCTTTCTTTCTTTCTTACAGAGTCTCACTCTGTTGCCCAGGCTGGAGTGCAGTGGCGTGATCTCAGCTTACTGCAACCTCACCTCCTGGGTTCAAGCAATTCTCGTGCCTCAGCCTCCCAAATAGCTGGGACTACAGGTGTGCGCCACCACACCTGACTAATTTTTGTATTTTTCGTAAAGATGGGGTTTCACCATGTTGGCCAGGCTGGTCTTGAACTCCTGGCCTCAAGTGATCCACCCACCTTGGCCTCCCAAAGTGCTGGGATTATAGCCATGAGCCACTGTGCCTGGCCCAGGCCTGGCTTTCTGTTACGCCTGGACGTGCTCTCAGCAGCTTACTAGCTGGTATGGAGAGGACGTTTCAGAGGAAACACAGACTGTCTCGGCTCTGAAAAGCTGCCTAGATTCTGTCCTGTTTGTGAGAAGGCTGGCACTGAAACCTCCACATCACCCTGAAGTCCTGGTCTAGACCCAGGAGGCATCAGCAGTGTGAGGTGCTAGGCTAGTTATCTGTTGTTTCCTAACAAGCCACTCAAAGCACTGTGGCTTTACAAATTTTATGATTCTCGTCCTCATGGTTTCATAGAGCTTACTGGTTTCAGCTGGGTGGTTGGTTCTGGCCTGGGGTCACTTGTGGAGTTACAGTCAGATGGCATCAGTGGCTAGTGTCATCTGACTAGAAGTCCAGGATGGTCTCCTTACTCACATGTCTGGTGGCTCAGCTAGAAGACCCAGGGCCTGGCCAGATCACTCTCTCTCCCTGACAGACTTCTCCATGAGGCTCCTTGGGCTTCCTTCCAACATGGCCACCTCAGAGGAGTCAGACTTGTTACACAGTGGCTGGCTTCCCCTAGAACAGGTGTTACCAGAGAGCCAGGTGGAAGCTGCAAGGCTACTTCTGACTTAGCAGGGCACACAGTCCTGCCCACTGGAGGTATACCCAGGGCCAGCCCCTATGTATTCAAGGGGAGGGGATTATATAAGGGCATGACAACCAAGAGGCAGACTGGGCGCGGTGGCTCACGCCTGTAATCCCAGCACTTTGGGAGGCAGAGGCGGGTGGATCACAAGGTCAGGAGATCGAGACCATCCTGGCTAACACGGTGAAACCCCGTCTCTACTAAAAATACAAAAAATTAGCCGGGTGTGGTGGCGGGGGCCTGTAGTCTCAGCTACTCGGGAGGCTGAGGCAGGAGAATGGCGTGAACCCGAGAGGTGGAGCTTGCAGTGAGCCGAGATCGCGCCACTGCACTCCAGCCTGGGCGACAGAGCCAGACTCCGTCTCAAAAAAAAAGAAAACTAAGAGGCATGGTTTATTGGGGCCCTCTCTGGTTACTATCCATGACAAGGGTGGGCAGGTCCAGGGTGGGACAACAGAGAACAGGTGGCCTGACTCTTCCCTCCAGCTAGGACTGAGCTGGGCTTTTCCACAAGCACCATCATCCATTTATTTCACAATTGTTCTGTCACCTGCCACAGAGATGACTCAGCCCCTGTGCTCACCAACTATCTTTCCTATAGGAAATGATCCTTCCAGGTGGAGAAACAGTGCAAGATATTCCCGTCCTCAGTATTCAATCCAAATCACTGATTCAATATCTGCATATTTGATAACAGGCCTGTAATCCAAATGCTTTGGGAGGCTGAGGCAGGAGGATCTCTTGAGGCCAGGGGTTCCAGACCAGCCTGGGCAACATGGCAAGAACCCATCTCTATAAAAAAGATTGGCGTGTTAGTGCACACCAATAGCCCCAGCTACTCAGGAGGCTGAGGTGGGAGGATCATTTGACTCCAGGAGGTCGAGGCTGCAGGGAGCTATGATCACACCACTGCACTCCAGCCTGGGCAACAAAGACCCTATTGCAAATATATTTATATCATATTTATATTTATATTATATATTTATTTGTATTATATAATTATATTATAAATATGTCATAAAATATAATATAAATATGAATTTATCTTTATAAACATATATAATATATATATATACACATATACAGTATTGACTATAGCCCACTCTGTTTTTCAGCTAGTTCAGAAAGATCCACAATTTTTTTCCTCAAGCCACAGCCTCCAAATGATTGAACTCTTTCGTGGATTTCCAGCCAGACCAAGGACATGCACAGCTCTCTATCCATCCACCCAGGAACTCTAAACAAGCTCCTCCCCTCCCAAGTCTTGGTTTTCTTCTGGAAGAAAGGGGGTTTATGGAGACAGAGAGGTTGACCAGATGGCTGGACTCCAAGAGCCACCATTATGATCAAGGAGCTCCAGCTACCTTCATACTCTTGGGCAGGTTCCTCCCTTATCAGAGTCTTAATCTCCTACCTGGATCACAGAAAGTCAGACAAGATGACTCTATGGGCCCTCCCAGCACCACCATGCTTCAGACTCTCATCCGACCCCCTTCTGCACATCCAGGAATATAACCATTGCCTTGGGATTGGGATTTCAGCCCAGATGTTCAGTGTAGCCTGTTCTCCCCCAGATTCCACTCCTCTGAAGTTCAAACAATTGCAAACAGGCAGACACTGCAATGGAAGCTGATCTGAATCCATTCTCTGGCTGGGTGCAGTAGTTCACACTGGTAAACCCAGCACTTTGGGAGGCCAAGGCAGGAGGATCACTTGAGCCTAGGAATTTAAGACCAGTCTGGGCAGCATGGCAAAACCGCATCTCTACAAAAAATAAAAATAAAAATTAGCTGGGCGTGGTGGTGCACGTCTGTAGTCCCAGCTATTTAGGAGGCTGAGGCAGGAGGATCACTTGAGCCCAGCAGGTCAAGGATGCAGTGAGCTGCGATCACACCACTGTGCTCCAGCCTGAGCAACAGAGTGAGACACTGTCTCAAATAAAATAAAATGAAATATTAATAAAATAAAAATAAATCCAGCCGGACGTGGTGGCTCACGCCTGTAATCCCAGCACTTTGGGAGGACAATGTGGGTGGATCGCAAGGCCAGGAGTTCGAGACCAGCCTGGCCAACAAGGCAAAACCCCGTCTCTACTACAAATACAAAAATTTGCTGGGCATGGTGGTGCATGCCTATAATCCCAGATACTTGGGAGGCTGAGGCAGGAGAATCACTTGAACCCGGGAGGCGGAAGTTACAGCGAGCCAAGATCATGTCATTGCACTCCAGCCTGGGCAACAAGAGCAAAACTCCATCTCAAAAAAATAAAAAAAATAATTTAAATCCATTTTCTGGCCCCTAGCTACCACTGAGTGATGGGGCCAGGGTGGGCAGCAGCTTAGTGTAGCAGAAAAGATTGAGATGAGGGGTCTGCCCGGCTGGGTGACAATCCAGGCTCTCCTACTTGGTGACGGCATGACCTTGAGGCATTTCTTAACCTCTCTGAACCTCAGTTTCCCCATTTGCAAAATGAGGGTTATAATGCCCACCTCACAGGATAGTTCCTATCTGAGAAGGCCGGAGGAGTGCATGTTATTATTCAAACTGCATGCTGGAAAGTGACATCTGTTTCAAAGGCAGCGGCGCTGATTCTTGTCACCGGCTCAGAGCCCTCCCTGATATAATTTAGGAGTTCTGGGTTTGGGAGTGATCCCCGGGCAGAGCTGCCATCTCCCTCCACCCCTGACATCCGCAGGATGAATAAACCCTGCAGCCCGCCTGGAAGGGCTCTTGATGCAGTGGCCTCAGAAGATGCCCTGGGCTGTCGTACTCTCCAACAGGCCGTGCTAAAAAATGACTCCAAGGAAAAGTAAGCAGACACTCCAGGCCATAAATATTTCAGAGCGGAATGAACGTCCTTTCCCCAGCACCGACTTGCCATATATATTATTTATAAAACCATAACTTGAGTTGAAAGGTAGTCGTCGAAAGAATAGACAGTCTCACTCAGATTCACCCGGCGATTGGGAAAACCATCTAGAGGGAGAGAAAATAATGTCTGGGCTAGGTGAGGTCATAGGAAGTCACCTGGCCCCATCCCCTGGCCCCAGCCTCGCCTGGAGGGACAGCCCAGAGAGGCCCCAGACCCAGCAAACTGCCAGGTTTGCACAACCCAGGGCCTCCCTGGTTTCTTAGGAAATCTCCATCAAATGCCAAACAACAGTCACAACCAGACGGTTAAAAAAAAATCTGTTATCCCCCCTTTATAACAGGGGTAGGGCTTGTCATGAGAGAGCGAGTTGAGAAGGGCTTCCCAGAGGCTATTGGGTGAGCAGACTCACTCCCCAGCTAATTTTTGTATTTTTAGTAGAGACAGGGTTTCACTGTGTTGACCATGCTGGTCTCGAACTCCTGGCCTCAGGTGAGCTGCTCACCTCGGTCTCCCAAACTGCTGGGATTACAGGCGTGAGCCACCGTGCTCAGCCCTATATTGATTTTGTAATATGTATGTAGATATGAGGTAGGAGGTGGGGCTTGACTTAGGACCAGATTGAGGACTGGCTGAAACAGGGAAGCAGCAGCAAAGCCCCTCTCCATAAGACACGCCCACCAGCACCATGTCAGTTTCCCTTTGCTACAACATCCGGAAGTTACCACCCCCTTTCTATAAATTTCTGAATACTCCACCTCTTCATTTGCATGTAATTAAAACAGAGTATAAACATGTACAAGAAGACAGCTTCCACTCCCTTTGATTTTATCCCTGACCAATCAGCACTCCTGGCTCACTGGCTTCCCCTCACCCACCAAGTTGTCCTTAAAAACTCTGCTCCCCAAATGCTCAGGGAGACTAATTTGAGTAATAATAAAACTCCGGTCTCCGGCACAGCCGGCTCTGCGTGAATTACTCTTTCTCTATTGCAATTACCTGTCTTGATGAATCGGCTCTATCTAGAGAGGGCAAGGTGAACCCCTTGGGCGGTTTCAGCCCCACCCTGCCATGGTGTGCGTGCGCATGTGTGCAGATGTATCTTCCTCCCCCATCCAATCCTCAGGCCGGGCTTGTGCCCCTGAAAGCCCGCAGTTCTGCAGGAGGAGGTCCCTGTGTTCCCTCCCAGATCCTCCCAGGTTATGCCAGGAACCCAGGGAGGACTCACAGATGCCCTGGAAACTCCAGCTTGGCTGCAGTGGGCCCCTGAGGCTCTCCCTCTCCTGTTGTAAGGCACTGCAGCCCCCTGAGCTACTAGGACCCTCAAGGGTTGGCCACACTGCCCACCTCATGGAGGACGCCACCACAGCAGACACAGGTGAAGTCCGCTCCAAAGTATGGGTGTCCAATGTCAACAGCATCACAATCTTCTACGAGGCACCATCTCATCATCACCAAAGCTGCCAGCCCCGTGATGTGGAAGCACAAGAGGAAATGGTCTCAGCCGGGGACGGTGACTCATGCCTGTCATCCTAGCACTTTGGGAGACCAAGACAGGAGGATTGCTTGAGCCCAGGAGTTCAAGACCAGCCTGGGCACCACAGCAAGACCTCCCCGCTCCAACCATCTCTACAAAATATAGAAACATGAGTCAGGCATGGCGGAGTGCACCTGTAGTCCAAGCTGCTGGGGAGGCTGAGATGGGAGGCTCGCTTGAGCCCGTGAGTTTGAGACCAGCCTGGACAACACAGCAAGACCTCCGTCTCCAGCCATCTCTACAAAATATAGAAAAATGAACCAGGCGTGGCAGAGCACGCCTGTAGTCCCAGCTACTGGGGAGGCTGAGATGGGAGGATCACTTGAGCTCAGGAGTTTGAGACCAGCCTGGGCAACATAGCAAGACCCCTTCTCCACAAAAACAATTTTAATAATTAGCCGGGTGTGGTGGTAAGTGCCTGTGGTCCTAGCTACTTGGGAGGCTAAGGTGGGAGGATTGCTTGAGGCCAGGAGTTTGAGGCTGCAGTGAGCTGAGTTTGTACCACTGCACTTCAGCTTGGGCGACAGAGTGGGACCCTGTCTCCAAGAAAAGAGAGAGAGAAAAAGAAACAAAATAGAAATCACTGGTAACTCCATGACCCAGAGGTACTCCAATTACCATTGGCGTCCATGTGTGTGGATGGACGGTTACATATGCATAAATATCTATACACATACATATGTATATATCCCTGTAGGACAGTATGAATGAACTTTAATTTATTTAAACTATTCCCTACTATTGTTCCCACCTAAGGCGTGGGAATCCCAGGTCCCAGCTGGAGAGAGACTGTCCCAAGGCAATACCGTGGCAGCACTGAGGTCAGTGAATCACCAGCAGAAATGAAAGCCGCTGGGCGCTGGGCCGAAGGGCTCAGGAGACTCAGAAGACACTTCTGGGATCAAGGCCCAGCCCAGCTGTCTGGGGGCTGTGTGGTATCTGGGGACAAACCAAGGAAGGACAGGGCGCTGGTGGGGTCTTCCTGGCACTGTCGTGTTCAAAATGAACACAGCACCACCTGCCCCGGCCCCCATCCCACAGACCCCCTGCTCAGACTCATGACTCCAGTGGGGTGGCCCATACCACCCTACATGCAGGCTGGGGCTCTTCTCCTTCCCCACAGTGGATCCCAATCTAGCAGCCACGGTCAGCAGGACCAGGGCACGGCGGAGTGGGGCATGGAAAGGTGGGAGAAGTTGCGGGGAGGGCGCATGAGCTAGGGAAGGTCTCGAAGGCTCTCAGGGAAGGCAGAAGTTAGGCTGCTAAGGGCCTGGATGGGGCCTGATACAGAGAGAGGAGGGGACCTTCCAGGAGAGAAAAAGTGCACCAAGACCCCAACCAGAAGCAGACATCGCCTGGTCGGCGGGGAGGCCCACAAGGCCACAGTCCCTCACCACCACCCAAGGGAAGCCCCCAGGATCGGAACCACTGGCCACCCTCAGGCTCATTGGCTTGGTATGGCTCTTTATTTTATTTTATTATGATCATTTTTTAAGAGACAGGGTCTCAACCTGTCATCCAGGCTGGAGTGCAGTGGACCATGATAGCTCACTGCAGCTTCCAACTCCTGGGCTCAAGCAATCCTCCTGCCTCAGCCTCCCGAGTAACTGGGACTACAGGTGTGTGCCACCACACCTAGCTCTTTTTATTTTTCACAGAGGCAGGGGTCTTGATTGCTGCCCAGGCTGGAATGCAGTGGCGCTATCATAGCTCACTGCAGCCTCAAATTCCTGGGCTCAAACGATCCTCCCGCCTCAGCCTCCCGAGTAGCTGAGACTACGCTACAGGCATGTGCCACCACATATGGCTAATTTTTTAAATTTTCTCTAGGGATGGGGTCTCACAATGTTGCCCAGGCTGGTCTTGAACTCCCAGCCTCAACTGATCCTCCCACCTCGGCCTCCCATAGCATTGGGGTTACAGACATGAGCCCTGGCACCTAGCCAACTCTTTAAGATCAAATGCTGGCCGGGAGCAATGGCTCATGCCTGTAATCCCAACACTTTGGGAGGCCAAGGTGGGCAGATCACCTGAGGCCAGGAGTTCGAGACCAGCCTGGCCAACATGACGAAACCCCATCTCTACTAAAAATACAAAAACATTTAGCTGGGCGTGGTGGTGCACACCTATAATCCCAGCTACTCAGGAGGCTGAGGCAGGAGAATTGCTTGAACCCAGGAGGCAGAGGTTGCAGTGAGCCGAGATCATGCCATTGAACTCCGGCCTGGGCAAAGAGAGCCAAACCCCTTCTCAAAAATAAAATAAAATAAAATGCCTTTTGTACCCCCAACCATTTGAGGCGGGGAAGATACAGGGCCCTACTGAGAGGCGAAGGGAGCAGGGCCCGGGGTCACTGTGTGAACTTGGGTGAGATTCCCATGCTCAGGGGGTAAAACAGGGTTTGCGGTACCTACCTTAGGGCTAGAAGTAAGAATGAAATGCAAGAGCAAACATAAAAACCCCAGGCTGGAGGACTGAGCCCATCGGTGCCTTGGGAACCACAACAGTGGGATCATTCACACACAGACAGGCCTGGTGGAATCTTCCAGACCGGCGCCTTGTGGCGAGGAGGCAATATGTCCCACGAGGCCCACTCAGGCCCCAGGAGCCCCCCTCACTTGGGCACAGCCCAGCTACCATGCCCTCCTGGTTAGTGGGCACAAGAGTGTCGAGGGAATATGCTTTGTGGGCAGCAAAGTCCTTCTTCAAAGGGGTGTTTCCACCTGCAGGTCTGAGCAGGACATGAGGTCATGTCGGGCCCCAGGACAGCAGCCCCTGTCCTAGGCTCGGCCCTGACCCACCTTCTCTGGAAGCCGGTCCTCGAGTACCCTTAGGGCCTTTACACACTCACACGTGCAGACACACGCACATGCACACACACACGCACGCACACACACGTGGACACACATGCACACACAAACACACACATGCATACACGCACACACGGACACATGTGTGCACACACGTGCGCAGACACACGTGAACACACGCACACACTCACACACACATGCACACACAGCTGCCTCCACTCACTCAGGCCTCCACCAACCCCCTCCCCAGCTGTAGCCACCACTGCCACCCCCAAAATTAAAAAGAAATAAAAATAAAAAACTGAACGAGTTAATTTGCTAAAATGAACCAGAATGCAATAACTGATTACATTTTTCCCCAAAGGAAACTTGAGTTAATTTGGCCGGTGACTCATATGACTGGCTGCCAGTGACAACACACACCATCCCAGACACAGCTCCTCGCTGTGCCCCGTTGCCAGCCGTCCCCCTCCTGGCTTCCCTCCTGCGGGAGGCGGGGACAGAGGGGTGGAGGCAGAAGTGCCCACTGGATAAAGAGCTGTTTGAGGCCCTTCTGAAAGTGCAGGATACACACGCATGCACACAGACATATATCTGTACAGAAGTGCGTGTCTGTGCACTCACACCAGGCACGCACATGCACACACACATACACACACGCCTGCACCACAGCTGAACTCTGGCATGGGCTACTCAGTAAATCATTCAACGATAACCTCTGCATACCAATACTGGGGGAAAATCCAATTAAAGTAACTCATTACTAAGTCATTCCTATTTTCCCAGCATCTTAAAGCTCCTGGGAAGAGAAGGGAAGGACAGGCAGATTACTAATGTGACCTCTCCTAGGCTGTGGGGAAAATTCCTGGCCCGGCTCCCAGGAGTGGAGGCCCCAGATGGATTTCTCTGTCTGCTCGGGGGTGGGGGGAACACTGGGTACAGCCCCCCTCCCCATCCCTGTGCCCTGTATACGGCCATAGCTTCTCCTGAAAACAGCACACATAGCTCAAGCTAAGTCCTAGGGTCAGCAGACCCAAGAGGCCCAGCCTTGTCATTCACATGCTGTGTGACATTGCACAAAGCACTTAACCTCTCTGAGCCTTAATCTCTTCTCTAAAATATCTTCATCTGATGGTTGTTTTTTGGGTTTGTTTTGTTTGGTTTGGTTTGAGACAAGGTGTTCCTCTGTCACTCAGGCTGGAGTGCAGTGGCACGATCATAGCTCACTGCAGCCTTGACCTCCCTGGCTCAAGCAATCCTCCCGCCTCAGCCTGCTGAGCAGCTGGGACTACAGGTAAGTACCTCCATGCCTGGCTAATTTTTTTGTATTTTTAGTAGAGATGGAGTCTCACCATGCTGCCCAGGCTGCATCATCTGAATTTTTTTTTTTTTTTCCTGAGATGGAGTTTAGCTCTTGTTGCCCAGGCTGGAGTGCAATGGTGTGATCTCCGCTCACTGTAACCTCCACCTCCTGGGTTCAAGCGATTCTCCTGCCTCGGCCTCCTGAGTAGCTGGGATTACAGGCGTGCACCACCATGCCCAGCTAATTTTTTGCATTTTTAGTAGAGATGGGGCTTCGCCATGTTGGCCAGGCTGATCTCGAACTCCTGACCTCAGGTGATCCACCTGCCTTGGCCTCCCAAAGTGCTGGCATTACAGGCATCAGCCACCGCATCCAGTCCATCTGATTTTTTTAAACTAGGGGGTGGGGGAAAAGGAAAGGCACACACTTTTCCTCTTTCCCCCTTGCCACTGGGTGGGTTACAGAAGCGATGGCGGGAGCTGAAGCAGCCATATTGGACCCAAAGATAGAAGTCACCTACTGAGCAAGACAAGAAAACCCAGCAAGATACAAGGAAAACGGAAAATGGTTCCTTGAGATTGTGGAGCTGCCGTGGAAGCCCTGGATTGTTTGTCATCAGACTATTATATGCAAGAGAAACAAACTTCTATGTTGTCTTTAAAATATGTTACGTATATTTATATATCACCATCATCCCTATGCTCACACATGGTGAAATCTAAAACCATTCAGAGGCCAGGCGCGGTGGCTCACACCTGCAATCCCAGGACTTTGGGAGGCCGAGGCAGACAGATCACTTGAGGTCAGGAGCTCAAGATCAGCCTGGCCAACATGGTGAAACCACGCCTCTACTAAAAATACAAAAATTAGCCAGGTGTGGTGGTGCACACCTGTAATCCCAGCTACTCGAGAGGCTGAGGCAGGAGAATCACTTGAACCTGGGAGGTGGAGGTTGCAGAGAGCCAAGATAGTGTCACTGCACTCCAGCCTGGGCGACAGAGTGAGACTCCGTCTCAAAAAATAAAATAAAATACAAAACCATTCAGAGGAGGTCACTCGATAAAGACAAGAGATGTCCCCAGACTCCTCATCCAGGAATCCAGCGAAAGGGCACTATCCAGGGCTCCACGTTTTGGCCCAACTCGCCCAGCAATTTCTGTGCATCCTCAGGTACATCATTTTCCTCCCCATGCCTCAGTTTCCCTACCTGTCTTTTGACACTAATATCAGTCTCAATTTTTAAATGCTGACCAATGAAGGACTCAAGCCAAGGATGGGCAGGAAATCACTTTGTAAAGAACTGGGATTGGGCAAGGTGGCTCATTCTTGCAGCACTTTGGGAGGCTGAGGTGGGAGGATCACTTGAGGCTAGGAGTCTGAGACCAGCCTGGAGAACACAGAAAGACCCTTGTCTCAAAAAAAAAAAAATTAAATTAGCTAAGCATGGTGGTGAGCATCTATAGTATAGCCCAGCTACTCTGGAGGCTGAGGCAGGAGGATCGCTTGAGCCCAGGAGTTTGAGGCTGCAGTGAGCTATGCTCAAGCCACAGCACTCCAGCCTGGGTGACAGAGAAAGACTCTGTCTCAAAAAAAAAAAATATTTTAAAGAGCAAGAAGGCTGGACATCCGGGCATGGTGGCTCATGCCTGTAATCCCAGCACTTTGGAAGGCCGAGGTGGGAGGATCACTTGAGCCCAAGGAGTTCAAGACCAGCCTGGGAAACATAGGTAGAACCCCATCGCTATAAAAATTAAAATTAAAAAATTAGCTAAACATGGTGGTGCGTGCCTGTGGTCCCAGCTACTTGAGAGGCTGAGGCGAGAGGATCCCTTGAGCCCAGGAATTGGAGGCTGCAGTGAGCTGTGATCACACCACTGCAGTCCAGCCTGGCAACAGAGAGAGACCCTGTCTCAAAAATAAATAAATAGGCGGGGGGATCACAAGGTCAGGAGATCGAGACCATCTTGGCTAACACAGTGAAACCCCGTCTCTACTAAAAATACAAAAAATTAGCCGGGCGTGTTGGCGGGAGCCTGTAGTCCCAGCTACTCCGGAGGCTGAGGCAGGAGAATGGCATGAACCTGGGAGGCGGAGTTGCACTGAGCCGAGATCGCGCCACTGCACTCCAGCCTGGGCGACAGAGCGAGACTCAGTCTCAAAAATAAATAAATAAATAAATAAATAAACAAACAAATAAATAAATAAATAAAGGACAGAGAAAAGCAGGAACTGGGTCTAGGTGTCTAGGTGGGACCGATGACTGGCTGGAGCACAGAGGGCAGAGACACCCGCAGCCGCCAGGCTGGTTTCAAGCTCACCTGATCCTGTTGCTAAACCACCTGGCAGGAGAGGAAGCTGAGAAAGAGAGAAAGCTGGAGGAGAAGCTGGAGTCCCACCACCCAAGCCCTACCGCACAGCTGCAGGTCGTCAGAGCCTGCCAGAGCCCTGTGCCCGCCTCCCAGGCCAGACAATGGAGACAAATGCAATCCCAAGTGGGGCACAGGTCAGGGCTCCATGTGGCCCCAGGAATGATGACACCTGGGGACGGTTCTCAGAGTGGCCAGACGTCTGCCTAAACGCTGAACCCAAAATTCAAGCACAGAATAACTGTCCACCATGACCTTGAAGGCCAGCTCTCACAGCCCCGGGGAGCAACAGCCAGGCTTCTAGGCAGCGGGCGCCAGCGGTGCCCACCCTGAGGCACACCCAGGCCCCACCGTCCCCTTGGTGTGGGTCTGAGCTCGTGCCTTTCGGCAGGTGCACAGCCTTGGGGTCGGTCTAGCCTGGATTCGAATCCCACCTGTATCACTTACAAATGGAGGGACCTTGATCGAGGAGGGTTTATAACCTCCCAGAGGCTCAGCCCTGCCCCTACACCCAGGGGGCTGCTGAGAAGCCGAGAAGCTGAAGGAGTTCAGGGCATAGACAGCCGCGCATGCTGTAGGCTCACACATAGGAAGGGGACTTCCCCTCCCTCCCAACTGTGGCCATCTGCACCCTGACTGGCATGACAAAAGGGCAAAAAACATTGGTCAAATTTCTATGCAGCATCCTTCAGTGTCCCCAAGCCCTGTCATTTCAAGATAGAAATCGGGCCAATGTGCTTCCTCTTCTCCAGAAAACAGACTCCAAGCATGGTCAAAAAACCAAAGGTGACTGGGCACAGTGGCTCACGCCTGTAATCCCAGCACTTTGGGAGGCAGAGATGGCTGGATCACCTGAGACCAGGAATTTGAGACCAGCCTGGCCAGCATGGCAAAACCCCATCACTAACTAAAAATACAAAAATTAGCCGGGCATGGTGGCACACACCTGTAATCCCAGCTACTCGGGAAGCTGAGACAGGAGAATCGCTTGAACCCAGGAAGCAGAGGCTGCAGTGAGCCAAGATCACACCACTGCACTCTAGCCTGGGCAACAGAGTGAGACTCCATCTCAAAAAACAAACAAACAAAAAACAAAACAAAACAAAACAACAACAAAAAAACGAACAGCGAGGGAACCTTAAGGATCCAAGATTCCCACTGAGAAACCAGGTCTCTATTTCTCCTTGTTCGGTTCTGGAGCCGCACGTTCTGGACTTCTCCAGGCCCCAGACACAGCAGAAAAAAAACACGAGAATCCTCATGCACCTGGCTTTTTCATTTAATTAATTAATTAATTAATTATTTGTTTGTTTAAGACAGAGTCCCGCTGTATGGCCCAGGCTGGAGTGTAGTGGCGCAATCTTGGCTCACTGCAACCTCCGCCTCCTAGGTTCAGGTGATTCTCCTGCCTCAGCCTCCTGAATAGCTGGGATTACAGGTGCCCGTCACCACACCCACCTAATGTTTGTATTTTAATAGAGATGGAGTCTCACCATGTTGGGCAGGCTGATCTCAAACACCTGACCTTCCATCTCAGCCTCCCAAAGTGCCAGGATTACAGGGGTGAGCCAGCACTCCCGGCCACACCTGGCTTTTTCTTATTATTTATTTATCTATTTAGAAATGGGGTTCTCACTCTGTGGCCCAGGCTGGAATGCAGTGGCGCAACCACAGCTCACTATAGCCTTGACTTCCAGGGCTCAAGTCATTCTCCTGCCTCAGCCTCCTAAGTAGCTGGGACCACAGGCACGTGCCACCACATCCGGCTGATTTTTTAAATTTTTTGTACAGCTAGGGTTTTGGTATGTTACTCACGCTGGTCTCAAACTCCTGACCTCAGGTGATCCGCCCCCCTCGGCCTCCCAAAGTGCTGGGATCACAGACATGAGCCACCGCGCCAGGCCCACATTTTGATTTTTAAAGCACCACCACATAGCTTTATGTCCTCGTTGTTTTCCACCTGAATCTCCTTATACAAGACTCAGGCTGGGCCAGGCACAGTGGCTCATGCCTGTAATCCCAGCACTTTGGGAGGCCAAGGCAGATGGATCACCTGAGGTCAGGAGTTCAAGATCAGCCTGGCCAACATGGCAAAACCCCGTCTCTACTAAAAATACAAAAATTAGCTGGGCATGGTGGCGCATGCCTGTAATTCCAGCTACTCGGGAGACTGAGGCGGGACAATTGCTTGAACCCGGGAGGCAGAGGCTGCAGTGAGCCGAGATCATGCCACTGCACTACAACCTGGGCAACAGAGTGAGACTCAGTCTCAGAAAAAAAAATAATAAAATAAATAAATAAAAAGATTCTCAGGCTGAAGTCACGAAGTAGGGTGGCCCCGAGCCCCCCTCAGCAGACACAGCCCAAGAGGGCATCTGCAAAGAGCAGGACTGTGGGTTGTGGGCAAGACGTGGAGGGGAGGTAGAGGAGAGAAGGGGACCCCCTACACCAGGAGGAATTTGCAGGCTTCACCAGGGAAATAGGACGGCACCCCCTGCCCCAGGGAGGTGGGCAGGGCATAGAGGGCATTTTCCAAATTGTACAGCCACAGGGACCACTCTGCCCAGAGCTCCACTCACACCCTCCAACCCCCTAGTCACACAGACACACATTCACACACACACACTACAGTCGTACACACACAGACATGCATTCACATATACACTCACTGACATACAGATACATACTCACAGGCACACACAGACATGCATTCACATACACACTAACGCAAAGACACACACAGACATTCACACAGAGTCACACTTACACACAGACATGTATTTACACATTCAAATGAATACACACACTAACACACAGAGACACACACAAACACGCACACACAGACATGTAGTCACACACCAGATGCACACACATACACTAACACACAGAGCTGTACTCACATAGACCACACACATACACACATAGGCATCATCACTACGCTAATGTCTCTCAGTGTCCTACGACAGGTGTGCACGGCCTTGCCTTGCACTGAGGTGCCCCTGCAGTATTGGGGGTTCCACCGTAGTACTGGGGTCCACTCACCCATAGACCGTGCATCTCCAGCTTCATGCGCAGGAATTTCCCCATGCCACAGGGCCTTTTGCTGGGGAAGATGCTGGTCTGCCCAAAGTCAGCGTGGAATCTGGGCAGAGCCAGAATGACCTGCCCCAGGCTTGGGAGCCGAGCATATAACCCCCCTACACACAGCGCCATTCAGACCCTGGCACCCCACCGTTGGGCTCCCTAAAGATGTGTCCATTCTGCTTGACTTAAACACTGTATTCCTGGTTGGTCCTTCAGTGACAGGGGAGGGAGGAAGAGGCTGTGGCTTGCAGGACAGGGGGTCAGGATATGGGCAATGGCTTGGGGACCTCCTACTTGTAAGGAACCAGGGTGGGGTCCTATTGGGTGGACAGGAGACCCTGCAGCCCTGGCCTCACTGCCTTCTGGGATCCTCTGCCACAGGTCCCACCCCGCAGCCCATCCTGGGCCTGCGACCCACAGCCTGTGCCTCCTGTCCCCTGTCCCTCCCAGTGCACCCTGAGCCCACCCTACCCAGCCCCCGCCACCCCCCTGCTGCACTCCCAGGGCTGACCTTCTTCCCTGCCCAGGCTGGACATCCCTCCTCTCTTGCCTCCCCCTTGACCTCCCTGATGGGACTAAGTGGAGGCTTCTGTTCATGGAAACTGGGGTTAAGGAAGCAAACTACAGGGCCTGGGGTCAAGGTCAGGTCCAAGGTCAGGGCTGAGTCAGCCCTGACTTCGTTCCTCCCGCCTCTTCCCCCGGGCATCCAGGCCCTTAGGTGTCAGGAGTTACAGCCTTGCCCTCGCCTCCTGCTCCTCTGGCCGAGGCCAGGGCGGCCCCTTCCTGTCCCCCCTGCCCGTCGTTCGCTCCCCGAGGGCGCAGCAGAAGCACGGGGAACTCCGGACCCCACGAGGCGCTCTGGACGAGGTCGAGCCGCCGCTTCCCCCGGGCGCCGCTAGGTGGCGCCGCGCTAACGAGGATCGGGATAGACCGGAGGGGCCGCGCTGCCACCAACCGGGTCTCCACTCCCCAGGTCCTCACTCCCCGGGCCCCAGCCTCGCCCCAAAGCTCAAACACGCACCCGGGAACCCTTCCACCACCCTCCCTCCCCACCCCTGGCATCCTTAGCCCTCGGCAGCTCCCGTGGTCCCAGGGGCCTCTCCGGTCCCTCAGCAGGAGACCTGGAGTGCACGGCCTGTCCATGCCTCTGGGACGCAGGACAAAGTGGACGAATAGGAATCAACCGTGGGGAGGGAGGGGCCACCCAGGAGAATCCCAGTCCACGGAGTAAGGGAGGGTGGCATGCTGAGTGCCAGGCAGAAGGCCTGGCCCAGGCGGTGCTCCCTAAGTGAGGGTGCACCCTCACTTACATCCTTCCAGGATAGTTCCTCTTCACATCCTTCCAGGATAGTTCCTCGCCTAGGCGTTTTCTCCCTCAGTTTGGGGGTAGTGGTTTTTAGGGCCCCGTGTGAGAGTGAGAAGGCTCAAGGGTGCCACTACCCCAAAACCAAGGGGGCAAGGGGCAGACCCCAACTGTACCAGGAGCAAGGAGCTGCTTTAATTTACTCCTCCCAACATGTCTATTAGACGTTTTACCAACGAGGAAGATGGGCTCAAAGCCCAAGGTCACATGGGGGTGGATGGCCAAGGCAGGGTTGGAACCCAGGTCTGGCAGATGCCCTTGCCATGCCCTGGGGTGCCCCAACTCTGACCACAATGAGCCCTTCCAGCTCCTTCCCAGCCCAAAACTAAACCCTGAGGCAGAGTGACTGGGCCACGCTCAGACGTCCCTGACTCTATGCCCTACCTCTGTCCCTCTGAGACTCCCACTGTCCTACAGCTGCCTTCTGGTCTTTGCAATGGCTGATCGTCCTGCCGGGAAAGGTGTTTCCCCAGCCTCACCAGGGCCCACTCTGGCATCAACTCCTACAGGAAGCCCTCCCTGATTGATCCCTAAGTGGAGGCTTCGGTTGGGTCCCAGCCTCAGGAAACTGGCATCAGAGCCTCCCATGGTCCCGGGCTCAGACACAATAGTGAACTCAGCCAGGTGAAGGAAGAGCTGAGAGCCCACCACCACCACGATGCTGGTCCATCGGCAGCCTGTAGCACGCCCCAAACACCCCATTTACAAAGAAACTTTTCAAAGGGCATTTAGGGCAGATGATAAAACTATGGCCCGGAGAGGCCAAGTGACTAGTGCAGAGTCACACAGCAAACCAGAAGAGACTAGACACCAACCAAGATCTGTCACTATATTCATAAAAGAAAAGAAGGCTGGGTGCGGTGTTTTGTGCCTGTAATCCCAGCACTTTGGAAAGTCAAGGGGGTGCAGATCGCTTGAGCCCAGGAGTTTGAGACCAGCCTGGGCAACATAGTGAGACCTCATCGCTACTAAAAATGTAAAAATTAGCCCAGCATGGGGACGTGTGCCTGTTGTCCCAGCTACTCAGGAGGCCGAGGCAGGAGAATTGCTTGAGCCCAAGAGGTGGAGGCTGCAATGAACCGTGATTGTGCCACTGCACTCCAGCCTGGGTGACAAAGCAAGGCCCTGTCTCTAAAAAGAGAAAGAAAATAAAAGGAAGACCAAAAGCAATGAATTTAAAACACACACACACACACGCATGCATGAGTGCATGCATGTACTTAAGTGGTAGGGCAAAGTGCCGCTGCGGACTGCAGCTGGGAGAGAGGGTGACTCAGTGCCAAGATGCCCTGCACAGGGCCCCACGCTTCTGAGAACAGTCCAGAAGCCGCTCCCAGCATGCAGCTAAAGCCATTCTCTCCTGTGGACACATCCCTGGGGACAGACCCCGTCTGTCATCACCTGGCTTGGGTAACCCAGAAAGCTCTGCCCTCCAGGCACCAGGACAGTGTCACCCATAATGAATGCCCCAGAGCACCTAGGGGTAAGTTGAGCTGGGTCAGGCCGGGCCAGTCCAGGCAGCCCCCAGGAACCCCAAAACCCACTGGCATCTACCTCTCAGGGTCTCAGGCTGAGAGCCATAGGTGCTGGGGGACATTCTGGAAAGTGCCCCCAAGAAGGCTTCACAGAGCAAGTCCTACACTTGGGAGTTGGATCCAGGTTCAGCCCCTGCTCTGCCCTACCTCGGTGTAGCCCTGAGTGCTTCTTTGAGTTTCATTAATACAACCATGGGCTGGGGTGGGTGGGCACAGAGTAGCATGTGCTGGAGAGAGAGAGAGAGAGAGAGACAGAAAGAAAGAGAAGGCACATGCATATCATACATACCTTCACACTACTACTTCTTTTCTTTTTTTTTTTTTTTGAGACAGGGTCTTGCTCTGTTGCCCAGGCTGGAGTGCAATGGCATCATTGAACTCCTGGCCTCAAGCAATCCTCCCACCTTGGTCTCACCACACCTGGCTCATTTTTTTTTTTTTTTTTTTTTTTTTTTTGAGACGGAGTCTCGCTCTGTCGCCCAGGCTGGAGTGCAGTGGCGGGATCTCGGCTCACTGCAAGCTCCGCCTCCCGGGTTCACGCCATTCTCCTGCCTCAGCCTCCCAAGTAGCTGGGACTACAGGCGCCCGCCACTACGCCCGGCTAATTTTTTGTATTTTTAGTAGAGACGGGGTTTCACCGTTTTAGCCGGGATGGTCTCGATCTCCTGACCTCGTGATCCGCCCGCCTCGGCCTCCCAAAGTGCTGGGATTACAGGCGTGAGCCACCGCGCCCGGCCCACCTGGCTCATTTTTAAAATTTTTTTGTAGACATGGAATCTTGTGCTATGTTGCCCAGGCTGGTCTTGAACTCCTAGTCTCAAGTGATTCTCCTGCCTCGGCCTCCCAAAGTGCTAGGATTACAGGGCATGAACCACCCCTGGCTCCTCTCTCTCTCTTTTTCTTTCTTTCTTTCTCTTCTTTGTTCCTTCCTTCTTCTTTTTTTTTTTTTTTTGAGATGGAGTCTCGCTCTGTCACCCAGGCTGGAGTGCAGTGGTGTGATCTTGGCTCACTGCAACCTCCACCTCCAGGGTTCAAGCAATTCTCCTGCCTCAGCCTCCCCAGTAGCTGGAACTACAGGCACCCGCCACCACGCCAAGCTAATTTTTTTTGTGTTTTTTGAGACGGAGTCTTGCTCTGTCGCCCAGGCTGGAGTGCAGTGGCATGTTCTCCACTCACTGCAAGCTCCACCTCCCGGGTTCACGCCATTCTCCTGCCTCAGCCTCCCAAGTAGCTGGGACTACAGGCGCCCGCCACCACGCCCGGCTAATTTTTTGTATTTTTAGTAGAGACAGGGTTTCACCATGTTAGCCAGGATGGTCTCGATCTCCTGACCTCGTGATCCGCCCTGCCTTGGCCTCCCAAAGGGCTGGGATTACAGGCATGAGCCACTGGGCCCGGCCCCTTCCTTCCTTCCTTCTTTCTCTTTTCCTTTCTCTTTCATGCTTTTTTTTTTCTTTCTTTCTTTTTTTCTTTTGAGAGCCAGTTGTAAATCATTTACCTGCAAAGGCTGAGAGAGCAGCCTCTTCCTCCTCCAGCCCAGGAAGCCAGCCAGCAGCACATCCAAGCAGCAAGCCTCCCTCCCTGGGTGTCGCTGCCGCCCACCCGGCTGCACAGGGAAAGCTTGCGACGTCTGTTCTTCCTCTTGCTTTATTTCTTCGTTTCCTTGCCTAAGCCTGGGAACCTGCACTGACCCTGCCCTCCCTACCCCCTCTTGACCTCTGCCCCATGGATGTCTGGCCCCAGAGTGTTCCTGGAGGACATCCTCTCTGATATTTTCAGAGTCACCTCTGGGCCTCCCGGGGACTATCCACACGAGGGGGTGATGGTTTCTGAGGTTGGACCCCGGGAGAACACAGCAGCAAGCCCTGAGCCTCCAGGACAATCTCCGCACCACTCAGCAAGAGCCCGTGCTGATCAATCAGTGAAACGGGAAGGCAGGGCCATCGCTAATTCAGGCAGCACCGGCATGGAGTTGGCCTAATTTGGAAGTGGCCTCTGCTAAAGCTGGCCTTCGAACCCTCCAAGGGGGGAAAAAAAAAGAAAAGAAAAGCTTTACTAAGCTATAAGCAGAAGCAGGACTGCAATCGAGCTGCTTCACCTATTTAAGGAAAGTGATCATTTTCAAATGCGTTTAATGCATGAATTCGGGTACACCAAAAACTGATATCCTGATTATGATCTGCCCTTTGTCCCCTAAAGGTGGTGACACTCTCCTTAGCACTACCAGCAGTCAGAATTGCTGCCAGCACTGAGCATTAAACTCCCCATCTTGTGTTTTGTTTTTGTTTTTGTTTGTTTTTTTTTTTTTTTTGAGATGGAGTCTCACTCTGTTGCCCAGGCTGGAATGCAATGGTGCAATCTTGGCTCACTGCAACCTCCACCTTCTGGGTTCAAGCAATTCTTCCACCCCAAACTCCTGAGTAGTTGGAATTACAGGCACACACCACCACGCCTGGCTAACTTTTGTATTTTTAGTAGAGACAGGGTTTTGCCATGTTGTCCAGCTGTTCTCAAACTCCTGACCTCAAGTGATCAACCAGCCTCAGCCTCCCTAAGTGCTAGGATTACAGGCATGAGCCACCATGCCCGGCCAAAACTCCTTTTTAAAGAACATCCTTGGCTGGGCACGGTGGCTCACGCCTGTAATCCCAGCACTTTGGGAGGCCAAGGCGGGTGGATCACCTGACGTCAGGGGTTCAAGACCAGCCTGACCATTATGGCAAAACCCTGTCTCTGCTAAAAATACAAAAATCAATGGGGTGTGGTGGCACATGCCCAAGTAGTCCCAGCTACTTGGGAGGCTGAGACAGGAGAATTGTTTGAACCTGGGAGGCGGGGGTTATAGTGAGCTGAGATCATACCACTGCACTCCAGCCTGGGTGACATAGTGAGATGGTCTCAAAAACAAAAAAAAACAAAACAAAACAAATTCTGGCCAGGCACAGTGGCTCATGCCTATAATCCCAGCACTTTGGGAGGCCGAGGCAGGAGGATCACTTGAGGTCAGGATTCTGAGACCAGCTGGAGCAACATAGTGAAATCCTGTCTCTACAAAAAAAAAATGCAAAAACTTAGCCAGGCGTGGTGGTGCACACCTGTAGTCCCAGCTACTCAGAAGACTGGGATGGGAGGATCGCTTGAGCCCAGGAGATCAAAGCTGCAGTGAGCCTATGATGATGCCACTGCACTTCAGCCTGGGCAACAGAGCGAGACCTTGTCTCGAAAACATAAAAGAACATCCCGCCATCCATTCCATCAGGCAGCCCTTCTCTCTTTCATGTAGCAATGTTTATGAAAGGACAGCTGTGGTCACAGCCCTGTTGAGTTCACACACAGAGATGTTTTCTGTGGCACGTTGCTCCTGTCCTGCCCTTCATGGGGTCTGATTGCAGAGGCTCTGGGAATAGGACGTCACTGGACTGCAAATTAGCACTGGCACCACGTCGGTCCCACGTCCCGCCCAAGTCTAACTTGACTTCTCTTAGTTGCTACCCCGTCAATGTTTGCCCAGTGAACGTTCACTGGTCCTGCTCACACCCCAAGCGAGTGGCTGGCAGGAAGGCCAGGGCTGTTGGGGAAAGCAAGTAACTGCCTGTTCTGGACGAGGTCAGTGGCTTTTAATTATTTTTCAGCAGAATTCTCTTTACAAGCAAAATCATAGTCAGAGCCTCCAGATGTAAAACAAGAGAGAACAAAACGGCTATAGTTGAATTGGGCCCTGCCTAGCTGCCCCTCCACCTGGGATTTCCTGGATTTTCTCTGGATCTTCAAGTTTTGAAGTCTTTTTTTTTTTTTTTTTTTTTTGAGACGGAGTCTCCCTCTGTCACCCAGGCTGGAGTGCAGTGGTGCGATCTCGGCTCACTGCAACCCCCACCTCCCAGATTCAAGCAATTCTCCTGCCTCAGCCTCCTGAGTAGCTGGAATTATAAGTGCCTGCCGCCATGCCCAGCTAATTTTTTGTATTTTTAGTAGAGACGAGGTTTTACCATGTTGGCCAGGCTGGTCTCAACCTCCTGACCTCAGGTGATCCACCTACCTCAGCCTCCCAAACTGCTGGGATTACAGGCGTGAGCCACCGCGTCCAGCCTAGCTTCGAAGTATCTGGTTTCCACCAGGGCCTGATTCTGCCTTCATCCAGAAACTCAGTCTCGAACTCCTGTGGGTGTAAAAGAAAATATAAGGAACAAAAATTGCTGGCACAGTGGTTCATGCCTGTAACCCCAACACTTCAGAAGGCTGAGGCAGGAGGATCGTTTGGGGCCAGGAGTTGAAGACTAGCCTGGCCTCTTCAAACATAGCAAGATCCTGTCTCTCTCTCTTTTTTTTTTGAGGCGGAGTCTCGCTCTGTCGCCCAGGCCGGACTGCGGACTGCAGTGGCGCAATCTCGGCTCACTGCAAGCTCCGCTTCCCGGGTTCATGCCATTCTCCTGCCTCAGCCTCCCGAGTAGCTGGGACTACAGGCGCCCGCCACCGCGCCCGGCTAATTTTTTGTATTTTTAGTAGAGACGGGGTTTCACCTTGTTAGCCAGGATGGTCTCGATCTCCTGACCTCATGATCCACCCGCCTCGGCCTCCCAAAGTGTTGGGATTACAGGCGTGAGCCACCGCGCCCGGCCTTTTTTTTTTTTTTGAGACAAGGTCTCTCTCTGTCACCCAAGCTGGAGTGCAGTGGGGTGATCTTGACTCACTGCAGACTCGAACTCCTGAGCTCAAGCAATCCTCTTGTCTCAGCCTCCCAAGTAGCTATGACTACAGGCACACACCACCACACCTGGCTAATTTCACTCCTTTTTAAATTTTTTTGTACAGACAGAGTATGGCTATGTTGCCCAGACTGGTCTCGAACTCCTGGCCTCAAGCGATCCTCCCACCCCCGCCTCTCAAAGTGCTGGGATTACAGGCATGAGCCACTGTGCCCAGCCAAAACCCCCATCTCTACAAAAAAGAAAGATTAGTGAGGCATGTGGTGCACGCCCGTAGTCCCAGATACTTGGGAGGCTGAGGCAGGAGGATCACTTGACCCCAGGAGTTCAAGCCTGCACTCCAGCCTGGGCAACAGGGTAAGACCTCCATCTCTAAAATAGAAATAAATAAATAACAAACACTGTGCCAGGTGCAGTGGCTCACGCCTGTAATTCCAGCACTTTGGGAGGCTGAGGCGGGCAGATCATTTGAGGTCAGGAGTTCAAGACCAGCCTGACCAACATGGTGAAACCCTGTCTCTACTAAAATACAAAAATTATCCAGGCATGGTGGTGGATGCCTGTAATCTCAGCTACTCAGGAGGCTGAGGCAGGAGAATCACTTGAACCCAGGAGGCGGAGGTTGCAGTGAGCCAAGATTATCCCACTGCACTCCAACACTGGCGACAGAGTGAGACTCCCTCTCAAAAAAATAAAATAGGGCCAGGCGCTGTGGCTGTAATCCCAGCACTTTGGGAGGCTGAGGTGGGCGGATCACTGGAGGTCGGGAGTTTGAGACCAGCCTGGCCAACATGGTGAAACCCCGCCTCTACTTAAAAAAAAAAAAAAAAAAAAAAAAGCCTGGCATGGTGGCACACTCCTGTAGTCCCAGCTACTCGGGAAGCTGAGGCAAGAGAATCACTTGAACCCAGGAGGTAGAGGTTACAGTGAGCGGAGATTGCACCACTGCACTCCAGCCTGGATGACAGAGAGAGACTCCATCTCAAAAATAAATAAAAATAAAATAAAATAAAAATAATAAACAAAAATTGGAAATTACAATAACGTCTCCAAAACACCATTTCCTGGGCTCCACCTCCAGCTCCCCAGAGTCCCAGAAAGAAGAATTCTCTTCTTTTGCACCTAACGGCTACCCTCTCCCTCCAAGGCTCCAGGTCAGCCTGGCAGTGATGATTCTGGTTACACCATATTCCAAACCAATGACTGGGACACTGAGGCCTGCAGAAGACCCCGTTGTCCCTACCAGCACCTCGGACACCAGATTGGACCTAGGAGCCATCTCCCATGACTGTACAAGTGACAATAAATCACTCATTCTTCATTCATTCATTCATTCAATGCTGCCGTGTCCCTGGTGCCCAGTGCAGAGCCAGGGACAGCTGTGAAGGGCGCATTCTCATTGACATGTGCCAGGCTTTGCACTGGGCACCAGAGACATGGCAGTGCCCAGGTAGACAGAGGTGCTGCCTGCATGAAGCGTGAGATGGACTCTGGTGAGGACACGGGCAGTCCCAGCCTGGAGCCACACAGGCATCCATGAGAGCAGGAGGGGAGCTTTGGGGCACATGGAGGGATCTGATTCAATCTGGGAGTCAGGAAAGGCTTCCTGGAGGAAGTGGCCTCTGAGCTGATACCTGGGGAGTTAGCAAGAAGAAGAGGGTACAGGCTGGGTGTGGTGGCTCATGCCTGTAATCCTAATGCTTTGGGAGGCTTAGGCAGGAGAACTGCTTGAGGCCATGTGTTTGAGATCAGCCTGGGCAACATAGTGGGACCCCATCCCAAAAAAAATTTTTTTTAAAGAGGGTGGGTGCATGGCCGGGAGTGGTGGCTCATGCCTATAATCCCTTTGGGAGGCCAAGGCGGGTCGATCACCTAAGGTTAGGAGTTCGAGAACAGCCTGGCTAACATGGTGAAACCCCATCTCTACTAAAAATATGTAAATTAGCCAGGCGTGGTGGCACACATCTGTAATCCCCGCTGCTCGGGAGGCTGAGGCAGAATTGCTTGAGGTAGAGGTTGCAGTGAGCCGAGATCGCACCACTGCACTGCTGCACTGCAGCCTGGGCAACAGAACAAGACTCCATCTCCAAAAAAAAAAAAAAAGAGGGCTGGGTGCGGTGGCTCACACCTGTAATCCTAGCACTTTGGGAGGCTGAGGTGGGCAGATTGCCTGAGCTCAGGAGTTCAAGGCCAGCCTAGAAAACATGATGAAGCCCTGTCTCTACTAAAATACAAAAAATTAGCCAGATGTGGTGGTGGGCGCCTGTAGTCCCATCTACTAGGGAGGCTGAGGCAGGAGAATCGCTTGAACCCAGGAGGTGGAAGTTGCAATGAGCAAAGATCGTGCCACTACACTCCAGCCTGGGTGACAGAGCAAGACTCTGTCTCAAAAAAAAAAAAAAGGGTGCAGGTGAAATGGGGTTCCAGCAGAGGAAATGGCACATGCCAAGGCTCAGGGTGTTGCAGGAGTGTGGGAGCTGGAGTTTGGTGTGGCTTGGAGAGAGAGGTCAAGGTGAAGGTCCGGAATGAGGAAGGCTAGTGAGGGACAATTGGATTTCTAAGGTCCTAGTAGGCAAAGCAAAGAGGGAAACTCGATCAGTCATTACATTCATGGGTCCAAGCAGGTGCTGGGGATATGGACGTTTTTTTCCAAGGACTGAGGCCAGGGAGAGAGGCCTTCTGTGTGCTCCCATAGGTGGGTACAGGGGCAGGGGGAGGGTAGCATTTTGGACAGCACCCCCATGACAGAGGCACGTTGGTAGTCCGGGGCCGAGCAAAGGCTGGTAGAAGTCAATCTGTGAGCGTCCAACTCCCAGGGGTCCCATTCCACCATACCTCGAACTGGTAACATTTGGGATCCCGGAGCAGCAGACGGCCCACCTTGTTCATGGGCAAACAGCCCAGTCCCTATCTTCCGCTGCTTTTCCTCGTCCTTCCTCAAGGCACACCTTGTACCAATGTGGCACTGGCCTTTAGCAGGCAACCTTGCCTGAGCCCTGCAGAGGTGCATCCTTGCCTGCACTGGCTGGTTCCCAATGGAGCTGCGGCTGCCACCAACCCCCAGACCCCAGGCCTCCTGCTGGTGCTGCACAATCTCGGCTCACTGCAACTCTGCCTCCCGGGTTCAAGTGATTCTCCTGCCTCAGCCTCCTGAGTAGCTGGGATTACAGGCACGCACCACCACACCCGGCTAATTTTTGTGTTTTTAGTAGAGACGAGGTTTTGCCATGTTGGCCAGGCTGGTCTTGAACTCACCACCTCAGATGATCCACCCGCCCGGCCTCCCAAAGTGCTGGGAGTACAGGTATGAGCCACTGCGCCTGGCCTCTCCTATTGTTTAAATGCATCTCTGTATGCCTCCTGACATCCTTTTCTGAGCAAGGCAGGTGCAACTAACCAAATAAACAAATTCAAAATGACTCCCCACCCACCCACTCCTCCCAGTACTGAGCCATTGTCGAAAGGTGAGTGTCATGAGGCCAGGGTGACTTTATTCCCAGGGGGCCCCAGGCTTCTTGTGCCAATGAACCCAGGCAGACCTGCACCCACTCTGCATATGCCCTGACATCTTAGGGAGGCAAGGCCCCCTTCCCGCCCCAAGCCATCCATTCATACATTCACTCAGTCACTTGTTCAGCAGATGACGGGTCTGAGGAGGCTCTAGCTGGCTCACCCCCTGGCTGCCCTGGGCCTAGGGGACATGGACCTCAGCAGCTGACCGATGGGACCTGTGGGACAGTCTGTCCTCACCCTGGCATGAGGCTTGCTGCAGAGTCCGAAGTCACCGTGTGCCTCCGGGCCTGGCTCTGTGCTGGCAGAGACTGTTCCCTGGAGCAGATGCAGGCTCCCATCTGGGGCCTCAGAACCCCGGCCCTGCCCACTGTCTGTAGCCTCTGTCACCTTCTCCTACACAGGCATCTCCAAGGCATCCCCTGCAGACACAGCTCCAACCTCCGCAGGCATCGGGCCAGGGCTCCCTGCAGGACGGCCATCACCCCAGCGGGCACCAACCTCCTTCCTCTTCAGAGCTGCCCCAGGTCTCCAGGGACTGGATCCAAGGCTCTTGCGTCTTAGAGAGGACTGGAGACGCCCTGTCCTTCATCCCCTCCTCCTGCCTCAGCGCAGCCCTGGATCCTCAGATCCTTCCCCAGGATAAGAGATGGTGGTAGAAGTGAAAGCTCCATTTCTCCTTCATGCCAATAGGCAGACAGACAGACAGACAAAAAGGCAAGCAAATAGGCATGCAGACAGACAGGCAGATGGGTAGGCAGACAGACGGGCAGGTAGGCAGGCAGATAGATGGACAAGCGGGCAGGCAGACAGGCAGGCAGACAGACAGGCAGGCAGACTGGCAGACAGACAGGAAGATTGTCAGGGAGACACAGAGACAGGCAGATAGGCAGGTGGGCAGGGAGACAGGCAGATGGGCAGACAGGCAGACAGAAAGCAGACTGGCAGGCAGACCGGCAGACAGATGGACAGGCAGACAGACAGGCAGACTGGCAGGCAGACAGGCAGACAGACAGGCAGACAGATGGACAGGCAGACCCACAGACAGGCAGACTGGCAGGCAGACAGGCAGACAGATGGGTAGGTGGGCAGGGAGACGGGCAGATGGGCAGGCAGAAAGACAAACAGGCAGACAGACGGACAGGCAGACAGTCAGGCATGCACAAAGACAGGCAGACAGACAGGAGGCCAACAGACAGGTGGTCAGAGCTGCAAAACTCCCAGGCCAAGCAGAGACATTTTGACAGAACTGGGTGGTGGGTTTCCCAGGGCCCTCTCCACTGTGGTGACGAGCAGTGGCTCAACCCCCCACCGGAAGGTGGAGAACAAAGACCAGGCAAGGGGGCCACCTTGTCCTTACCCTGGTCACCCCAGCCATCACCCCCTTGGGGCCCCGCTGACCCATGAACTCTCCGTGGCTCCCGGAGGCGCCATCACCCTCATCTTAGGGGAGGGCGCCTCGCGGGGCCGAGAGTACGGAAAGAGTGCAGTCTTATTGTGCACTTTTTCTTAAATCTGCGATAAGCTCCTTCTATTAGACTATAGATCTCGTCACATAAAATAGATTTGTGGACTCGCAGCCAGGGAGAGCCACGTTCTGGAGCGGCGGAAACGGCTCATTTTTCCCTCTCTTCCGAGAGTAACTGATGGTCATGAATTTTTTACCCAAATGTCGCCACTAAAGATGTCACCAGCCTCCCTCCCCTGGAGATTTTACGATCTGGCTCTAATGGGGTGGGGGTGGGGGGCCTGGGGAGAAGGGACTGGTGTGACCTGGGGCTGCAAAAAGGATTCAATGTCATCCGGTGGGGCGGTGTGGAATCAAAGGGGTCAGAGGCTGGGGTGTTGATGCCGGGTGACAATAGCAGTTCTGTTTACTGAGCAGTTACTGCGTGCCAGACATGTCATCCACCCTCTCTGGCTGAAGTTCTTGATGCAAATAAGATAACATGAAGTAGCCAGGCCAAGATGTAAGCCATACACTTGCCTTCTCACCTGTAAGGAGAGAATAACTCTTCTTTATTTTTTATTTTATTTTATTTTATTTTTTGAGACGGAGTTTCGCTCTTGTTGCCCAGGCTGGAGTGGGCAATGGCGTTATCCTGGCTCACCGCAACCTTCGCCTCCCGGGTTCAAGCGATTCTCCTGCCTCAGCCTCCCAAGCAGCTGGGATTACAGGCATGCGCCACCACTCCCAGCTAATTTTGTATTTTTAGTAGAGACGAGGTTGCTCCATGTTGGTCAGGCTGGTCTAGAACTCCTGACCTCAAGTGATCTGCCCACCTTGGCCTTCCAAAGTGCTGGGATTACAGGCAAGAGCCACCGTGCCTAGCCTGTTTTTTTTTTTTTTTTTTTTTAAAGAGAGAGAGGGTCTCGCACTGTCACCCAGGCTGGAGTGCAGTGATGTAATCATAGCTCACTGTAGCCTCAAACTCCTGGGCTCAAGTGATCCTCCCACCTCCGCCTCCCGAGTAGCTGGGACCACAGGTGCAAGCCACCACACCTGGCTAATTATTTAATTATTTGTAGGAAGGACAAGGGCTTGCTATGTTGCCCAGGCTGGCATTAAACTCCTGGACTCAAGCGATTCTCTCTCCTCGGCCTCCCAGAGTGCTGGGATTATGGACACAAGCCACCACACCTGGCTGGGAATAACTCTTTTACAAGAATCTGTGTCAAAGTCCTTCAGCAAGGCTACACTCTAGGAAAATGGGATGCTGGCTTTGGCAAGGCGTGTTTTCTGTTTGGGTCACTCATTAGGGAAATACCTACAGCCATTGTGGGAGAGGGGATGAAATTAGGACTGGAAATAGCCACTGTCTCCCTGCTCATGGAATCCCAGCCAGCCTCCCCAATCAGGAAGGGTGAAGTCCATGCCGGGAGGGCCTGACCAACACCTGAAGTACCAGGAGAGCTGGAGCCATAGACTCGTCACCCTCTGCGGAAGGACGGGGAGCCGGATTGAATGAGAGGGTCCTGGGAAACAAACAGAAAGAGGAGATCCAGGTGTAGGAAGAATGTTTTTGAGGGACGTTACCCCCAAACATCCAGGCTGTCAGGGCCTGCTCCCCTCGGACGGTGCAGAGCAAGGAGAAGGTCAGACAATGGCCCCGTCATCCTCCCACACCCTGAGCTATACAGTTAAATAACAGCGGCACCTCCATCACAGCCCAGGGTCTATTTGGTTTGCAGGGACTGGCACCAAGCAACAGACACTTGAGGAAGGGGTGCTACTTCCTGATCAGCAGAGAAGGGACTAAAGAAATGCTCCTGGCCGGGCACCGTGGCTCACGCCTGTAATCCCAGAACTTTGGGAGGCCGAGGTGGGTGGATCATCTGAGGTCAGGAGTTGAGCAACATGGCAAAATCCCATCTCTACTATACAAAAATCAGCCAGGCATGGTGGTGTATGCTTGTAATCCCAGCTACTTCGGAGGATAGGCAGGAGAATCGCTTGAACCCGGGAGGCGGAGGTTGCAGGAAGCTGAGATCGCGCCGTTGCATTTCAGCCTGGGCGACAGAGCAAGACTCTGTCTCAAAAAAATAAAAATAAAAATAAAAATAAATAAAAAAACAAAGTCCTCTTTCCCAGGGTGAGGAGGCACAGCCTGGGGGAGAGGGAGGGAGTTAGCATGGAGCCCATGGGAGGGGGCAGCAAGACTGAGGGATGGGGGGCAACGGAGGAGAGACATCTAGCGCCAAGTCCCAAGAGGGGACTCGGGAAATGTCCAGGGATTGATTGACACTTTACAAGACTCAAACACGTTGCACGTGGCACTCCCCAGATTATTGCCCTATAAATGAGTATGCAGCACGTTGACTGCTTCATGACCGGGAGGAATCCAGCCCGACACAAGTAAACAGACGACTGCAGTACCGCCCAATAACGCTAATAGGTGCTTTGAGAGAAGTGAGTTCAGGGTTCGCTTTCCAAGCTCAGGGTTAGTGACTGGCTTGCTGGGCAAATTACTCACTCTGCCTGGGGGCAAGGAGATGTCCAGGAAGGCTTCCTGGAGGAGGGGACAACTCAGCTAATAACCTTTAAGAGCACCAGGAGTGCAATTCTCTTGTTGGCAAGAGAGTGATTAATACCGGAGGTGGGTCCACTGTGTGGAGGAGAGAGTGGAGGGACAGTGAGAGAGGAGAAAAAGTTAGGGACAAGCTCAGAATCTCTTGGAGCTAGAGCGTTTTTTCTTTTCTTTTCTTTTTTCTTTTTTTTTTTTTTTTGCCCGACCGCGGCTCACTGCAATCTCCGCCTCCCAGGTTCAAGCAATTCTCCGGCTTTAGCCTCCTGAGTAGCTGGGATTACAGACCCATGCCACCATGCCGGGCTAATTTTTGTATTTTTAGTAGAGATGGGGTTTCACCATGTTGGCCAGGCTGGTCTCCAACTCCTGACCTCGTGATCCGCCCCCCTCGGCCTCCCAAAGTGCTGGGATTACAGGCGTAAACCACCATGCCCAGCTGGGAGCAAGAGTTTTATCTTGAAAAATACATGCAACTTTCCCATCCTGCTCCGTAATACAGTGTTGGTTTTTGTTTTGGGTTTTTTTTTTTTTTTTGAGAAAGGGTCTCCCTCTGTCTCCTAGGCTGGAGAACAGTGGCACCAGCATGGTTCACTGCAGCCTCAACCTCCCAGGCTCAGGCAATCCTCCCACCTCAGCCTCCCGTGTAGCTGGGACCATAGGTGCACACCACCACCCATCACGCCAGGCTAATTTTTAATTTTTTTGTAGAGATAGAGTCTTACCAGGTTGCCAAGGCCGGTCTCGAACTCCTGGGCTCAAGTGATTCTCCTGCCTCAGCCTCTCAAAGTGCTGGGATTACAGGCATGAGCCACCACGCCCAATCAGCGTTGGTTTTCATGTAAAAACAAGTTTTCTTTTTTTTTTTCTTTCTTTTTTTTTTTTTGAGACATAGTCGCTCTGTCACCCAGGCTGGACTGCAATGACTGCAATGGCTCACTGCAACCTCCGCCTCCTGGGTTCAAGCAATTCTCCTGCCTCAGCCGCCTGAGTAGCTGGGATTACAGGCATGCGCCACCACACCTGGCTAATTTTCACATTTTTAGTAGAGACAGGGTTTCACCATGTTGGCCAGGCTGGTCTCAAACTCCTAACCTCAGGTGATCCACCCGCCTCAGCCTCCCAAAGTGCTGGGATTACAGGCGTGAGCCATTGCACCTGGCCTAAAAACAAGTTTCCTAATTACTTACCACATATGAGTAGACAGGTCAATGGAACAGGAAACAAAGCCCCAAAATGTACACCAAAACATAGTGGAATTTAGCATATGATAAAGAGGGCCTTACATCAGTGAGGTAAGCATGGGCTTTTTAATAAATGGTGTTGGTAAAACCAGGAAACCACCTGGAAACAAATAAAACTGAATCTGTTCGCCAGAACACAAAAACAAATTCCAAATGGGCCCAAGATTTAGATGTAAACATTAAAATCATAAGAGAACCAGAAGAAATATGAATGAATCCCTTTATAACTTTGGATTGGGGACCATCTTCCAATGACTTAAAATCCAAAACCAAGGAGGGGGAATAGTGAGCATTTAAGTTGATGATGATGATGATAATGATGATGATAATAATAATAATAATAATAATAATGGGGCCAGGCACGGTGGCTCATGCCTGTAATCTCAGCACTTTGGGAGGCTGAGGGAGATGGATAACCTGAGGTCAGGAGTTCAAGACCAGCCTGGCCAACATGGCGAAACCCCGTCTCTACTAAAATTACAAAAAAATTAGCCAGGTGTGGTGACATGTGCCTGTAATCCCAGCTACTCAGGAGGCTGAGGCAGGAGAATTGCTTGAACCTGGGAGGCAGAGGTTGTAGTGAGCTGAGATCATGCCACTGCACTCCAGCTTGGGCAACGAGAGCAAAACTCTGTCTCAAAAAATTAATTTAATTAATTAATTAATAACAATAATGAACAACTTCTACATGACAAAGAACATCATATGCAAAGTAAGTCAAAAGATAAACAGGGAGAAAATATTTGCAACTCATATTACAGCCAAGGGGCTGCTCTCCCTAATATGTAAAAAGTTCTTACAAAAAAAGAGAAAAAACACCAAAAATCTGGTGGAAAAATGGGCAAAGGATTTGAACAGAGCATTCCAGAGAAAAGAAATATAAGTGGGCTTTAAACATATGAAAATGCTCAACCTTATTCACATTAAGAGAAAAATGGGCCTCGGTGGTGGCTCACACCTGTAATACCAGCACTTTGGGAGGTTAAAACAGGAGGATCACTTAAGCCCAGAAGTTTGAGATCAGCCTGGGTAAAAATCTCATCTCTACAAATATTTTTTTTTTAAAAGTGAGCCAACATGGTGGCACATGCCTGTAGTCCCAGCTACTCAGGAGGCTGAGGCAGGAGGTTTGCTTGAGCCCAGAAGGTAGAGGTTGCAGTGAGGTGAGGTTGGGCCACTGTACTCCAGCCTGGGCAACAGAGTGAGACCTGTCTCAAAAAAAGAAAAGAGCGAGAGAAATGAATTATACACCACACCAGAATACCATTTCTTACCTATCAGATAGGCCAAAATCCAAAATTATGCCAACACGGTCCAAGGATGAGGCTATTGTGTAGGCAAACAGGCCGTCTGGTATGTTGCTGGTGGGAATGCAAAATGATACAACCCCCAGTGGCAAGTGGTTTAGTAATTCTTATCAAAGTTACGGATGCATTCACCCTATGGCCTGTCAGTCCCACTTCTGGGAATTTGTTCAACAGTGCCACCTTGAACATGTAAGAAATGATGTACATATAAGCTTAATCATCGCAGCTGCGTGTAACAGCAGAAAGCTGGCAGCAATCCAGTTGTTTCACACATTATGCAAAAAGACAGTGAAATAAATCATGGTACATCCACACAATGAAATACTATGAAGCTGTTGAAAAAGGAGGAGGAGGAGAAAGAGGAAGAGGAGGTGGGAGAGGGGAAGAAGAGGAGGTGGGAGAGGGGAAGAAGAGGAGGAAGAGGAGAAAGCTCTCTATACCCTGACGTGGAAAGATCTCCCAGATAGAATATTGGGTAAAAACACAAGGAGTAGAACACCATAGGCTGGTGGGGTGTCTCATGCCTGTAATCCCAGCACTTTGGGAGGCTGAGGCAGGAGGAGCGCTTGAGCCCAGGAGTTCGAGACCAGCCTGGGCAACATAGCGAGACCTCGTCTCTGCAACAAATCTTTTAAATTAACTGGCATGGTGGCTCACACCTGTAGTCCCAACTACTTGGGAAGCTGATGTGGAAGGATTGCTTGAGGCTGGAAGGTCAAGGCTGCAGTGAGCCGTGATCATGGAACTGCACTCCAGCCTGGGTGACAGAGCAAGGTGCTGTCTCAAAAAAAATAAAAATAGGCTGGGTGCAGTGACTCACACCTGTAATCCCAGCACTTAGGGAGGCTGAGGCAGGTGGATCACCTGAGGTCAGGAGTTCGAGACCAGCCTGGCCAATATGGTGAAACCCTGTCTCTACTAAAAATACAAAAATTAGCTGAGCATGATGGTGGGCACCTGTAATCCCATCTACAGGGAAGGCTGAAGCAGGAAAATCACTTGAACCTGGGAGGCGAAGGTTGCAGTGAGTTGAGATTGTGCCACTGCAGTCCAGCCTGAGTGGCAGATTGGGACTGGGTCCCAAAAAATAAAAATAAAAATAAATAAAAAGAACAGCATCTATGTCAGCAAATACAGATTGCTTTATGCATTTGCATAAAGAAATACTAGAAGGATACACAAGAAACTAATTGTTCCTCTAGGGATCAGGGGGATGAGATCCCTGGGACATGGATAGTGGGACTTGTGATCAATGCCTTTTCATAGCAGTTTGGACGTCAAACCGTGTGAACATGTTACATATCCACACTTTTGTAATGATATTAACATAAACAACTTACCAAGAAAGTAAACATCGATATTTATCAGGTATAGGTCTGGTGGTTTGTTCATCCCTGAATACCAAGTCCTAGATCCATGGGAACTTGCCCCCCATTTTGGGGGAAACAGCAATGGGGAGCCATTGAAAGTCTCTGAGCAGGGCAGGCACATGGTGAACCCAAGAAAGCCCATAGCCCTGCAGCCAGTGCTCAGGGCCAATGGACAGCTGCAGGGCCAGGGGACCTATGGCTGCGGCAATAGGGGCAGCTTTGGATGAAAGCGGAACTTCCTTGGGGGCTCAAGTCCCCATGCACCCCCGTATCCAATGTCCAAGCTGCCCTGGAAGCAGCTTATCGCTCAGCTCTTGCCTTCTGCTTCCTACATAGGGAGGAGATTTCTACGATCGGGAGAGAGTCGGCACCCGACAGGGCTCAAGGAAGTCCACAAGAGCCGGTTTCCAAGACCTGGGGCTCGGGCTGGGCTGGCTGAGCCCAGGCCCCTCAACCATGGCAAGTTGCTGAGAAGCCCTGCATGGCAGCTCTGATACCCAATGGGGACCTAGTGGGTGTCCCTCTTCTCCCTTTCAAAATGAAGACATCCTTCCAGCTGCAGCTCAGGTATAAGTGAAGACAGAGGGACTCTTAGGATCACTCTCCACACCCCACCTCCTTCAGGAAGCCTTCCTGGGCCATCAGGACGGTGGAACACCTCTTCAGCCTCCGTCTCCTGGACCAAAACTTGCCCTGCTGCCCTCTCCGAGTCCTCCGTCCAGGGCTGCGACCCTTGATCCTGACTTCACACCACCCCATGACCAGCCCCCCAGCACTGGCATGCTAGTCCTTCATCTGCAGCTCCCAGCCCCTCACCTTTCCTGCCCCTGTGTGGGAGCTTGTCCATACAAATATTTTGCAAACTGTAAAGGGCTGCGTACCGACAAACACTTTGCAAACTGTAAAGGGCTGTGCACTGACAAGCACTTTGCAAACTGTAAAGGACTGTGCACCCACAAGCACTTTGCAAATGCTAAAGGGCCATGTACCGGCAATGTCTCCTGAGGTTAGGAGGAGAGGGAGGGAGAGGAGAAAGCCTCTGACTGTGGTTCTCCACCACAGGCCTGGGTTTTACTGCCCTCATGAAATGCTGTGTTTGCTCGGCACCCCACCCGGTGGCTTGTACACACCTGTACGCGGAAAGCTGTAATTTTGCAGCATTAATCACAGGTAGGATCACACCCAAGTTCCTGGCACTCCACTCCCCAGGGAGGGCTGGCCAGGCCGTCGCCTTTGTGTTCCAATTATGCTGTCTTTTATTGCTTTTTTTTTTCTTTTTTTCTTTTATTTTTTTGAGATGGAGTCTCACTTTGTCGCCCAGGCTGGAGTGCAGTGGCGCGATCTCAGCTCACTGCAACCTCAAGTGATTCTCCTGCCTCATTACAGCTGCCCACCAACATGCCAGGCTAATTTTTGTATTTTTGTAGAGATGGGGTTTCACCATGTTGGCCAGGCTGATCTCGAACTCCTGACCTCAGGTGATCCGCCCGCCTCCCAAAGTGCCGGCATTACAGGCATGAGCCACCATGCCCAGCCTTATTGCTCTTTTAACGATAACAGAAACACTTAAAGAGGCAGGGTCCGAGGGTGAAAAATGACACGCAAAAAAAGCCACTGCACTTGGTGCCTAGAGGAAGTTCTGTGTCTGGACAGAGCGCTCCCCATAGGCGGGTGTGAAGAGGCTGTGTGAGGTAGTGGCTAGCACATGTGCTCTGGCATCCTACAGGCCTGAGTTCAAATTGTGGTTCTCGTGCCAACCAGCTGTGTGACCCCAGGCAAGTGACTTGCCCTCTCTGAGCCTCCATTTCCTAATCTCTAGAACGGTATATTGAAGACAAAGGACTGAAATGACCGTGGGGAGAGGCTGCTACTTAGTAGACCTTTGTCAATGCCAAGTCCTCCCAGGTCCTCCCATAGCTAGTGCTGTCTGTTTCTCCCACCAATTCATGTCATTTCCTACAGGTGTTCACTCACTGCTATGCACGCGGTAGGCACGCAGGGTGGCCGAAAGAGCGTGGGCTTTGGAGTTGATTTTTCTTTTCTCTTTCTTTTCTTTTCTCTTTTCTTTTCTTTTTTTCTTTTCTTTCGGAGTCTTGCTCTGTCACCCAGGCTAGAGCACAATAGTGTGATCTCGACTCACTGCAAACTCCGCCTCCCAGGTTCAGGTGATTCTCCTACCTCAGCCTCCTGAGTGGCTGGGATTACAGGTGCCTGCCACCACGCCCAGCTAATTTTTGTATTTTTAGTGAAGACAAGGTTTCACCATGTTGGCCAGGCTGGTCTCAAACTCCTGACCTCAGGTGATCCACCCACCTCAGCCTCCCAAAGTGTTGGGATTACAGGCATGAGCCACCACACCTGGAGATTTTTCATCTATTCAGTAAATATTAACTTCCTGTGGCCAGGGTGCTGGGGATCTGGCCCCACACAGACGGTGTAGGAAGGTGTCCCTTGGCCCATGCCTTCCTGATGCTGTGCCCTGGGTTGGGAGAGGAGTGAGGCAGGTGCAGGAGGAGAGCAACACGTGCGAAGGTCCGGAAGTGAGACAGAGGGGCTTTGGGAACAGTAGACTGGAGTGTGCAAGGGAGGGCGGGAGACAGGAGGCCCGAGGCCAGATCCTAAAGGGCCTTTGCACCTGGGCTATGGAGTCCGAGCACCATCCAGAGCACACAAGGAGCCACCAGAAGGACTCAAAGTGCTTTGATGCGCTAAGGGGAAATGTGGGTTACGAGGCCAGGACTGGAGGCAGAGGGTTGGTAAGAGGTTGCAGTTGTGGACCAGTTTCAAAAGATGGATGGGGGCTGGGCACAATGGCTCATGCCTGTAATCCCAGCACTTGGGGAGGTCAGGAGTTCGAGACCAGCCTGGCCAACATGGTGAAACCCCGTCTCTACTAAAAATACAAAAAAATAGCTGGGCGTGGTGGCAGGCGCCTGTAATCCCGGCTATTCAGGAGGCTTCAGCAGGAGAATCGTTTGAGCCCAGGAGGCCGAGGTTGCAGCGAACAGAAATCTCACACCACTGTACTCCAGCCTGGGTGACAGAGGGAGATTCCATAAAAAAAAAAAAAAAAAAAAAAAAAAAAAAAAAAAGATGGATGGGAACCAAATCTGGGGTTACTTTTTTTTAGAGACAGAGTCTTGCTCTATCACCCAGGCTGGAGTGCAGTGGTGCAATCACAGCTCCCTACAGCCTTGACCTCTCGGGCTCAAATGATGCTCCTACCTCAGCCTCCTGAGTAGCTGGGACTACAGGCATGTGCCACTGAGCTGGGCCGGGGTAACTTTGTGTCCCTTCTTGGCCATTTACCAGCTGTGAGACCTTAGGCATGTGATTGATGTAACTCCCAGCCACGTTTCCTTGTTCCTAAATTGCAATAGTGATGCTTGGTTCCCCAGGTAGCAAGATTTAATAGAGATTAAAAGAGGGGCTAGCCGGGGGTGGTGGCTCATGCTTGTAATCCCAGCACTTTGGGAGGCTGAGGTGGGTGGATCACCTGATGTCAGGAGTTTGAGGCCAGCCTGGTCAACATGGTGAAACCCCGTCTCTACTAAAAATACAAAAAATTAGCCGGGCGTGGTGGCGCACACCTGTTATCCCAGCTACTCGGGAGGCTGAGGCAGGAGAATCACTTGAACCTGGGAGGGGGAGGTTGCAATGAGCCAAGGTCGTGCCATTACACTCCAGCCTGGGCAACAAGAGAGAGACTCCATCTCAAAAAATAAAAAAATAATAAAAGAGGGGCTATACCATACTTAATAAATAATTGCATAGCTAAATAAATGGGGACAGAAGGACCGCTCTTTCATACAGTAGAATTCTGATTAATATGTGTACAAGAAAAGAAGGAAATAGGAAAGTCACCAGTAGACAACGATTGTGGCAAATGATATCACCAATGGATGCTAAAATTGATGGATGAAAGTTTAAGCAGAAACAGGATGTGCCTGGTCTCAAAGTATCACCCCAAAATAACGATTAACTAGCAAGAGAAGGGAGACAGTAACTGTACAGGGAGAAACCCCTGTAATCAGTGAGCAAGACTCATACCGCAAGATGCGCGCAGACTGCACTGAGATGGACGTGATGTTATCTTTGTGATATTCTCACCCCAAATGCATACACTCGCTCTGAGCAAGAGAATGCACTGGACAAACTCAAAATTGAGGGAAATTGGACAAAATAGCTGATTGGGGTTAGTCTTCAAAAGTGACTTCCGGCCGGCCGCGGTGGCTCACACCTGCAATCCCAGCACTTTGGGAGGCTAAGGCAGGCAGATCACCTGAAGTCAGGAGTTTGAGATCAGCCTAGCCAATATGGCAAAACCCTGTCTCTACTAAAAATACAAAAATCATCTGGGCATGGTGGCTCGCATCTGTAATCCCAGCTACTTGGGTGGCTGAGGCAGGAGAATCGCTTGAACCCAGGAGGTGGTGGTTGCAGTGAGCCGAGATGGCACCACTGCACTCCAGCCTGGATGACAGAGCAAGACTCCGTCTCAAAAAAAAAAAAAAAGTGACTTCCAGGCTGGGCACAGTGGCAGTGGCTCATGTCCATAATCCCAGCACTTTGGAAGGCTTAAACAGGAGCATTGCTTGAGCCCAGGAGTTCAACACCATCCTGGGCAACATAAGGAGACACCGTCTCTACTAAAAAATAAAAATAAAAAAATAGCCTAGCATGGTGGTACATGCCTGTGGTCCCAGCTACTCAGGAAGCTGAGGTGGGAGGATTGCTTGAGGCCAGTAAGTGGAGGCTGCAATGAGCTATTATTGTGCCACTGCACTCCAGCCTGAGCAACACCGTGAGACCCTGTCTCAAAAAAGAAAAAAAAAATGACTTCCAAAGTGTCAAGGTTATGAAAGAAGAAAGACTGAGGAGCTACCACCAACAGCAGGAGGTGAAGGAGAAATAACAATTACATGCAACGTGGGATCCTGAGAGCAGGATCCTGAGACAGAATAAAGAGAGCCATGAAAAAACCAGTGAAATTCAAATAAACACGCTTTGCAGTTTTCTTAATGGTATTGCACCCACGTTAATCTGCTTCTGATTATTGCACTGTGTTTATATAAGACATTAACTTTAGGGAAAGCTGGGTGTGACCTATACAGAAACTTTATTTGTACAACTTTTCAGTAAATCTAAAATTATTAATAATTTAAAATAAAAAAAGTTTTTTTTTTTAAAAGGACTATATCAGTTATCAGTTGTTCTTAGCCTCAGAGACACATTTGATCACCAAGAGGCCAAGAGAGTTGTGTGTCTTGCTTTTATTTATTTATTTTTTTTAGAGATAGGGTTTTGCTACGTTGCCCAGGCTGGTCTCAAACTCCTGGCCTCAAACCATCCTCCTGCCTCGGCCTCCCAAAGTGCTGGGATTATAGGTGTGAGCCACAGTGCTTGGCCCCCAAGAGAGGTTTTTAATACTGTGTCCTGGCCCCTCCTGGGATCAGTTGAACCAGTATCTTGGGAGAGGCCCAGGCATGGTTAGTTATTAAAAATCCCCAGTCGATGTTCATGGCAGCCCCTGTTGAAGGGTGGGCTATATGTAAATTACTTGGCCCAGAGTAGGCTCTTTTTTTTTTTTTTTTTTTTTTTTTTTTGAGACAGGGTCTAACCCTGTTGCCCAGGCTGGAACACAGCGGTGCAATCTCAGACTCTCTGCAGCCTCAAATTCCTGGACTCAAGCAATCCTCCCACCTCTGCCTCCCGAGTAGCTGGGACTACAGGCATGCAACGTCTCACCTGGCTAATTTTTTTTTTTTTTTTTTGTAGAGATGGAGTTTTGCCATGTTCCCCAGACTGGTCTTGAACTCTTGAGCTCAAGCGATCCACTCACCTCAGCCTCCCAAAGCTACAGGCATGTGCCACCATGGCTGGCCTGGTTCTTCAATAAATGATCATTCCCCAATATAAATGTGTGGGTTCATCACCTGACATCTTCATGCACTCACAGACTACTGAGCACCTACTACGTGCAAGGCACTGTGAGACATAGCAGGGATGCCACGGTGGGCAAGAAAGACAAGGTCCTCATATTCCAGAGCGGGGTGGGGACAAGATAAACAATAAATGCGTGAAATGAACACACATGGGACTTTACAAAAAAAAGGAGACTTTAATGGAAATAAATGGATATGATAGGGAGTAACTGGGGATGGAGGTGCAAGCTCCATTAGATGGAGTAGTTCAGGAGGACATCCTGGAGGAGGTGACATTTTAGCTGACAGTTAAATTGGAATGATGAGAAAGATGGAATCATAAGAAGAGCCAGGGAGAGACTAGATTTTCTGTGCAATGGAAAGACTCCAGTGATCATTGAAGGGATGAAGGGCAAGGCAGGGATGTTCTTTGATCTGATTTTGTTTTTGTTTTTGTTTTTGTTTTTAAGACAGAGTCTCGCTCTGTCACCCAGGCTGGAGTGTAGTGGCGTGATATCAGCTCACTGCAACCTCCACCTGCCGGGTTCAAGTGATTCTCTCACCTCTGCCTCCTGATAGGCTGAGACTACAGGTGACCGCCATCACACCCGGCTAATTTTTGTACTTTTAGTAGAGACAGGGTTTCACCATGTTGGCCAGGCTGGTCTTGAACTCCTTTCCTCAAGTAATCCACCCACCTTGGCCTCCCAAACTGCTGGATTTACAGGTGTGAGCCACCACACCCAGCCTCATATATATATATTTTTTTAATTATTATTTTTTAGAGACAGGGTCTCATGCTGTCATCCAGGCTGGAGTGCAGTGGTACAATCATAGCTCACTTTAGCCTCCAACTCCTGGGCTCAAGTGATCCCCCAACCTCGGCCTCCCAAAGTGCTGGGATTACAGGCACAAGCCACTACACCCGGCCTGATTTAGGATTTTTAAAGATTACTCTGGAAAGCAAAAAGGTTACTCTGGCTGCCAGAGGGAGGCTGATCCATGGGGGATGAGTTAGGAGGCTCTAAGATCTGTATAGGAGAGAGATGATGGTGGCCCAGACCAGAAAGGCGGTGACAGAGGAGGAGTTGAACACATTGAAACTGGCACCCCGTTGAGCTAAGGTTTGGGGTAAGCAGTGCCCTGGCCACCTAGCTCCTCAGCAGAGCAACTGCCCTTTCATTTATAATTATTATTATTATTGAGATGGAGTCTTGCTCTGTCACCCAGGCTGGAGTCCAGTGGTGCAATCTCAGCTCACTGCAACCTCCACCTCCTGGGTTCAAGCGATTCTCCTGCTAAAGCCTCCCAAGTAGCTGAGATTACAGGTGCCCACCACCACACCTGGCTAATTTTATACTTTCGGTAGAGACAGGGTTTCACCATGTTGGCCAGGCTGGTCCTGAACTCCTGGCCTCAAGTGATCTACCCACCTCTGCTTCCCACAGTGCTGGGATAACAGGCATGAGCCACTGTTCCTGGCCAGCAACTGCCCTTTCAAATCCAGCCAGTGCCTACTTGTTAACACCTATCGCATGCCAGTCCCCCAGCCCAGCATCATCATGGCCACAGGCTCCCCTCCTGCAGTCACCCATATGCCTGAACATGTCACATCCTACAGTCACCCTGTAAGCCACATGCTCCCGGAGTCCCTAATACTGATGGCAGAACTAAAGCTCAGAGAGGAGTAGACACTCAGCCAACATCACACAGCTTGTGGAACCCAGGACCGCCTGTCTCGCTGCCCCAGGCTGGTTCCCCAGTCAGGACCCACCACTTCCTCTGAGCCTGGAGGATGAGGGGAGGTGTTGGCAGAAAGCCACCCTAGTGCTCCGAGCAAACAAGAGCAGGATTGATCTCCAGAGCCAAGCTGAGCCCACGCAGCCGAAGATGGCAGCACTGTCATCTCCAGGGTGCCTGGGCCTCAGCCCAGAGACATAGTTCTACCTGCCCAGCCTGATCCCTGAATTCCTAGACATCCCAGCCCAGGAAAGCCAAGTTCCCAGGAAAGCAATTCTTACTAAGGTGTGAATGGCTGATAGCCAGTCCTTTCCTGAAAGGGAGTGACAGCATGGGGACACTGAGTTCCAGAAGCAAAAGAAAGGGGAAGGTACTAAAAATAAAATCTTTGGCCAGGTGTGGTGGCTCACGCCTGTAATCCCAGCACCTTGGGAGGCTGAGGCGGGCGGATCACTTGAGGTCAAGAGTTTGAGACCAGCCTGGCCAATATGGTGAAACCCCGTTTCTACTACAAATACAAAAATTAGCTAGGTGTGTTGGCAGGCGCCTGTAATCTCAGCTACTCAGGAGGCTGAGGTAGGAGAATCGTTTGAACCTGGGGGGCGGAGGCTGCAGTGAGCCAAGATCACGCCACTGCACTCCAGCCTAGGAGACAGAATGAGACTCCGTCTCAAAAAAAAAAAAAAAAAACTTAGCCCCTTTTCTATTTTACATCCTCTTCACAGCTGGAGCTCCTTGGGGCTCAGTTATTAGCTGCAAACTCCTCCACTTAACTCCTCAAATCAGCAACAGATGGAGGAACTCAACTTTCAGCCCAGCCCCACCTAATGCTGGAGTCCTGTCAACAGTGGACAATTGTCCCCTCCTGGCTTGAACACCTCCAATGACCAACCCTTATAATGTTCATTAAAAAACCTAGTGTTATTTAACAACATTGCTATTAGAAAGTCCCTTTGCATGTGTGAGCAACAAAGCAGTAGGTATAAAGCAAACACAGCTGGAACTATTGGTTTCCCTTTTACAGATGGGGAAACTGAGGCACCAGGAGGTGAAGGCATTGCCCGAGGTCACCCATGAAAGAATGGAGCTGGCCAGGCACAGTGGCTCATGCCTGTAATCCCAGCACTTTGGGATGCCGAGGCAGGCGGATCACAAGGTTAGGAGATCAAGACCATCCTGGCCAACATGGTGAAAATACAAAAAAAAAAAAAAAAAAAAACTAAAATACAAAAAAAATACAAAATTACTAAAAATACAAAACAAAAAATAGCTGGGTGTGGTGGTGCTTGCCTGTAATCCCAGCTACTTGGGAGGCTGAGGCACAAGAATCGCTTGAACCCAGGAGGTGGAGGTTGCAGTGGGCCGAGATTATGCCACTGCACTACAGCCTGGCGACACAGCAAGACTCCGTCTCAAAAAAAGAATGAAGCTGGGATGTAAACCAAGGCAGGGATCCTGGCTCCTGAAACCTCTCCAGTGAGTGATCTGAAGGCCCCGGACCCTGGCCTGCTGACTACATCATTAGCTACTCCCCAAGTAAAGTGTGGTCTCCCAAAGGCCACTTCCAATGCCCTGCCATGTGCCCCAGGAGGAAGCGGGGTCTTCCTGACCCAACTTTGAACATGCACTTGGAGCCGGGCGCGGTGGCTCACGCCTGTAATCCCAGCACTTTGGGAGGCCGAGGCGGGTGGATCACAAGGTCAGGAGATCGAGACCATCCTGGCTAACATGGTGAAACCCCGGCTCTACTAAAAATACAAAAAATTAGCTGGGCCTGGTGGCGGGCGCCTGTAGTCCCAGCTACTCGGGAGGCTGAGGCAGGAGAATGGCACGAACCCGGGAGGCGGAGCTTGCAGTGAGCCGAGATCGTGCCGCTTGCATTCCAGCCTGGGCGACAGAGCCAAACTCCATCTCAAAAAAAAAAAAAAACAAAAAAAAAAACGAACATGCACTTGGAGTCCCCAGTCAAGACAGCCTGGAAGAAATGAGGGCAACATGGGCGACTCAGTGGACCCCAAATGCATGCCACCATGGCTTCCCCTGATCCACACATCTTCTCTTGTCCCCTCCCTTCCACCCACTCACATGCTGGGCTTTCTCAGCATCCCTGGCAGGGACCTCTGTCTCGGATCACAAAGATGAATAAGAGAAGGAGGCTGTTGGCCTGGCACAGTGGCTCACAGCTGTAATCCCAACACTCTGGGAGGCTGAGGTGGGCAGATCACCTGAGGTCAGGGGTTCGAGACCAGCCTGGCCAACATGTGAAACCCCATCTCTACTAAAAATACAAAAATTAGCTAGGTGTGGTGGTGCACACCTGTAGTCCCAGCTACTCGGGAGCCTGAAGCAGGAGAATCTCTTGAACCCAGGAGGCATAGGCTGCGGTGAGGCAAGATCGCATGACTGCACTCCAACCTGGGCAACATAGCAAGACCTCATCTATATGTAAATAAAATATGCATAATAATAATTTTTTTTTTGAGATGGATTCTCACTCTGTTGCCCGGGCAAGAGTGTAGTGGCATGATTTTAGCTCACTGCAACCTCTGCCTCCCAGGTTCAAGTGATTCTTCTGCCTCAGCCTCCCGAGTAGCTGGGATCACAGGCATGCGCCACCATGCCTGGCTAACTTTTGTATTTTTAGTAGAGACGGGGCTTCACCATGTTGGCCAGGCTGGTCTCGAACTCCTGACCTCAGGTGATCTGCCCGCCTCAGCCTCCCAGAGTGCTGGGATTACAGGTGTGAGCCACCATGCCAGCCTAATAATAATTTTTAAAAGACAAGGCCGGCTGGGCGCAGTGGCTCATGCTTGTAATCCCAGCACTTTGGGAGGCTGAGGTGGGCAGATCACCTGAGGTCAGGAGTTTGAGACCCACCTGGCTACCATGAGGAAGCCCTGTCTCTACTAAAAATACAAAAAATTAACCGGGCGTGGTGGCACACGCCTGTAATCTCAGCTACTCAGGAGGCTGAGGCAGGAGAGTTGCTTGAATCCAGGAAGCAGAAGTTGCAGTGAGCTGAGATGGCGCCACTGCACTCCAGCCTGGGTAACAGAGCAAGACTCTGTCTCAAAAAAAAAAAAAAAAAAAAAAAAGACAAGGTCTCATCCTTTCCTGGTTGGGTCTTGAGAAATCACCTCTCTGAGCCACACAAGATTCCCTCCAAAAACAGTCCCACATCTAGAGGGCACAGAGCCGTCTCTGCCCTTGCACCCCTTCCACAGTGATTGTGGACTCTGGGATGAAGGGACAGCTGCACCCATGCCCCCTTCTGCCTGTTCTCACATCCTTCCAATCCTAGACCACCCCTCACCCTGTTCTCTTGGGAACCCCAGCTGCCCTCAGCCCCAGACCCCCCGAACCATACTCCCACTGGGACCTGGGCTGCCTTAATCCGAGCCCCCTCCCTCCCTGCAAAAGGCTGCGAACGCTTTTGAGGGCTGGAACATCTGGCTAATGGTGGGGAAAGTGCTGAGACGACAGGTTATTTCAACACTGTCATCATCTGTTGGGTATTTCAACACTCAGTGCTTGTGCAAGAGACTTAATGGGACCTGTCATAAACTCACGCTGTCTCAAAGCTCGGGCACGTCGCGGCGGGGCTGATGGGGAGTTGTCAGGGTTTAGCAATAGGCCCTGTCTTGGGGCCCGTAGCCTCCTTAAGGGTTATTTGTCTCCACTGTGGAAGGCTCAGAGAGAAATCTCAAGATGTCAGAGAAAATCCCGAGCAATTACCTCCCGGGGTAATTAGATGGTGGCACAGATAGCCTGTCTTCCTGCCTTCCCTCCTGCCCGGCAGAGGGAGGGAGAGAGGGGGACCAGCCGGTCCAGCCCCCTGCGCCAGCCCCGTGGGGGAAAGAGGCCGCAGATGACCTCATGGAAGCAACGGTGGTGAATCATGGCCCAGACCACATTCACATTTCCCCGGGGGTGGGCAAGCGTGTTGATCACCGGAGGGGCAGCTTCAACACCCAGAGAGATGGGGGGCAGGTCGGGGAGTAGGGGTGCTCCAGGATGTTTGATTCGGTTCAGCCCTGATCCAAGACTTTGTCTGAACTCAATCGCCTCTCTAAAAGGCTACACAGGGTGGAGGGCGGGGTAGCGCCTCCCGAAACCAGGAGGCGAGGTCCCCGGGAGGGAGGTCGCCGACCACACTTGTGAGGGCTGTGCAGAGTTCCCCACCACTGGCTCTCCCGGGGCAAGTAAGAGGCCCTGCCCCATGCCGGCAACACCGGAAATGAACTAAACTGGGCAGAGCAGAGACTCTAGGGCCTCAGACAGCCCCACTGCCCGGGAAGAGGGGCAATGGCTCAGCTACAGAGGCCTCTTGGTATGGGGATTCATAGGAGGGCCCTGGGGAGGCCTGAGGGATGAGTGATCAGACTCCCTCAAAGAAAACCAGAGCCCCAGCTGAGAACCAGCTCGGTGCCCATCCACCCTCCCCGTTCCACCCCAACACGCTTATCCCCAGAGTGTTCCGGAGAGGTGGTTCCAACTAGGGGTCTGGTGGGAGTTCATGAGGATGGGAGTTCATGAGGAAAGAGAGCACAGGATCCCCAGCCCTGGATGGGACAGGCGGGGAGGTGCCGGGAAGAACACCCAGGGAGAAGGAAGAACATGGAGAACGCGGAGAACGCATCGGGTACGCCAGCAGGACTGTGTGCCTGGAAACCAGAATGCAGGCCATTAAGACACGGACCGGGCAGGCCTGGGCAGGGCAGCCCACGAGTGCAGATCCCTTGGGGCACTGGGGAGCCACAGAAGGTCTTTGATCCCTGCAGTTACACATATACCAAGGGACTTTGAGCCCCTTCTCAGGATCGGTCTGGCAGCAGCTAGGGAAGAGTTCTAGGGGTGGGTAGGAGGAGGTGGGAGGTGCAAGAAGTCGGAGAATAACCTAAGTGAGGACAACCGCCAGGATGAGAAGGCGGAGGGGGCATGGGACTAAGGACGCTGGGAAGTAGACACCCCAGGACTGGGGCCCGAGCTGGGAGGAGCTGGACGAGGAGGGGCCCTTTCTCAGAACCAGTCTACAGAGGTGAGAGGGAGGACAGATGGGGAGGGGCTTGCTTGGACTTTGGGATCTTCCTAGAAATCGGCCACACAGGACCCAGATGGTCTCTGTGTCCCTCTGTCATGGGGACAACGATCCTCCGCTTCAATCGGACCCTTAGAGTCACTCAGACATTCTCCCAGGGCACACATCAACCAAGAATATGGTTTTTTGTTTTGGTTTGGTTTGGTTTTGTGGCTTGTTTGGGTTTTTTTTCCAGACAAAGTCTCACTCTGTCACCCAGGCTGGAGTGCAGTGGCAAAATCATAGCTCACTGCAGTCTCAAGCCCCTGGCCTCCAGTGATCCTCCCACCTCAGTCTCCCAAGTAGCCAGGACCACACAGGCGTGCGCCACCATAACTGGCTTTATTTATTTATTTTCAATTTTTTTTTTCTTGAGACAGAGGCTCGCTCTGTCACCCAGGCCGGAGTGCAGTGGCACAATCTTGGCTCACTGCAACCTTCACCTCCCGAGTTCAAGTGATTCTCCTGCCTTAGCCTCCCAAGTAGCTGGGATTACAGGCATGCGCCACCACACCCGGCTAATTTTTTTGTATTTTTTAGTAGAGATGGGGTTTCACCATGTTGGCCAGGCTGATCTCGAACTCCTGACCTCAGGTCAGGTGATCTACCCACCTCGGCCTTCCAAAGTGCTGGGATTACAGGCGTGAACCAACGCGCCCGGCCATTTTTTTCTTTCATTATTTGTAGAGACACTATGTTGCCCACATTGGTCTTGAACTTCTGGAATCAAGTGATTGTCCTGCCTCAGCCTCCCAAAGTGCTGGGATTACAGGTGTGAACCACCGCGCCCGGCCCAAGCCCCTGCCTTTATATGATCACATCACCACCTCCAAACAGAGGAGAAGCTGCCAGCCCTGCCATCTTCAGACAGACAAGGTTGGGGACGGAATGGTTTCCTCTGACTCGCAGCTGGGGCTCACCTGATGCTCTCTCCTGTCCTGTGTGGCAGGCACTGTGATCATCCCATTTTACAGATGAGAAGACTTGCTGCTCACAGGTGCAGAGCCCAAGGCAGCCATCCCTGTGATCTCTCTCCTGCCTGGGGCACCTCAAGTGTCAGGACCGGCCCTCCTTTACTTTCTGGGCAGGAAACCTCATTGGAGCTCCCCTGCGTGAGGTGGGAGGGATCCAGCCCCTGCCCCTCACCAACACTCCAGTGTGGCTTCCTGTCTGCCACCTGCCTCCCCTCCCATGCCAAAGACCAACGTTGCCTGGGTATAGGGGCCCATGGTGAAGCAACCATGAAATAGAAAGGGGCCCTGGGATGGGAGTCGGGAGACGGATGCTGTGGCAGCCCCAGCCCTGACCCTAACATATTCTGCCATCAGGAGGAAGTTATCTATCAATTCCAGGCTTCCAATTCCTGCCCTGCAGAAAGAGGCAGTGGCCTACAGTTTCTAGTCAAGAGATGACATTGTGGCGTGGTGGAGAAAGGCCCCCCAAGCACAGCCAGCCACCAGGTTGGGGTTTTAGTCCTGCCTCTGAAGTGGACAACCTCGCTTCCCCAGGCCTTGTCTTCTCTTTTTTTTTTTTTTTTTTTTTGAGACAATCTCGCTCTGTCACCCAGGCTGGAATGCAATGGTACAATCTCAGCTCACTGCAACCTCCGCCTCCTGAGTTCAAGTGATTCTGCTGCCTCAGCCTCCCGAGTAGCTGGGATTACAGGTGCGTGCCACCACGCCTGGCTAATTTTTGTATTTTTGGTAGAGACGGGGTTTCACCATGTTGGCCAGACTGGTCTTGAACTCCTGACCTCAGGTGATCCACCTGCCTCAGCCTCCCAAAGTGCTGGGATTACAGGCGTGAGCCACCGTGCCTGGCCTTCTCATCTTTAACTGGGGTACAATGGCATCTCTCTCAGACACAGCCCAGTGCAGGTGCCACGAGAGTGACGTATGATGTTCTCAGTGTGACAGGCAATGTCCCCATCCTGTTCTAGAACCTTCTGTGGTTCCTTGACAGACCGTCCCCAGCTGGAAGGCTGGACCACGAACTACTTGCTAAAAACAGGTCTGTGGACTGTGGGCCGAGCGCAGGGGCTCATGCCTGTGATCCCAGTGCTTTGGGGAGCAGAGGCAGAAGGACTGCTTGAGGCCAAGACCAGCCTGGGCAATTCAGTCTCTACAGAAAATTAAAAAATTAGCTGGACATGGTGGTGCATGGCTATAGTCCCAGCTACTCAGGAGGCTGAGGTGGGAGGATTGCTTGAGCCCAAGAGTTGGAGGCTGCAGTGAGCTATGATCACACTACTGCACTCCAGCCTGGGCAACATAGTGAGATCCCATCTCTACAAAAAAATAAAAATAAAATTTAAAAAACCGGTTTGTGCCAGGCACGGTGGCTCACACCTGTAATCCCAGCACTTTGGGAGGCCAAGGCAGGTGGATCACCTGAGGTCAGGAGTTCAAGAACAGCCTGGCCAGCATGGTGAAACCCCATCTCTACTGAAAATACAAAATTAGCTGGGCATGGTGGCGGGCGTCTGTAATCCCAGCTACTCGGGAGGCTGAGGCAGGAGAATTCCTTGAACCTAGCCGGTGGAGGTTGCAGTGAGCCGAAGATCACGCCACTGCACTCCAGCCTGGGCAACAGAGTGAGACTCCCTTCGTCTCAAGGAGAAAAAACAGAAATACAAATACAGAGCAAGGAGAATGCACTGGAAACCCAAGAGTGAGGAGTTTGAGGGCTGGGACAGGGGTGACAGGAAGGATGACATTCCCTCCTGCATGCCCCATGGCAGGCCACGTGCCAGGAACGAGATGCCCACAGTCCCTACTCCTACCCCCCCAGCTCTGAACCCAGGCAGGGCTGCATACAGCATGCTGAGAGGCCCCTAGCTTCTGAGAATGGGGCCCAGGAGGGCATCCAGACTGGCTCTGACCCCTCGCTCTGGAGCAGCCTCCCGGCCCGGCCTCCCACTTGGCGCGGGGCAGCCCGGATGCCGTGGGTCAGGCCAAGGGCCTCCCGCCGTGGCCTCCCCCTCGGCTGCGCTGGATGGTACCGTCTCCTCACGCATCTGCCAGTTTACATTTCCCCAACGAAAAGCAGCTTTGTTTATGGAAAGAGCTATTTTGGTTCCACGATTTCCCTCCACTCCTCCGGCTCACAGGCGGGATGGCGGCTGCTCTCTTGGGGAGCTAGGAGGAGCCGTGGAGCCATCTCCACCCTCTTGGGGAGGGGACCGCAGGGCTCTGGCAGGTGGAAGGGGACAGAGACCAGGGACACAGTGCCATCACCCCCACGAAGGCTCTGAGAAAAGGACCAATGCACAAACCATGTCCAACACCAGGTCAGGGCAACCCTGCCCAGAGGCAGGAGAATGGGGTCCCCACGAGCTGCTGACTTGGGCACGGCACACTCTGCCTGCCCCAACCATGTGCCCTGGGCTCTTGGACCATACCCTCCTCTTCCCACAGCTCTGCCTGGTAAGGAGGGTTATTATCCCCATTGCACAGATGAGCAATTGAGGGTCCTGGAGATGACGAAGCATCTGCAAAATTATAAAACTTGGGGACAAGGGGCAGAGTTCCCTTCCCGGGACCCGGGGGTCTGACCCCAGATCTCATGCTTCTTCCCCTGATGCCACCCTGTGATGGAAGTAGAGACACACGTCTCATAGAGACGGGAGCCAGTAGGAGTCCAGGGTCACTGTCATGCCTCAAAAAAGGTGTGGCAAACATTAACTCCAGTCACAGGAGGCAGCAAACCAAGTGTGAGTGGTAATAGTCCAGTTTACAGTATGGAGGCCTGCCTGGAAGGAAACTTCAGTTTCCTAGATGGGAGCCCCGATGTCCCAAGGGGCAGGAGGAAACAAGTAACAGTATCCCTCCAAAAAAAAAATCAAGAGGCCAGGCCAGGAGCCGTGGCTCATTCCTGTAATCCCAGCAGATTGGGAGGCCAAGGTGGGAGGACTGCCTGAGGCCAGGAGTGTGAGACCAGCCTGGGCAACATAGGAAGATCCCATCTCTACTAAAAATTAAAAAAAGTGAGTGCAGCATGGTGGTGGTGCACTCCTGTAGTCTCAGCTACTTGGGAGGCTGAGGTGGGAGGATCACTTAAGCCCAGTAGTTAGAGGCTGCACTGAGCTATGATCACACCACTGCACTCCAGTCCAGGAGATGGAGCAAGAAACGGTCTCAAAAAAAAAAAAAGAGAGAGAGAAAGGCTTGGCCAGGCACAGTGGTTCACGCCTGTAATCCCAGCACTTTGGGAAGCCGAGGTAGGCAAATCACAAGGTCAGGCGTTTGAGACCAGCCTGGCCAAAAAGGCAAAACCTGTCTCTACTAAAAATACAAAAATTAACTGGGTGTGGTGGCAGTTTCCTGTAATCTCAGCTACTCGGGAGGCTGAGGCAGGAGAATTGCTTGAACCTGAGAGGCGGAGTTTGCAGTAAACCGAGATCGCACCACTGTACTCCAGCCTGGGGGACAGAGCAAGACTCTGTCTTGAGGGAAAAAAAAAGAATTATATAATAGATCTACTTCCTACTCTTCCCTCCAGATGAAGAGCTCCTGGCTGGGGGTCAGACATATTCCTTTTGCCTCCCTGAACACCTCCAAATGCCCCTCCTCTGTCTGGGGAATTCCCCACCTTGTGAATTACATCCACCTTTTCAGACTCTCTTGCAGCTAAGGTTTAATCATGTGACCTGGGCTCCACCAATCCATGCACCCATCAGACTCAGAATGAGAAGCAATGACCCAGGAAGTAGAGGCCATGTGGAATCCATTCTGGCTAGCAAAGGGTCAGCTCCCACATCCAGTTTCTGAAGGCAGCACCATGACCCACGTCAGAGCCCAGTGGAAGGCCAGCCTGGCATGTGGTGGGATTTGGGGCCTCGCTTCTGATTGTACAGCCTCAGAGCCTGGGACTCTGGCTTTCGGGGAGATACTGAGTTACATAGGAGCTTTGAATAAATTCCTTATCTGCCTAACCCAGCCAGAGTGGGTTTCTGTGTCTGGAATTACAGACCCTGATGTGCTCACCTCAGGACAATGAAAATGCTCTGGGAAGCCCTGGCTCAACCCAGCTGACAAGAGTCAGAGGCATTTGTGCATGAGCAAGAGGCCTGCCCTGCCTCCTCCAAGACGGCCCTGTGATGGGCCACACGCTGGGGATGGAAGGGAATGGAGGCCCACCAGGCCAGATCCTCCCTGGCCTGTGAGATGCCCCAACACCAAACCCAGCCCAGGACAGAGGTCTGGGCAAGAGTGGCTTTCAGGGCCCAATGGTCCTGCACATCCAGGTGGCTCCGAGGAGGGGACTCCAGAGCTGTGCCCCACAGGAGGATCACTTGAGCTCAGGACTTTGAGACCAGCCTGGGCAACATAGTCAGACCCCATCTCTACAAAATATAAATAAAAATAGCCAGACATGGTGGTCCCAGCTACTTGGGAGGCTGAGGCAGGAGGGTCATTTGAGCCCAGGAGGTTGAGGCTGCAGTGAGCCATGGTTGTGCCACTGCACTCCAGCCTGGACAATAAAGTGAGACCCTGTCCCCCACCAAAAAAAAAAAGACTTGACATCTCATCTTCTCTTTCAGGAAGCTTCTAGCCCTACGCTTTCTGAGTCAGTTGCCTCCCAGGAACATCCAGAGGCACTGGGGCCCCATCAGCCAACACACGTCCACACTAGATTGAAACTGTCCATTTCAGGTCGTGTCCGTCCATCTCCCTATTGAATGGCAGCTCCCAGAGAGCAAGGGTCATATCCGGACCACTCTGAACGCCCAGTGCCAAGCACAGTCATGACGCGGTAGATGCTCAGTGTGTTTGCTGAGTGACTACATGAGTGACAGAATGGATGTGCTCCCTTGTGGGAGAAGCCTGAGGTCTTGGCATGGTGAGAGCCAGGAAGGAGAAGAGCAGTTGCAGAGTGGCCCCGTGGCTTGGTGGGCAGCACACACTCCTACCTGAAGCCCCCAGGCCATTGATCACCTATGCAAAAGGCATGAGAAGGGCTGGCCAATGCCTGCTGCTCCCGCCACTGTGGGTTTATTCATGAGCCCCGCGGAAAAGTATTTCCCAGGAATCTGGAGCTGCGGACTTGCTTTAACGCTCCACTTATCCCACTATTGATGTGGATTTTTAGACGCAAGTTCTCGCTCTGTCGCCCAGGCTGGAGGGCAGTGTTACTATCATAGCTCACTGCAGCCTCAGCCTCCCTAGGCTCAGGTGATCCTCCTACCTCAGCCTTCCGAGTAGCTGGGACTACAGGTGTGCGCCACCACGCCCGGCTAATTTTTATATTTTTTGTAGAGGTAGAGTATTGCCTTGTTAGCCAGGCTGGTCTCAAACTCCTGGGTTCAAGCAATCCACCCACCTCAGCCTCCCAAAGTGCTGGGATTGCAGGCATAAGCCACCGCGCCTGGCTCCCAACCACTAATGGTCTGTATCTAGGAGACTTGCACCTCTCCATTTATTTGCCAGGGACACCTGTCCAGCACACGTCAAGGAATGAGGCAGTGATTGAGCGGCTTTGGAGTCTCTCTTCTTTCCCTAACATGGGCAGGCAGAAGGAAGTTCCCAAGGGGCCCCTCCGAGGGAATCTGGCAGCTCCAACCCACCAGCTTGGCTGCCATCGTCAGCAGAAGAGGACAATCGCATAGGGTCTCTGCTCCTCCAGGCCACAGCTGCCCAAGACTCGCACCTGGTCCTGCAAGCTGGCATCAGTGGGGTTATCCTGGCCCTACAGGGCTGGCCCAGAATGACTCATAGCCCACACCAAACCGTGGATGGTGGAAGACTCTGGACTCCCTTCCCAAGATGTCTGTGACATCTTGTTGTGGACACAGCGTTAGTCATATGTCACAATTGCCCGGGACCCAGAGCCCAGCTTCCACTGAATTTCAGTTCAGGGACAGCCTCAGCTTCTTGCATGAGATGCCTTCAGCCTCCAGCACAGCCACCAGATGTCAAAATCCTTTACCTTAGTTTCCATGCCCAAAACCACTCACGACAGGCATCTGTGTGGGTAGGTTTACTGTCGCTTGGAGAGGCACAGGGATTTGCTTTGCAATTATCAGGACCTATTAAAATCCTTCTCCCTGGCCGGGTGCAATGGCTCACGCCTGTAATCCCAGCACTTTGGGAGGCCGAGGCAGACGGATCACGAGGTCAGGAGATCGAGACCATCCTGGCTAACACGGTGAAATCCCATCTCTACTAAAAATACAAAAACAATTAGCCAGGCGTGGTGGCGAGCGCCTGTAGTCCCAGCTGCTCGGGAGGCTGAGGCAGGAGAATGGCGTGAACCCGGGAGGCGGAGCTTGCAGTGAGCCGAGATTGCGCCACTGCACTCCAGCCTGGGCGACAGAGCGAGACTCTGCCTCAAAAAAAAAAAAAAAAATCCTTCTCCCTAGATGTTTCTGTGTCATCTCTGCTCTGGCCTCCGCCTTCTCCTTCCTCCTCCCGCCCCTGAAATCCTGCCTACCATCCAAGCAGAACAGTCCAGCCCCCATGGTCCTGTCTTCAATCCCAAAGCATCTGATCCATTTTCCTAAACAAGGAGGATTTGCGTCTAAGCAGAATTTGGTACTGGTTCTTAAAATAATGGATTTTTTTTTAATCCCATGACACTGGGATCAGAGTCATCTTCTCAGCACAGTTCCTGGCACTTCTTATGTTGCAAGGACCTGAACTGAATGGACAGAGACCCAGACCTCAGAGAGTCCAGGAGAAGTGAGCCCTACGTGGACCAGAGCAGAGCCGGTGGGGTGATAACAGGATGAGAGAAGGCAAACCAGCCCTGGCAGGGACTAATGAGGGCAGTAGCCTCTCCTTGGAGGAGCCAGAGAAAGCTTTGCCAGAGAGGTCACAGGAAAGCCAGTCTTGGAGGGGTTTCATGAGCAGAAAAGGCAGCTGGGACGGTCAGCCAGCAATACCTCTCCAAGATGTAGCACTCACACTGCACCGTAATCATTGGGTTCAGACCAGGCATGGTGGCTTACGCCTGTAATTCCAGCACTTTGGGAGACTAGGGCAGGAGGATCACTTGAGACCAGGAGTTTGAGACCAGCCTGGGCAGCATAGCAAGATCCCACCTCTAAAAAAAAAAAAAAATTAGCCAGCCATGGTGGCACGAGCGAGTGGTCCCAGCTACTCGGGAGGCTGAGGTGGGAGGATTGCTTGAGACCAGGAGTTAGAGGCTGCAGTGAGCTATGATTGCACCACTGCACTCCAGCCTGGGTGACACAATGAGGCCCTGTCTCTAAAAAATAAAAATTAAATTAAATTAAAAAAAATAATCCGGTTTAGTGTCTGCCTCCTCCATCAGACTGGAAACTCATGGAAGGTGAATGACAGGGGCTGAGGTGCAAGTTCAATCAGCCTCTGGCCCTGGGAGGAGGAAAGGGAAAAAGCAAGTTAGGGGATGGGACTGTAGTCGCAGCTCAGAGGCCCTGGGTGCCTCTGACACTGAGGCAGAAACAAGGGGGAGCATTAGCTGGATTTCTATCCTACACGTGTCAGCGGACGTGATGGTTTCAAACTGAAAGTGAGCAATTTGTGGGTCCTTGGGCCACACCTATGAAAGGCTTTTTTATTTTTTATTTTTTGAGACAGGGTCTGGCCAGCTATTTTGTTGTTGTTGTTGTGGAGATGGGGTTTCACTATGTTGCCCAGGCTGGTCTCGAACTCCTGGCTTCAAACGATCCTTCTGCCTCTGCCTCCCAAAGCACTGGGATTCGAAAGGCCTTTTATGTGAAACACTTGTGACCCACCAAAAATCCCATTGTAAGTCCTGTCGCTCTGACAAGCATCATAATCGCGCATCTGTCCAGAATTCTGCATTTAGGAGGAGGCTTTAAAGCCCACGTGCTCAGAGCTACGGTGTAGACCCTATACTCCACCATCCTGCCACAGGATTCAGGGAGCAGCTGGAGGTAAGATAATTGTAGGCTCCAGGCTCTGCACCCTGGGTGGGATTAGCATTAGTCAGTAGGTTTCTCTGTTCCCTCAATCTCCCCGCTCCCGGGACTTGCAAAGCAGTGAGAGTGGGCAACATGCCGTGTAACACAGTTAATTACACGTTGATTGCATTGTGCTGTAATTACTGTTCAGGCGTGTGGGGCTCCTCACCTGCACTGGATCCTGGAACTCAGAGAAAGAAGCTTCTGTCTCCTGTAATCCCAGCACTTTGGGAGGCTGAGGTGGGCAGATCGCTTGAGGTCAGGAGTTCAAGACAAGCCTGGGCAACATAGCGAAACCCTATCTCTACTAAAAATACAAAAATTAGCCGGGCGTGATGGCAGGTGCCTGTAATCCCAGCTACTCGGGAGGCTGAGGCAGGAGAATCGCTTGAACTCGGGAGGAGGAGGTTGCAGTGAGCCGAGATGCCACCAGTGCACTCCAGCCTGGGTGACAGAGCGAGACCCTGTCTCAAAAAAAAAATTAAAAAAAAAATTAAAATTATAATAAAAATAAAATTGATTGTAGAAATTGCACTAATGGATACATTAGAAGCCATTGAATTGTATATTTTTAATGGATGAATTGCATGGTATGTGAATTATATCTCAATAAAGCTATTACTTAAACAGGAGAAAACAAAAAACCCCAGCGACAATCTTCCTCAAGCTCCTTGGCAATAGGAGGCCTTGCCGTCCCCACCCAGCCTGCCTGAGTTCCTGCTTACAGTTGCTTCTTTTTTTTTTTTCCTTTGACACGGGGTCTCCCTCTGTCACCCAGGCTGGAGTGCAGTGGCGCAATCTCATCTCACTGCAATCTCCACCTCCCGGGTTCAAGTGATTCTCCTGCCTCAGCTTCCTGAGTAGTTGGGATTACAGGCACCTGCCATCATGCCCGGCTAATTTTTGTATTTTTATAGAGATGGGGTTTTACCATGTTGGTCATGCTGGTCTTCAACTCCTGACCTCAAGTGATCTGCCTGCCTTGGCCTCCCAAAGTGCTGGGATTACAGACGTTAGCCACTGCTCTCAGCTGCTTCTTAAATGCGGCTGGGGCCAAGCAGAAAAATGGCCCTCTCTCATGCTAGGCAAACGCAGAGCCCACTGGACAGAGTTCCCTGAGATCGAGGCAGGGATGACGCATGGCTGCCTTGTGACCAGCTATCTCTCCGCTCTCTGGTGAACTATCCCAAGCCAGACCGTGGTTTTGTAATTTGAAGTCCAAGGCCGTGAATCAACATAATCTACTTATCAAGACCAAAGGCTGCGGTCGCCGTGCATGTAGAAGGAATAGCTCACAGTGCGTGGCGCCTTCATGCCGGAGGGCTGGGCCACACCCTGGTGCACACTGGGGGTGGTGCCCAAGGATCCTGCTGGACTAACCAAACACAGCCCTGGGCCACACCTTCCCACAGGCCTCTCAGCCCTCTCAGCTCTTCCACTTGGAGCCTGAGAGTCTGACACCCCCCACCTCACCCCCAGTCAGCTCTGTGACTCCCAGTGCTCTGGCTTTGGGATTTGTTTTGTTTATTTTAGAGACAGCGTCTCTCTCACTGTGTTACCCAGGCTGGGGTGCAGTGGCGCCATCATGGCTCAATGCAGCTTTCAACTCCTGGCTCAAGTGATCCTCCCACCTCAGCCTCCAGGGTACCTGGGATGACAGGCATGTGCCACCATGCCCAGCTAATGTTTTAAATGTTTTGTAAATGTAGGGGGTCTATGTTGTCCAGGCTGGTCTCGAACTCCTGGCCTCCAGCGATTCTCCCACCTTGGCCTCCCAAAGCCTTGGGATTATAGGTGTGAGCCGCCGCACCCAGCCTGGCTTTGGCCTCGGCATTTACGTTATGTTGTAAAACACAAAACTTCAATCAGGGCCAAGTCTTTCAGCTTAAAACCCTTCAGTGCCTTCTGGGGATAAATACTGAGCTCTTGGGCCCAACTTGGTTTGACCCCTGGGAGTCCTACCCCTACTGGGAGCCCCCACAGCTCATCCTCCCCATGGCCCCTTCACTCCAGATACATGGGTCTTATTTTAGCTCTTTGGTTTTTTGTTTGTTTGAGATGGAGTCTTGCTCTGTTGCCCAGGCTGGAGTGCCGTGGTGTGATCTCAGCTCACTGCAACCTCCGCCTCCCGGGTTCAAGTGATTCTCCTGCCTCAGCCTCCTGAGTAGCTAGGATTACAGGTGCACGCCACCATGCCCGGCTAATTTTTGTATTTTTAGTAGAGACGGAGTTTCACCACATTGGCCAGGCTGGTCTCAAACTCCTGACCTCGTGATCCACCCGCCTTGGCCTCTCAAAGTGCTGGGATTACAGGCATGAGCCACCATGCCTGGCCTATTTTAGCTCTTTATAGTCCTCCTGTCCCCTCTTACCTGTGAGCCTCTGGGTAACGTCTTCAGCCTGTTATCTTTGCATCCAGCTAATTAGGTCACTTATTCCTACAGAAACCCATCTTTCAAGGAATGGCCATCCCTGCCAAGGCCACTGAGCCCTGTTGACCCTGGACTCTCTCCTGTCTCTTCCCTGGTGCTGGCCAGTGTGTCCACGTTGCTGTGATTGCTGAATTAATGTCTGTCCCTCCCTCCAGGCCGTGCATGATGACACCCCCTGTAGCTGCCATGGAGCCCAGCACCCAGTGGATATGCAAAAAGCCCACGTAGGCCGGGCATGATGGCTCACGCCTATAATCCCAGCACTTTGGGAGGCTGAGATGATCACTTGAGGCCAGGAGTTTGATACCAGCCTGGGCAACATAGTGAGACTCCATCTCTACAAAAAATTTAAAAATTAGCCACTCATGCTGGCGTGCACCTGTCATCCTAGCTACTTGGGAGACTGAGGCAGGAGGATCACCTGAGCCCAGGAGTTCCAGGCTGCAGTGAGCTATGACTGCACCACTGCACTCCAGGCTGGCCAACAGAGTGAGACCCTGTCTCTGAAAGAAAAGAAAGAAAAGAGGGAAAGAAAGAGAGACAGAGAGAGAAAGAGAGAAAGGAAGGAAGGAAGGAAGGGAGGGAGGGAGGGAGGGAGGGAGGGAAAAGAAAAGAGTGGAAAATTCAAGGTTGGTGTAAGCTGAATGAAAAAGCATTGTCCTGGAGTTGCACTTAAGCCCATTCCTGTTTTCAGCTTCTCGAACTCTCCCATTTTTCCCAAGCATAAATTGATCCCAGTCCTCCTCTACCTATAACCCACCAAGAGCTTCCCATTGTGATTATAATAAAACCTAAGCTCCTTACCATCACTCACAGGCGACATCACCTACAGGTCCTACAGGGACATGGTCCCTGCCTCCTCTTACATCACAGTGGGAAACTCTTAGAGGGTTCTAGGGGGAGAGGCGTCTTCCCTCCTGGATTGACATTTCAGCCACTTTGTGCCCCGACCCTCTCCAAGTTCATTTCCGTCTCCCTCTCTGCAGGGCCAGGTGATTCAGAAACTGATCGCATGCCAGAGAACCAACGACCCACTGCCCTTCAGCCTCTTCACAGGGGCATTTGCAAGAGAAGGAGTTTTTCTTTTCACCAGCGTCATTCGGAATTGCCAGGACAAGGTGATAATAAAAAGCAGACGGCTTTGAGTAATTTTATTATTGTTATTAAATTGGCTACAGACAAGGCATTCCCTCATTACCTGCACCTGGGAGGGACCACTTGCACCACTGCCAGCCCCAGCTCCAAAGGAAGACGTCCACCATCCGTCCCTCCACTGGGCAGGTATAGGAACAGAGGATGTGACCTCATGGCCACCCCATAGGGTCACCTGATACAGAATGAGGCAGGCACCAGCATGGATTTTATGTCACCCCACCAGGGTGATGAGGGGGGCAGCAGGCCCTCAGTCATGTGGTCACAGGGCAGGATTTCAAGGAGTATCCACATGACAGGTTTTTGATTTGGGCCTTGGAAAGAAGTAAGGTATCCATGGCCAGGTGTGGTGGCTCACACTTGTAATCCCAGCACTTTTGGGAGGCCGAGGTGGGCAGATCACCTGAGGTCAGGAGTTCGAAACCAGCCTGGCCAACATGGTGAATCCCCGTCTCTACTAAAAATGCAAAAATTAGCCCGGCATGCTGGTGGTTGCCTGTAATCCCAGCTACTCAGGAGGCTGAGGCAGGAGAATCGCTTGAACCCGGGAGGCGGAGGTTGCAGTAAGCCGAGATCGCATCACTGCACTCCAGCTTGGGTGACAGAGTGAGACTCTGTCCCAAAATAAATAAACAAGCAAACAAACAAATAAATAAAAGAAGTAAGACACCCACCACACACCCTTCTGTCAGCTTCCTCTGTGACTAGTGTGGATGTTCTCAAAGGCAGCAGAACTCTAGGACCATTCCTTTATTTTTTTCTTTGGAGAGGATCTTACTCTGTTCCCCAAGCTGGACTGCAGTGGCGCAATCCTAGCTCATCGCAGCCTCCAATTCCTGGGTTCAAGCGATCCTCCTGTCTCAACCTCCTAAGTAGCTGAGACTACAGGTGCATGCCACCATGCCTGGCTAATGTTTAAATCTTTCTGTAGAGATGGGGTGGGTAGTCTCGCTATGTTGCCCAGGCTGGTCTTGAACTCTTGGCCTCAAGCCATCCTCCCACCTAGGCCTTCTAAAGTACTAGTATTACAGGCCTGAGCCACAGCTTTTGGCCTAGGACCCTTCCTTAGAGTCCCTGCTGTGAAGCTGGGCTGGGCTGCTGAGGGGCCATGGCAGATGCTGATTACAGGGAACAAGAGCAAAATAGGAAGAGCCTCTGAGCATCCTTCCCTGGCTGTTCCCTATGCTTGTCCTTCTCCTTGCCCCAAACCTACACCTATTCCCCACTCTCTCAAGGAGGTCCAGTTCTGTGCATTTTATTTTTTTTAAGAGGTAAACTGGAGCAGGCTGGGCGCAGTGGCTCACGCCTGTAATCCCAGCACTTTTGGAGGCTGAGGTGGGCAGATCACTTGAGGCCAGGAGTTCGAGACCAGCCTGGCCAATGTGGTGAAACCCCATTTCTACTAAAAATACAAAAATTAGCTGGGCATGGTGGTACACGCCTGTAATTCCAGCTATTCAGGAGGCTGAGACAGGAGAATCGCCTGAACCCAGAAGGTAGAGGTTGCAGTGAGCCAAGATCGTGCCACTGCACTCCAGCCTGGGCAACAGAGCAAGACTCATCTTTAAAAAAAAAAAAAAAAAAAAAAGATGTGAACTGGAGCAAAGTTACAGCCAATGGGTGCTGGTCACATGCCAGCAGGGGTTTTTTCATTTTGCCTCTCTGGGAACCCTCATATTCCCTGTACCCCTGCCCCCTAACAACAGAGTGAGCTCCATGACAGCAGGAAGAAGAGACAGGACTGGGGAATGGATCAAACAGGGTCCTGCTGAATAACTAGCCAGGCAGTGGAAATGCTTCTGAACAGTAAAATTTCAACAGAAACACCAGAGAAAGGAGATGCCGGCCAAGTGGGCAGAGAAAGCTTGGCCCGGAACACAGCTTCCCGTTCCAGCTTCCGCAGGGGGATTAAAGACAGATTCGGCCGCTCACATCCAGCCCTTGTGAGGGGCCCGCCGCTGCCCCAGGCATTAACACACACCTCCTGATTCATTTTGTCCTGACCACAGCCCTTCGGCATGCCCATTTTACCGGTGGTGGCACTGAGTCTCTGAGAAACGTAATGATTGCATAGGGAAGCCAGGCTCTCTGCCGGCCGGGCCGGCGCAGGGCTGTTTTCAAGGGAAACTGAAACCTGAAACCTGACCTCCCTGCCCTGGCTCTCAGCACAGCCTCCTGCCACCCTCCCACTATCCCCACCCTCACCCCCCGCCCCCCGCCACTCCCATCCCCCTTCTCACCCATCTGCCTGCAGGCTGGTGGCTGGCCACTACTGGAAGACTTCCAGGCGCTCTCCCCTCTCCAGTCCCTGAAACATTTTGGAAGAAGGGAGAGGCCGGGAACTTTGGGTCCAACATGAAGGACATTAGTAGGTGTTAGAAAAAATAGTCAAGTGTGAAATAAATTCCTGCAAACCTCCCGGCCTTGCTGGGAACCTTCGCTTCACCATCCGACAAACCCACAGCTAATAAATCAGAGGCGGTGACCAGAGCTGGAATGACCAAAACAGCCTGAGCTGGATCCACACAGAGCCTCAGAGGGGCAGAGAAGGGAGCCCTCTGGCCACCTGCCCTCTCCTGTAGCGCCAGCTCCCTGAGCACTATTTTTTTTTTTTCCAAGACGGAGTCTCACTCTGTCATCCAGGCTGGAGTGCAGTGGTGCAATGTCGGCTCACTGCAACCTCCGCCTCCCGAGTTCAAGCGATTCTCCTGCCTCAGCCTCCCAAGTAGCTAGGATTGCAGGCGCGTGCCACCACATCTGGCTAATTTTAGTATTTTTAGTAGAGACGGAGTTTCACCCATGTTGGCCAGGCTGGTCTTGAACTCCTGACCTGCAGTGATCAGGAGTTCACTGCAGTGATCAGGCCCGCCTCGGCCTCCCAAAGTGCTGGGATTACAGGTGTGAGCCACCTCGCCCAGCCCTCCCCACGCTTTTTGAGTTCTCCCTGCAGACTTAGAATCTTTGGACAGCCTCCAAAATGACTCCCTTACAGCCAGAGCTGGGTCCCAGGTCATGAGAGGTTTTCAGAGCGTCTGAACAGACAGGCCAGCTCAGGGATCTCTGAGAGGGTTTACCTCCCACTCTACCAAGCCTCCTCCTGAGACCGCAACCCCCATACCCTGAATCCTATTCCCAGCTGGCCAGGCCTTGTGCCACCTCTTCTCACCAGGCAGGAATTGAGGCCCACAGAACAGAAGAGATCTGTCCAGAGCTTACTCTGAATCTATGTTCCCTCTCTGGGCCCCAGCATGTTGTGTCTGTACCTGAAGGATATATGTACAACCTGACGTCTCATGTGGGCACGTGAATTGTAGCCGGCTGGCTCAACCAGAATCCAAGCTCTGTAAAGGCAAGGCTTGAGCCTGGCCTAATTTTTGCAGGCTAAAATGCTAGCTCAGACCCCAGCTATAGAAAGAAAGAAGAAAGGAGGGAAGAGAGGAAGAAGAAATGTGAAACAAGGAAGGTTTTGGAACTGGGATTTTATTCTGATGGGGCCACAGTAACAATGAATTGTACAATTCCTTCAGGCGCGGTGGCTCACACCTGTAATGCCAGCACTTTGGGAGGCCGAGACGGGAGGATCGCTTGAGGCCTGGAGTTCCAGACCAGCATAGGCAACAAAGCAAGACCCCAAATCTACAAAAAATTTTAAAATTAGCCATGCACTGCATTCCCAGTGGTGCGGGCCTGCAGTCCCAGCTACTCAGGAGGCTGAGGTGGGAGGACTGCTTGAGCCCAGGAGGTCGAGGCTGCAGTGTGAGCTATGAACATCATGCCACTGTCATCCAGCCTGGGTGACAGAGGGATATTCTGTCTCTAAAAAACAAAAATTAGCAGCCGGTCACAGTGGCTCACACCTGTAATCCCAGCACTTTGGGAGGCTGAGGCGGGCAGATCACAAGGTCAGGAGATCAAGACCATCCTGGCTAACACAGTGAAACCCCGTCTCTACTAAAAATATAAAAAATTAGCCAGGCATGGTGGCACGCACCTGTAGTCTCAGCTACTCTGGAGGCTGAGGCAGGAGAATCGTTTGAACCCAGGAGGTGGAGGTTGCAGTGAGCTGAGATCATGCCACTGCACTCCAGCCTGGGCGACATAGTGAGACTCTGTCTCAAAAAAAAAATAAAAAAAAATTAAAATTAAAAATTAGCCAGGCATGGTGGTGCACGCCTGTAGTCCCAGCTCTTCAGGAGGCTGAAGCAGAAAGATCATTTGAGCCCAGGAATTCAAGGCTGCTGTGAGTTACAATCATACCACTGCCCACCAGCCTGGGCAACACAGCAAGACCCTGTAAAAGAAAAAAAAGAAAAGGGATTTTGTTCTCCTGCTCTAGAGTGTGAAGTCCCAGGGAAGGGCTGTGATAGGCCCAGGTGGTGTCATGTGACCACCCCATTGGCCCAATCACGATGACCAGAACTGAGTCTGATTCAAGAAACAAGGAAATGGCCCAGGGCAGACAGAGTCCCAGATGTCCACTACACGTGGGTTTATTTCGTTTGCCCAGCATATCAGCTCTGGAAAGGAAGGCAAGAAGAAGGGGTAAGTACTATGGCCTCCACCTTCTGGCTGAGAAACTGAGACCTTAAGAGATTTCTTTTCTTTCTTTTTTTTTTTTTTTTTTTCTGAGGTGGAGTCTGGCTGTTGCTCAGGCTAGAGTCTAGTGGTATGATCTCGGCTCACTGCAACCTCCGCCTCCCAGGTTCAAGTGATTCTCCTGCCTCAGCCTCCCAAGTAGCTGAGATTACAATCGCCCACCACCACATCTGGCTAATTTTTGTATTTTTAATAGAGACGGAGTTTCACCTTGTTGGTCAGGCTGGCCTCAAACTCCTGACCACGGGTGATCTACCAGCCTCAGCTTCCCAAAGTCCTGGGATTACAGGCGTGAGCTACTCTAGCCAGCCAAGATTTCTCCCATCATGAAACACTAAGTGGAACCTGTACCTGCCCACACCCATTCCCCACAAAGGCCAGGCCACAGCTGCCCCCACATCAAAGGAAAATTCAACTGGGGCCAGACACAGTGGCTCACACCTGTAGTCCCAGCACTTTGGGAGGCCAAGGCAGGTGGATCACCTGAGGTCCGGAGTTCGAGACCAGCCTGGCCAACATGATGAAACCCTGTCTCTAATAAAAATACAAAAATTTAGCCAGGCGTGGTGGTGGGCACATATAATCCCAGCTACTTTGGAGGCTGAGGCAGGAGAATCACTTGAACCCGGGAGGTGGAGGTTGCAGTGAGCCAAGATCGCACCACTGCACTCCAGCCTGGGCAACAAGATTGAAACTTCATCACACACACACACACACACACACAAAAGAAAAAAAAAGAAAAGAAAATTCAATTGGGACTTAACTCCTCCCGGAATTAAAGTGAGAGAAAGGAAAATGGATTTCAAATGTGTTTCGAGAGATTTCATCAAGACTGAAATGGCATTTTCTAGCACATGTCTCAGCACAAATCCATGTAGAGAAGGAAGCCATGTTCAGATGAGAATCTCAGAGCTATGCATGATAGAATTGAAAGAGGTTTGGCTGGGCATGGTGCTCACACTGTAATCCCAGCACCTTGGGAGGCTGAGGCGGGCAGATCATCTGAGGTCAGAAGTTTGAGACCAGCCTGGCCAACATGGAGAAACCCTGTCTCTACAAAAATACAAAAATTAGTTGGGTGTGGTGGCACATGCCTGTAATCCCAGCTACTCAGGAGGCTGAGACAGGAGAATCACTTGAACTCAGGAGGCGGAGGTCAGCCGAGACTGTGCCACTGCACTCCAGCCTGGGCAACAGGGCGAGACAACGTCTCCAAAAAAAAAAAAAAGAAAGAAAGAGAGAGAGAGAGAAGGGAGGGAGGGAGGGAAGAAGGAGGGAAGGGAGGGAGGGAGGGAGGGAAGAAGGAGGGAAGGGAGGGAGGAAGGAAGGGAAAGAGGGAGGAGGGGAGGGAGGAAGGAAGACTGTCTACTTTTCAGGGTTAGTATGTAGCATTCAATGTAAAACTACACACAGAGTGATTAGAACCGGTCATAGCACACAGTGAACGCCAGTACAGCCTGTCTACTGCAGTTATTATCCGTGTGCCCTTTTACAAGTCTCCTGCCGTCTTGGAAACTTGGCTTCGCCATCTGCGTAACAGGTGAAATGGTGGTGGCACCCCTTGAGGTGGGTCACATGAGTGTCACATGGGAAAAGTTTTGGAGCATGTCTTTGCAGTGTGTCCAGCTCAGATCAAAGGCAAGGGGTTGGGATTCTCTCACACCCTACAGGAGCCCCAGTGCATAAAAATGGGCTATTCCTGCCCTCTGTGAGCTTACAGTCCAGTGCAGGGGACTATTAAACTATGCAAGGAGATACAGCATGGAAGGACTTGCAGGCTGTGATATATGGAATTTGGATTTTGTCTTAAATCCAATGAGAAACTATCAAAAAGTTGTAAGCAGGGAGAAATGTGATCTGATTGACATTTTAATAAAATTACTCTGGGCCAGGTGCGGTGGCTCACGTCTGTAATCCCAGCACTTTGGGAGGCCGAGACTGGCAGATCACGAGGTCAGGAGATTAACACCATCCTGGCTAACCAGGTGAAACCGCGTCTGTACTAAAAATACAAAAATTAGCCGGGTGTGGTGGCAGACGCCTGTAGTCCCAGCTACTTGAGAGGCTGAGGCAGGAGAATGGCGTGAACCCGGGAGGTGGAGCTTGCAGTGAGCCGAGATTGTGCCACTGCACTCCAGCCTGGGCAACAGAGCGAGACTCTGTCTAAAAAAAAAAAAAAAAAAAAAATTACTCTGGTTGCCAGGCGCAGTGGCTCACGCCTGTAATCCTACCACTTTGGGAGGTCAAGGCAGGAGGATCACTTGAGGTCAGGAGTTCAAGACCAGCCTGGCCAACATGGTGAAACCCCATCTCTACTAAAAATACAAAAATTAGCCATGCGTGGTGGTGCATGCCTGTAATCCCAGCACTTTGGGAGGTCAAGGCAGGAGGATCACTTGAGGTCAGGAGTTCGAGACTAGCCTGGCCAACAAAGTGAAACCCCGTCTCTACTAAAAATACAAAAATTAGCCACGCATGGTGGTGCATGCCTGTAATCCCAGCACTTTGGGAGGTCAAGGCAGGAGGATCACTTGAGGTCAGCAGTTCAAGACTAGCCTGGCCAACATGGTGAAACCCCATCTCTACTAAAAATACAAAAATTAGCCATGCACGGTGGTGCACACCTGTAATCCCAGCTACTTGGGTGGCTGAGGCAGGAGAATTGCTTGAACCGGGCAGGCAGATGTTGCAGTGAGGCGAGATCGTGCCACTGCACTCCAGCCTGGGCGACAGAGTGAGACTCCATCTCAAAAAAAGAAAAAAGAAAAAAGGTTACTCTGGCTGCAGGGTGGAGGATGAGTGAATGGGAGGTGGAGCGAGGGCAGAGGCCCCCACGGGTAGGGCAGCAGAGATGGCCAGGAATAGTTGGATTGGGGTATTTTTCGGAGCTGGAGTCTACACAGTTTGATGTCAGATTGGGTGGGGAAGGTGAGGGAGAGGGTGATGTCAAGAAGGACTCCAAGGCTTCTGGCCTGAGCCCTGGGTGGAGGGCGGGGACATATCCTGAGAGGAGAGAGCCTGAGTTGAGTTTGGGACACGGGGAGTTGAACATGCCCTTGAGACATCCAAGTACAGGTCCCAGGGACAGCAGGGTATGCACCGTGACAGAAGGGACTCAGTGAGTGGGTGCTATTGTGAGGGCGGGTCTGCTATCCTTGGAAACAGAGCTTCGGAGGACCTAAGGGTGAGACCCTCGGGCCAGGGAGACCTGGACAGCCCCAACCCCTTCTTCCTAAGTCCCAGTACTCCCAAGTCTAGGGGAAATCTGGAGTCTTCCAAGGACTTGGTTCTAACACAGTGGTGCACATTCCTGCAATTTTCAGGGAGAGAAGGGGCCCAGAGGGATGGAGCCAGCCTGGGCTGACTCCAGGGAGGAGGAAGAGGAGGAGGAGGAGGAGGAGGAGAGGCACAGAGTGTGGCCTGGAAGCCCCTTCCTCAGTCTGTTTGCACAGCTGTCCAGGCCTGGCTGGGCAGGGAGGGAGTGAGTCATGGGTTTCCGGTTCACCAACCCCCACCTCCAGGGCAGGACAAGGTGCCTGCAGGTACAGAGTTTGGTGATGAAGTCTCCCCTGGGGAAGCTCCTCCTCTCTCCCTCCTCCCCAGCCCTTTGATCACACCTCTAGGGGTTGTTTTAGCTTTGTTTTTTGGCTTTTTGTGTTTGGTTTTTAGAGACAGGGTCTTGCTCTGTTGCCCAGACTGGAATGCAGTGGTGTGATCATAGCTCACTGCAGCCTCCAACTCCTGGGCTCAAGCCATCCTCCAGCCTCAGCATCCCAAGTAGCTGGAACTGTAGGCACACGCCACCACACTTGGCTAATTTTTTAATTGTTATTTTTTGTAGAGACGAGGTCTCGCTATGTTGCCCAGACTGGTCTGGAACTCCTAGCCTCAAGCGATCCTCCTGCCTTGGCCTCCCAAAGAGCTGAGATTATAAATGTGAGCCATCACACCTGGGCAATCCCCGTTTCATGGTTTAAAAGGAAGACTCGGGGCCCAGTGCAGTGGCTCATGCCTGTAACCCCAGCAGTTTGGGAGGCCAAGGTGGGCAGATCACCTGAGCTCAAGAGTTCGAGACCAGCCCGGCCAACGTGGCAAAACCCCATCTCCATTAAAAATACAAAAATTAGCCGGGCATGATGGCACATGCCTATAATCCCAGGTACTTGGGAGGCTGAGGCAGGAGAATTGCTTGAACCCAGGAGACGGAGGCTGCAGTGAGCCAAGATTGCACCACTGCACTCCAGCCTGGGTGTCAGAGTGAGACTCCAACTCAAAAAAAAAAAAAAAAAAAAGGTGGATTCGGGAAGGTCAAGTGACTTCCCAAGGGCATTAGGCATCTCTGTGCTGGGCCTGCCTGACCCCAGGTCTCTGCTCCTGTCCACTGTGCCCTCACAGGATACCTCTCAGAAGTGAGAGAACTCTCTAGGTAGGAGCCAGAAAAGCATCGGAGGAAATTTCTCTCCCAGACCCATGATTTGGTTACTCCTCTCCTCAGCCCTGCCAACAGCCCCAAGGTGCACAGAGACCTTGCTTCTGAGACTCTGGCCAAGCTGGCTCTGAGAGTGAAAGGCTCAGTCTCTCTCGCCTGGGGAAGAAACATGCAGGCTTTAGAATCATGCAAGTAACCGTTTACCCACTTGGCTTCCTGTTAGGTTGTGTTTTTTTTTTCTTCCTTCCCCCAAGGGATGTCTCTTATCTGAAGGTTCTTAGGGGCTTTTGGTGCTGGGCTGTTTACCAATGGGTGACTGTTAGTGTCAGAACCAGCCTCTTGGGAAGAGTGAGGTGAAGAAAAGCAAGACCAGGTGAGCCCTTGGTCATCCACACAGCCACAGGAGTACAGGCTGGATGGGACAAGCACGCCCTGGGCAGTGAAGGACCATGGCCACATCCAGCTCTCCTGCCAATTTCAGGCTCCGTCTTCCAAACAGGGCGCGATTTAGCCAAGTGAAAGTGAGTTGGTGGCTGGGCGTGGTGGCTTAAACTGGTAATCCCAGCACTTTGGGAGGTGGAGGCAGAAGGATCACTTGAGGCCAGGAGTTGAGATCAGCCTGGGCAACATAGTGAGATCCCACTCTATAAAAAATTATAAAGTTAGCCAGGCGTGGCTACACAAGCCTGTAGTCCCAGCTACTTGGGAGGCTGAGGAGAGAGGATCACTTGAGCCCAGGAGTTTCAAGCTGCAGTGAGCCATAATTGCGCCACTGCACTCCAGCCTGGGCAACAGAGGGAGGTCCTGTCTCTTCAAAACAACACATTTAAAACATTTCACCTGTAATCCTACCACTTTGGGAGGCCAAGGCAGGTGGATCACCTGAGGTCAGGAGTTCGAGACCAGCCTGGCCAACATGGTGAAACCCCATCTCTACTGAAAATACAAAAATTAGCTGGGTGTGGTGGCTGGCACCTGTAATCCCAGCTACTCAGGAAGCTGATGCAGGAGAATCACTTGAGAGGGGGCGGAGGCAGAGGTTGCAGTGAGCTGAGATCATGCCACTGCACTCCAGCCTGGGCAACAGAGGAAGACTCTGTCTCAAAAATAAAAAATAAAATAAAAATAAAACGTTAGAACAGTGCTTGGTACACAGTGATGGCTCAGTAGATGTGAGCCAGTTATGAGTACTTAAAGCATAGCCTGTGCAAAGAGGCCGTGCTTCTAGCTTCACCTTTCCAACAGCATCTTTCCAGAACTTTCTATCTCCTGGTGGGCAAGGACCGTGAGAAACACCATAACCTGGAGAGGAATTCTGGGTCTCAAGATGGCTCCAGTTGTGCCTGTCTTAGGCAAGTGGGGTGGTGTGTGTGTGAGGGTGAGGGGTCCCAGGAAGGGTCCCCACACTTCACTCCTGCACCTCTCGCTCCCCACAGCCCCCCTCCCCTTTTCTAACTCCAAAAAGCCCAGAGGCCCAGCCGTGTTTGGAGAAGGAGGGGGGCCCTGAAGCTTGGGCCACCTTCAAAGTGACTGCAGGGAGGAAGATGTGGACACTAGACTACGTACTGACCACTCTGAGAAGGAAGCCCGCGGGGGAAGGTGGATGGGCGGTGGGCGTCACGGCAAAGGGGTTTAGGGGAGACAGGGATGTCTGTGAGCTGTGGGAGGTGCACACTGAAGACCCAAGAGGTGAGAATGGATGGAACTGCCCCTGAGAAGGGGGACAGGGGTCCCCTCCTCCCCTGAGAAGGAACAAACCGTTGCACTTGTCGGCAGGGCCCTGAGAAGTGGAAAGTGGATTTGATCTTCCTTAGACCATCACGTACCCGCAGCACCCTAGAATGTAAACAGGGCTGGGAATGCGATGACCAGGTCCTGGTACCTTAAGGGCTGGTACCTCTACCTCCATCGGGACCTGGTGCCAGAAATAAGAAGATTCTTAGACTATCCCCACTGGAGGCTGGGCGCAGTGGCTCAGCCTGTAATGTCAGCACTTTGGGAGGCCTAGGCGGACAGGTCACTTGAGGCCAGGAGTTCAAGACCAGCCTGGCCAACATGGTGAAACCCCTCTACTAGAAATACAAAAATTAGCCGGGCATGGCGGCGGGGGTCTGTAATCCCAGCTACTCGAGAGGCTGAGGCAGGAGAATCACTTGAACCCGGGAAGCGGAGGTTGCAGTGAGCCGAGATTGTGCCACTGCACTCCAGCTGGGACGACAAGAATGAGACTCCATCTAAACAAAATAATAAATAAAAAATAAAAATAATAAAAGAATATCCCCACTGGAAGGGTCCTGCAAGGCCAGCCACGAATCTGTACAAGTCCTCGGACAGACTGAGAAACTGAGGCTCAGAGAAGCGGCCCCCACCCCATCGGAGCGTCCCAGCTCCACGCGCGCGCCTGGCAGGGGGCGCCCTTCCCCGCCGCGCGTGCCGGGCAGGGTCCCCCAAGGAGAAATCCCTCTTAAAAGAGTTTTTCCTTTCGCGTGAACTCGCCGCCTGCATCCAGCAGCGCGGTCTCCAAGGTGAACCTCGCACAAATGCGTTGCAGATGTACGTCCTTCCATTTCTGGCTACCGCGGAGCTGCTCGGGAGCGGCGGCGGCGTCCCCAGAGCGATCCAGCCCGCGTTTTCCGTTCCGCCCGCCAACTTTTGCAAGCTGTAGTTATTTGATAATGATTTTTTTTTCAAACCTCTCCCAATAATTGTTATCCTCCCCGCCCGGTGCAGCTCAGGTGATGGGCACAGACGGCAACGCAGCCGCCGCCGCCGCCTCCTCCTCCTCCTCGTCCTCCTCCTCCTCCTCCTCCGGGTGCGCTAGGCTCTGGCTCCAGCCCAGGGGGAAGAGCCACAGCGGAGGCGCCTTCTGCAAAGGCAGCGGGGACGGCCCCGGAGGCTGAGCCAGAGCGACCCCGGATCCGCCCCCGCCCCCCTCCATGAGGCCTCTCACACCCTCCCCCGGCCCAGGCCACCTCCCCCAAAGCCCACTCTCCGGAGGCCAAGGCTGTCTGGTGAACGGCTAGGGGCTGCTGGGCACAGAGTTCAACGCTGCAAATATTTATTAGACACCTACTGTATTCCCAGGCCCTGAGCAGAGCTGGCCTCCAAAACAAATGAGAACAGCCCTTGCCCTCAGGGAGACTGGGGGACGCCACCCCTAACCTGGGAAGGTGAGAGGGGCTTCCAGGGCAGGGATACCCCCGACAGAACCTGCTCAAAGTGCCAGAGCTAGACAAGGAGGGAAGGCTTGGCTCCGCAGCAAAGCTCAAGGCAGAGCTCCGCCCCTCCCCCATCACCTTCAGCCCTTCCTCCGGTTTCTGCCAAGGGTCATCACTGAAAGCACCCTCAGAGTCTCTTTTAGAAAGCTACGGGTCTCTGCGGTCGTGGTGGCTCACGCCTGTAATCCCAGTACTTTGGGAGGCCGAGGCGGGCGGATCACTTGAGGTCAGGAGTTCGAGACGAGCCTGGCCAACAAGGAGAAATTCCGTCTGTACTAAAAATACAATATTTAGCCAGGTGGGATGGTGTGTGCCTGTAGTCCCAGCTACAGCCCATCGCTTGAACCGGTGATGAGCCGAGGTCGTGTCACTGCGCTCCAACCTGGGCCAGAGCGAGACTCTGTTAAAAAAAAAAAAAAAAAAAAGCTACCGGGCTCAGAAAATGGAGTCATGTAGGTAAGAGTGGAAGCAGGTGGCTGAGAGGCAGGCCCACACTAACTCCTTTTTGGAATCCCTGAGGTGCACACATAAACAGGGGTGGCAGGAGGGCAGGCTGGAGAGGGCCCAGGTGAGCTGCTGACCCCCACGGGACGGGGGGAGGTCACATCTGGGTCTGATGGCTCAGCCACAAGTGGTTTGAAAGGGGCCCTTTGCTGGAGGGAAGTAAGCCCAACCTCAGCTTGGTTACATCCCCAGAAAGCCCGGAGAGTTCTTTTTTTGTTTGTTTGTTTTTGTTTTTTAAGCCTGAGCTCATTTTTTAAGTTTTTAAGTGAATATTCAGTTTTGGTTTAAAGTTTTTAAATGAATACTAAGAGTTTTCGTTAAAGTTTTTTTTACGCATACTAAGTTCTTTCTTTCATTAAGCCTGGGTTGATTTTCAGCTTTTTAATGAATACCATTTTAATTATTTATTTTAAATACTAAGGTTTTGTGTTTTGTTTTGTTTGTTTTTGTTTGTTTATTTGTTTGAGACGAAGTCTTACTCACTCTGTCGCCCAGGCTGGAGTGCAGTGGTGCAATCTGAGCTCCCTGCAACCTCTGCCTCCTGGGTTAAAGTGATTCTCCTGCCTCAGCCTCCCGAGCAGCTGCGATTGCAGTCATGCACCACCATGCCTGGCTAATTTTTGTATTTTTAGTAGAGATGAGGTTTCACCATGTTGTCCAGGCTGGTCTCAAACTCCTGACCTCAAGTGATCCACCCACCTCGGCCTCCCAAAGTGCTGGGATTACAGGCATGAGCCACCGTGCCTGGCCTTAAATGCTAAATTTTTATTTTAATAAGTTTTTAATGAATTCATTTTAAGTTTTTTGGGGGTTTTTTGTGGGGGTCCAGGGGGGACCAGGTCTTGCTGTGTGGTTCTGTCACCCAGGCTGGATGCAATGGCATGATCATAGCTCACTGCAGCCTCACACTGCTGGGCTCAAGTGATCCTTGGTAGTGGCCGGAGTTCTGGGTACCTGGAGGTGGGCAGTGATAGAGGCATTTCCCAGGCAGGAGGTACCACTTAGGTGATGACTGACTCCTGGTGACTCTTTGACCTTGCCTGAACCACGAGTGACTCTGGAGCAGCGAATGTATTATCTCTATCACGCCAACCAAGAGCTGATATAGATAGGGCATTATTGAAGATCCATCTAAGGGCAGATGGAAGAGGGGCCCATGAAGCCACACTCCAAGGTCTAGTTTTCTTGTTGTTTTTTTGGGGGGAGTGGGAGACAATTATGGGTTTTTGTTCTTTGAGGGATTTTGGGGGTTTTGTTGGTTTTTTGGTTGGGTTGTTTGCTTTTGAGACAGGGTCTTGCTGTGTCACCCAGACTGGAGTGCAGTGGCACAATCATGCCTCACTATAACCTCAACCTCCTGGGCTCAAGTGATCCTCCCACCTCAGCCTCCCAAGCAGCTGGGACTACAGGCATGCACTGCCATGCCTGGCTCATTTTTAAATTGTTTTTTAGAGATGGGTTCTCACTATGTTTGCCCAGGCTGGTCCTGGACTCCTGGCCTCAAGAGGCCCTCGGCCTCCCAAAGTGCTGGGATTACAGGTGTGAGCCACACCACAGTTGCCCTCTAAAGTCTAGTTTTATCTTGTGAAGAGTGAGGAGCCGCTATGAGGTGATAAGTCAGTGTCCTTCCAGACCCTTCCAGGAAGCCCACTCCGACTGTTACCCTGGGGTTCACTGGTATCTCTGAGCACCTTGTGCTTCTGAGCCAGGCCCCCGGCTATGGAAGGGGTGGGGGCGATGCTCCTAGAGGTTGGAGGACAGATCATGAATGACAGAACAGTCTGATTTTCCTGGAGGACGCCCCTCCTTAGACAGGGCAAGCCCCCAGCCAGTGCCTCCTCCTTCCCAGCACTCAATGCTCCTCCTCTGCCTCCTTCACCTTTCACTTCCTCTTCCTCCACCTTCTGCTGCTCACCAGAGTCCAACTCACATTTCTTTAAAAACTTAAAATGGGCTAAGTGCATGGTGGCATGCACCTAAAATCCCAGCACTTTGGGAGGCTGAAGCAGGAGGATCGCTTAAGGCCAGGAGTTCGAGGCTGCAGTGAGCTATGATCACACACTGCTGCACTCCAGCCTGGTTGACAGAGATCCCATCTCTAAATATTAATAATAATAGACTGGGTGTGGTGGCTCATGCCTGTCATCCCAGCACTTTGGGAGGCTGAGGAGGGCAGATCACCTGAGGTCAGGAATTCGAGACCAGCATGGCCAACGTGGTAAAACCCTGTCTCTACTAAAAATACAAAAATTAGCCAGGCCTGGTGGCGGGCACCTGTAATCCCAGCCACTCGGGAGCTTGAGGCAGGAGAATCACTTGAACCTGGGAAGCAGAGGTTGCAGTGAGCTGAGATCGTACCACTGCACTCCAGCCTGTGCAACAGACCATGATTCAGTCTCAAAAATTAATAATAATAATAATAAAATAAAGCTTCTTTGATGAACGGATCCAAAATTTTCCGATCAGAAAATCTAGAAAGAAGGTATTTTAATTTCAGCATATGTGTAAGTTTCATGGTTTCAGGGGTGTCCAAGGGAGAGAATACAGTCACAGGCTCTTAGTTTCTGTTTCTGGTTGGGTCAGTAAATCCCCTTCCTCATCCCTCTTTTCCGCTTGTCACTAGAGACAGAAACTAAAAACCATGGTTTCAGGCTGCTAAAAGCCTAAAACAGAACAGAACAACAACAGCCAAACAAGGCAGGTTGGGCAAGCTTGATAGGGTTTAGTATCATTTTTTATTGTTTATTCTGTATGGACAGGGCACATCATCTGCTCATTGTGGGACCTGCGCAAGACCCAGATCAGGGCTACCTCCTCCAGGAAGCCTTCCAGGCTCTACAGGCTGCGTCAGGTCCTATCTGCCGTGCTCCCACAGCCCCTGGGGTCCTCACCATTGCAGTCCTCAATACGCAATATTGGAGTCATTGGTTTACCCATCCCTCTCCCTCATCACGAGCTCCTGGCGGCAGAAACTAGAGTCATTCCTCCCTGCGTCCCCAGCGGTGCAAGCAAGGTGCCAGGAACAGTTAGTGGCACTGAGTCTGAGAAGCAGGCTGGCCTGTGTAAGTTGCCTTCTGCTCCAGCTGTGTCCTGGGTTGTGATGGGATCAGACCGCCTTCTAAGAGGCCCTTTCACAAGCTTGCCACCCTCCCCCACCGGGTTGTGGGACCCTCTTTGGAGCCTCAGAGAAATCCCTTTCTTCCTGTCTCCCTGGACTCAGCCACCACCCTCCCAGCCTGCCGGGAGGGGACTCCCACAGACACCTCCCCTCCCTGTCCAGCCCGGAGGAGGGGGATCAGATGCCGGGCTGGAGGCCCCTTGTCTGCACAGAGGCAGGATTTATCTCAGTTTGGGGAGGTCTGGGGCCCCCAAAGTCCTAGATCATCATTAGTTCCATCAAAGAGGCGGCTGTGATCTCAGAGACAAGATGCATGGTGTTCAAATTGGAAACAGCCTGGTGGGCCGAGGGGCCGCGCTGGGCGGGGAGAGGGTTCGGGCCGCCTCCGGGGGACCCCAGGACACTGGAGGCATCCCACAGACGGTCACAGGAAGAGGAGGAGGAGGAGGAGGAGGAGGGAAGAGAAAACATTCCACTCAGGCTCCAGGGAAGAGAGCCGTGCACAGATGGAGCAAAGCCAAGTCTGCGAGTCAAGGCGACCTCCCCACGGAGGCTGGAGAGAAAGGATGGCCAATTGTACTCACCAGTCACCCCATGAGGGTCCTACTGCGTCCCACCCCGCACCGCAAACCTTCGTGGGCCCTGTCTCACCACCCACAGCAACCCCTGAGAACTAGAAAGTGAAGGAATGCATTGCCTTTGCTTTACAGATGGGGAAACTGAGGCTCGGGTGGGGGGAGGGCAAATGGATGTGCCCTAGATCACCAGGGGTACCTGGCACGGCTGGGGTTCCAGCCCAGGTGCCTGGGTCTCTGGAACTTCACCCTGACTCTGGAAAGCCATAGCAAGGAATTGGTTTTTTTTTTTTTTTTTTTTTTTTTTGAAACGGATTTTTGCTCTTGTTGCCCAGGCTGGAGTGCAGTCTCGCGATCTCAGCTCACTGCAACATCCGCCTCCCGGGTTCGAGCGATTCTCCTCCTCAGCCTCCCAAGTAGCTGGGATTACAGGTGCCCACCACCATGCCTGGCTATTTTTTTTTTTTTTTTTTTTTGTATATTTAATAGAGATGGGGGGCTGGGCACAGTGGCTCATGCCTGTAATCCCAGCACTTTGGGAGGCCGAGGTGGGTGGATCACGAGGTCAGGAGATCAAGACCATCCTGGCTAACATGATGAAACCCTGTCTCTACTAAAAATACAAAAAAATATTAGCTGGGTGTGGTGGCGGGTGCCTGCAGTCCCAGCTACTCGGGAGGCTGAGGCAGAAGAATGGCGTGAACCAGGGAGGCAGAGCTTGCAGTGAGCCGATATCGCGCCACTGCACTCCAGCCTGGGCGACAGAGCGAGACTCTGTCTCAAAAAAAAAAATAGAGATGGGGTTTCACCATGTTGGCCAGGTAGACCTCAGGTGATCTTCCCGCCTTAGCCTCCCAAAGTGCTGGGATTACAGGCGGGAACCACTGTGCTCAGCCAAGGGATTGTTGAGTGTGTACAGTTCTCTATCCTTGTCGCTGCCTGTTAGCGGCTGGCACCGAGACAGCAGTTCGATTTGAAACTTGAGGTTTAAAATAGAGCTGGAGAAACAAAACAGAAATTTCTCCTAAATATTGAGAAGTAGCCATACTAGCAGACAGAATGAGATTTAACTGGCACATTCAACTATAGAAACAAACATAAAAGATCTCTCCCACCCTACTGCTCTTTGTGGGTAACCATCTCCGTCTAGACCCCCTCCAAAGGATGTCCTCTAACCCCTGCCCACCCCACAGGCCTCCAGATATCTGGTCCCTCCAGTTCCCCTGGTCCCCCACCTGTGCTCCCCGCATACTCCCCACAAGTCCCTTTCCAGTGGATGGAGGGTAGTTGAAGCCGCTGTCTGCTGGTGCTGTGGGCCACCTGGGTGCAGTCCCTGCCTGGCTCTGCTGAAAAGACAGAGGCTCTGACTTAGTGGATGTGGCCTCCAACCCCCAATGGACAGAGGGAGCCTCCAAGAGGTAGCCAAGACATTAAAATGCCTGCAAGGTGGGGGGGGTGGTAATGCTTTAGTGGACGATAGGACCAGAGAAGTGATCAGGTGAGGAAGTTGTCCCTAGGAGCAGGGGAGAGAGAGGAGATAGGACTTCTGTTGGTCGGGCATGGCAGTTCATGCCTGTAATCCCAGGACTTTCAGAGGCAGAAGTAGGAGGATCACATAAGGTCAGGAGTTCAAGACCAGCGTGGGCAACATAGCGAGACCCTGTATCTAAAAAAAAAAAAAAAAAAAAAAAGCCTTCTGCCTAAGAGTGTTTCAGAGACTCTGTTTATAATGGTGAAAAATGGGAAACAACCTAAATTTCCAGCAATAGTTAACTAATCCCATGTGATGGACTATCAAATCACCATTACAAGCAATGCCTGTGGACTTCTTTTATTAGCATGGGAGAAGTGCTGTCAGCACGATACAAGATTAAATGAGATAATTTATGTAAAGGATTTATCACAGTGCCTGCCACAATATAAACACTCAAAAACTATTAGCTGTGGTGTGTGATAAAGGCAGGAATGAAAAAACATATATATATGGAATAATTCCAGATTTGTAAACAACAACAAACACGTTTTAAAAGGCAGGAGGGGCTGGGCACAGTGGCTCATGCCTGTAATCGCAGAGCTTTGGGAGGCCGAGGCGGGAGAATCGCTTGAGCCCAGGTTTTCAAGACCAACCTAGGCGACATAGCAAGACCCCATCTCTACAAAAAATTTTAAAAATTAGCCAACCGTGGTGGCGCATGCCTGTAGCCGCAGCTACTCTGGAGGCTGAGATGGGAAGATGACTTGAGGCCAGGAGTTTGAGGCTGCAGTGAGCCATGATTGCACCACTGTACTCCAGCCTGGGTGATACAGCAAGACCCTGTCTCAAATAATAATAATAATAAAGGCAGAAGGAAATATTAGAAAATATTGTTGAGTTGTGGGATAATTGGAGATTTGGGGGCTCACTCCTCTGTATTCTCCAATTTTTCTATGAGTGAATATATTTTTCTATTAGTGGAAATTTTTTCCAGCATTTTATTATGCAAATTTCCCAACATGCAGCAGAGTTGAAATAATATTACAATGAGCAAATATATACCTCTTCCTAGATTCCACACTAACATTTTATTATCTTTTATCTCACAACCATTCACCTACCTAACCTCGCTCTATCCAGCCATAAATCCATCCTAGTTTTCATAATGCCTTTCATTTTATATTTTTATTTTGTTTTGAGATGGAGTCTTGCTCTGTCCCCCAGGCTGGAGTGCAGTGGTGCGATCTCGGCTCACTGCAACCTCCGCCTCCTGGGTTCACGCCATTCTCCTGCCTCAGCCTCCCGAGAAACTAGGACTACAGGCGCCCGCCACCACGCCCGGCTAATTTTTTTTGTATTTTTAGTAGAGACAGGGTTTCACTGTGTTAGCCAGGATGGTCTTGATCTCCTGACCTCGTGACCCGCATGCCTCGGCCTCCCAAAGTGCTGGGATTACAGGCGTGAGCCACTGCACCCGGCCCTATAACGCCTTTCAAAGTAAACTGCAGACACCTTCCCGTAAATACTTCAACATGTGTATCAGGAAAAGTAGGGTTTTTGTTTTTGTTTTTGTTTTTAGACAGAGTCTTACTTGTTGCCCAGGCTGGAGTGCAGTGGTGCAATCTCCACTCACTGCAACCTCTGCCTTCTGGATTCAAGTGATTCTTCTGCCTCAGCCTCCTGAGTAGCTGAGACTACAGTCATGCACCACCATGCCTGACTAATTTTTGTATTTTTTTAGTAGAGTCGGGGTTTCACCGTGTTGTCCAGGCTGGTCTTGAACTCCTAAACTCAAGTGATCCTCCCACCTTGGCCTCCCAAAGTGCCAGGATTACAGGCATGAGCCACTGCACCTGGCCAGGGAAAGTAGTTTTTAATAGTTACCTAGAGGAGAGAGGCTGTCCTCAGCCCTGAGAAAGCAGCCCCCCTTCTCCACCCTTCTTGCAACAGGCTAGTCTGGAGGGGCTGCCGTGGGGTGGGTTGAGGCCCAGCCCTCCAGCCTTCCTTTCTGGGTGACCTAATCGGCCCTTGCGGCCCAGGGGTTTCTCCTGACCTGATGCAGAGACAGTGAGATGTAAATAAATCTCTGTTCTTTTCATCACCTGAGGGTGTGGTGAAGATTACCTGAGATAAACCTGAATTCACCTTGGGCTTCCTATAGGGGTAAAGTTGTCAGATTAAGCAAAAAATATATATAAAAATCAGCCAGAATTGGTGGCATGCACCTGTAGTCTTGACTACTCAGGATGCTAAGGTGGGAAGGATCGCTTGAGCCCAGGAGTTCGAGACTACGGTGAGCTATGATCGTACCACTGCACTCCAGCCTAGGCAACAGATCAAGACCCTGTCTCTAAAAAAAAAAAAATTGCTGGGCACAGTCGCTCATGCCTGTAATCCCAGCACTTTGGGAGGCTGAGGTGGGCGGATCAAAAGGTCAGGAGATCGAGACCATCCTGGCTAACACGGTGGAACCCCATCTCAACTAAAAATACAAAAAATTAGCTGGGCATGGTGGCGGGCAGCTGTAGTCCCAGCTACTTGGGAGCCTGAGGCAGAAGGGCATGAACCTGGGAGGTGGAGCTTGCAGTGAGCTGAGATCGCTCCACTGCACTCCAGCCTCTGTGGCAGAGCGAGACTCTGTCTCAAAAAAGAAAAATTAATAATAATAATAATACATAATATAAAAAATACAGGACACCCAGTAAAATTTGATTTTCAGATTAACAAAATTTTTTAGTGTAAGTATATCCCATGAAATATTTGGGATATACTTGTACTAAAAAAATGACACAGTCTGTATTTTATCTGGCAACCCTATGCAAGATGGGAGAATCAAAGCCCCAGAAAGGAAAGCATGTCAGGAGTTAGGATACGGGTTGGGTTATTTTTTTTTTTTTTTTTTTTTTTTGAGACAGGGTCTTACTCTGTTACCCAGGCTAGAGTGCAGTGGTATGATCATAGCTCACTACAGCCTCGACCTCCTGGGCTCAAGCAACCCTCCTACCTCAGCTTCCTGAGTAGCTGGGACCATGGGTGTGCACCACCACACTTGGCTAATTTTTTTATTTTTAAGAGAGATGGGGTCTTACTATGTTGCCCAGGCTGGTCTCAAATTCCTGGCCTCAAGCTTTCCTCCCACCTCAGCCACTCAGAATGCTGGGATTACAGGCGTGAGCCACCATGCCTGGCCCAGGGTGGGATTTTTTATAATAAAGTCTCACATTTGTACTGTACATTGTAGCCCACAAGGTGTTTTCAATTTGTCATCTCACTCAAGGATCATTATCAGTACCCAGGAGAGTAGGATTTTATTCCCATTTTAGAGTTGAAGAAACTGAGGGTCCTAGAAGCCCAGCTTCCAGCTTCCCCACCCAGCTGAAAAGGTGCGGAGTTGGTGCTCAGCCACGGCATCTGGCCTCCCGTGCAGGCTCTCCCCGGTCTGATTTCTCACTCTGAGCTCTCAGTAGACTACACATTTTTATCCTGAAACCCACAAGCGGGGTTCCGGGACGAGGCTTTCAGCTCCAGCTGCTTGAACGACCCTGTTTAAATGGACGTTAAAACGATGCAGAGAGAGTCCACCATCTCATCTCACTCAGAGGGGTCATGCAGAGTCAGAGAGAGGCCTCTGCGGGGTCTGTCCTCTCTGAAGTCCCTACTTTCCTATTTGCAGGGCAATTGTGTGCCTCGCAGGGCGAACTGCAGAGCCGAGAGGTAGGCACTTACTAGGCGACAGAGCTGAACCACCAGCCAAGACCAGTGATCCAGGCAGAGGCTGAGCTCTGTGTAGCTTTGGTGAAACTGAAGTTTTAGAGTTTTTCTTGCATCAAGTAAGAAAGACCATTATCCGGCCGGGCACAGTGGCTCACACCTGTAATCCCAGAACTTTGGGAGGCCAAGGCTGGTGGATCACGGGAGGTCAGGAGTTTGAGACCAGCCTGTCCAACAGAGTGAAACCCCGTCTCTACTAAAAATACAAAAATTAGCCAGGCATGGTGGTGGGCGCCTGTAATCCCAGCTACTCAGGGGGCTGAGGAAGGAGAATGGCTTGAATCCGGGAGGTGGAGGTTGCAGTGAGCCAAGATCATGTCACTACACTACAGCGTAGGGGATAGAGCGAGACTCCATCTCAAAAAAAAAAAAAAAAGACTATTATCCCGTTTATCTGCATGCATGTGGCCATTGCTTCATCTATTGGTTGCTTGGTTTGTCTGGAGATAGGGTCTCGCTCTGTCACCCAGGCTGGAGTGCACTGATGCAATCATAACTCACTGCAGCCTCTCACTCCTGGGCTCAATGATCCTCCCACCTCAGCCTCCCAAGTAGCTAGGACTACAGGTGTGCATCACCATGTCCAGCTAATGTTTAGTTTTTATTTTTGTAGAGTGGTTTTGCTATTTTGCCTAGGCTGGTGTCAAACTTCTGGCCTCAAGTGATCCTCCTGCCTCAACCTCTCAAAGTGCTGGGATTATAGGTGTGAGTCCCTGCACCCAGCCAGTTCAATGCATTTAAGCAGTGATTTTAAAACGTACTTTCTTTTGCTATCATTATTCACTGAAAAATATGCATTTAAATTTAGTAATGCAGTAACCAAATCTTTCTAGGTTGAATATCGTTGCATGCTGTTCTGACAAAGGAGGGGAAAACTCCCTGTCTGAATTTCCATGTTCCCTCCTCCTACACACATACACATCCTGCGCCACAACAGACTTTTTCTTTCCCAAAAGGAAGGTTCTTTTTTTTGTTTTGTTTTCACTTTGAACTCCTGAGATTCGTTTCTGGCAAGGTTCCTTTCCTCTCTCTCTACCAAACGGTTTTGAAACAGTCATCATTTCCCTGAGATGATAAACAGTGAGAGATTGCTTTTACTTTTGAAGGCAATGAAAACACGTCTATGGTTTCACTTTGAAACACATCAGGAAAAACACTCCTATCACATTTAGCACGTGTAAAGGAATTCTCCATTCATGGGCCACCTGTGTGTCTGATGATCGTTTAATACTGCTTCCCAAGTTTCAGCAATCGCTGGAAGCCACTCAATCACATCCAGCCTCGCGATGTGAGACCCGATATGTTTTCAGCAGTTACCCAGCGTCCTGCGGGTCTCTCCGCCACTCCCGTTACATGTGTTTTTGGGTAATCGCCAGTCTTTTCACAGATGAATGCCAGAACATGGAACAAAGGCTTGAATGCAACGAAAGCACGTCGCGGTTTTTTTATTTTTCTACAAAAGTGTCAGCATCACAAATTGCAAAGGACAATGGTCCCCGATGTGCCTGCACAGACCCCGTTATTCCACCTTGTACAATACTGCGGTGCAGCCAGGGTTCCCCACAGATGTGTCCACCCTTCTGTTGCGAATTCGGCCACCCATGTGACAAATTCCACTTTGATTAGCAGATAATAATTTGTTACTGACAGTTTCATTAGGGAGTCAATATCTTCGTCTCGCCCAAACTGCAATGATTTCAGATGTGCTTTACTTCTTTTGTATTTTCAGAATTTTTACAGAGATTTTATTTTTCAAAGCAGAAACTCCTGTGCTATGTGAATGAGTCTATATATATATATATATATAACTTTATATATATATATACAACTTTATATATATATATATACACGACTTTATATATATATATATACACACAACTTTATAATATATGGGCAACTTATATATGTCTTTTTTTTTAGATGGAGTCCCCCTCTGTCACCCAATCTGGTGTGTAATGGTTCAATCTCGGCTTACTGCAACCTCTGCCTCCTGGGTTCAAGCGATTCTCCTGCCTCAACCTCTCATGTAGCTGGGATTACAGGCACCTGCCACCATGCCCAGCTAATTTTTGTATTTTTATTAGTGATGGGGTTTCACCATGTTGGCCGGGCTGGTCTCGAACTCTTGACTTCAAATGATCCACCCGCCTTGGCCTCCCAAAGTGCTGGAATTATAGGCGTGAGCCACCATACCCAGTCTACATATGTCTCCTTTTTTAGAGATAGATGGGGTCTTGCAATGTTGCCCAGGCTGGTCTTAAACTCTTGCTCTCAAGCAATCCTCCCACCTCTGCCTCCCAAAGTGCTGGGGTTACAGGCATGAACTACTGCCCCTGGCCTCAACTTATGTATGTCTTTATGACCATATATATAAGTTAGTCTTAGTCATCTTTTCAATACCAGCAAAATCAAAGAGTCTCTATAAATTGAGATAGCGATTCAGATTTTTCTTACCTAAACTACAGTGGTTCTTTCCCATCCCAGAGATGGCCTTTGCATATTATCAGGAAACATTGATTTCATCTGCCATGCCCTGCAATGTTTCGGCTTTTATTTTTCTGGTGATTTCATTTTGAATTTGCTGACTTCTATAGGCATCAACAGATTCATACATTAGAATCACTCTCTTTTATGGCCTCCCAAAACTCCCTCCAAATTGGCTTTATTCACAGAAGGAATATTCTTGTCATGACTCCTTAACGATAAACACTGTTTTGCAAGAAATAAAATAGTTTAACCTTGAATTTCAGGTGTGTTCTTGTTTCCTCAAGCTGTTATGAGTGAGCAGATAATAATCTGTTAGTGACAGTTTCACTAGGAAATCAATATCCTCTCCCAATTGCAAATGATTTCAGGTGCATTTTACTTCTTTTGTATTTTCAGAATTTTTACAGAGATTTTCTTTTTCGAAGCAGAAACTCCTTGTACTGTGCAAATGAGTCTGCTCTGCAAAACATTGACAGAAACAATGAGGAGGGGTTTTTTTTGTTTTGTTTTGTTTTGTTTGAGACAGGGTCTTGCTCTGTCGCCCATGCTGGAGTACAGCGGCATGATCTCAGCTCACTGCAACCTCTGCCTCCCAGGCTCAAGCAATTCTCATGCCTCAGCCTCCCGAGTAGTTGGGACTGCATGCACATGCCACCATGCCGGGGTAATTTTTGTATTTTTAACAGAGATGAGGTTTCGCCATGTTGGCCAGGCCACTCTCGAACTCCTGGCCTCAAGTGATCCACCTGCCTCGGCCTCCCAAAGTGCTGGGATTACAGGTGTAAGCCACCTCGCCTGGCCAGGGAGGGTGTTTTTTTTACCCCATTTCCTACCCTGCAAATCTGACTCCAAGAGTTTTCATCACTTCCAGATTTGCCTTAAACTCTTCACACATTAAAAATACATTTTAAGACTCGGTAACATAGCGAGACCCCATCTCTACTAAAAATTAAAAAAATTAGCCAGGCATGGTGGTGCATGCCTGTGGCCCCACCTACTCGGGAGACTGAGGTGGGAAGATTGCTTGAGCCCAGGAGTTCAAGGCTACGGTGAGCTATGATCACACCACTGCACTCTAGCCTGGGCAATGGAGCAAGATCCTGTCTCAAAAAACTTAAAATTAAAAATAAAGTAGAAATAAATTTTAGCTTATCTCTCACAAATGTCAAACTATGTGTGGCATCCTGGCATGAAACCCTATAATTTTCTATATCTATATTGCCATCATTTACATACAGATTAAGTATTGGTGATAAAGGCATACTTGAAACATTGAGTCCCACCATTTGACAACATGACTCAAGAATGAAAAACAGATCGGGTATGGTGGCTCACACTTGTAATCCCAGCATTTTGGGGGGCCAAGGCAGTAGGATGGTTCAAGTCCAGGAATTTGAGACCAGCCTGGGCAGCATAGTTGGAGACCCTTGTCTACACAAAAAATTCAAAAATTGCCAGGCACAGTGGTTCACGCCTGTAATCCTAGCACTTTGGGAGGCTGAGGCGGGCAGATCAACTGAGGTCAGGAGTTTGAGACTATCATGGCCAACATGGCAAAACCCTGTCTCTACTAAAAATACAAAATTTAGCTGGGCCTGGCGGTGGGCGCCTGTAATCCCAGCTACCTGGGAGGCTGAGGCAGGAGAATCGCTTGAACCAGGAGGTGGAAGTTGCAGTGAAATGAGATCGCGCCATTGTACTCCAGTTTGGACAACAAGAGTGAAACTCCATCTCAAGAAAAATAAATACATAAAAAATTAGGTAGGTGTGGTGGCACAGACCTGTAGCCCCAGCCACTTGGGAGGCTGAGCTGGAGGGATTGCTTGAACCTGGGAGGTCGAAGCTGCAGTGAGCGATGACAGCGACATGGCACTCCAGCCTGGGTGACAGAGTGAGACCCTGTCTCAAAAACAAAACAAAACAGAAAAAACATTGCTGGCATTCCTAAGAATGGGGTCAATACCTTCAGAATCGGACTGCCCTGGACTCAAAACGCTCCCACGTTTCCACTTATCCACAGGCTTTTTAGACTGACTGAGCCAAACTCTTAGAAATATAAACACAGCATTTGATTTTCACATCTTTTTTCCAATAATTGCACTTACCAAGAGAGAAACCATAGCTGACCATGATCAATGTATCCAATGATTGAAGGAGAGTAAAACATTTGTTTTCCCCGCAATACAAAGGTATGCACTTATCAACATGAATAAGTTTACTTCAGTCAGCAGGCACAATATTTGTCAACTGAGGATGCTAAACTGATGGATCCCGTGGTGTTGGCTTTCATTTTTCTTTTGTAAGTGTCTTTTTAATTTCTCTTTTATGGAGATGGAGTCTCACTATGTTGCTCAGGTTGGTCTCGAACTCCTGGACTCAAGCAATCCTCCCACTGTGGCCTCCCAAAGTGCTGGGATTACAGGCATGAGTCACCGTGCCCAGCCAGCTTTCATTTTCTATCTTGATAAGGAGATAACTATTTTTTATTATTACTATTATTTTATACTACTACAGCAGAAAGAGAAGAATGGGCTAGGTGTGGTGGCTCACACCTGTAATCCCAGCACTATGGGAGGCCGAAGCAGGAGGATTGCTTGAGGGCAGGAGTTTCAGACCAGCCTGGCCAACATAGCAAGACCCCAGCTACAAAAAATTTAAAAATTAGCCAGGCCTGGTGGTGCATGCCTGTAGTCTCAGCTACTCAGGGGGCTGAGGTGGGAGGATTGCTTGAGGCCAGGAGTTTGAGACCAGCCTGGGCAACACAGCAAGACCCCATCTCTACAGAAAGAAAAAAAGTTTTAATTGTTTTAAAAAGAGCTGGGCCCAGTGGCTCACGCCTGTAATTCCAGCACTTTGGGAGGCTGAGGCGGGTGGATCACCTGAGATCAGGAGTTCGAGAACAGCCTGGCCAACATGGCGAAACCCTGTCTCTACTAAAAATACAAAAATTAGCTGGGCACGGTGGTGAGCGCCTGTAATCCCAGCTACCTGGGAGGCTGAGGCAGGAGAATTGCTTGAACCTGGGAGGCAGAGGTTGTAGTGAGCCGAAATCGCACCACTGCACTCCAGCCTGGGGGACAGAGCAAGACTCTGTCTCCAAAATAAAATAAAATAAAATAAAATAAATTGTTTTAAAAAGGGAATGATGAATTGTGTTTCACGCATATGTAGCTAATTCCACATTGTCTGACTTCTCTAACAGGTTTTTGACATTAATGCAGTTTTTCTTCTCTGCCTTTTTGGGAAATCGGGGTCACTCCTAGGATGTTCCATTCACCCTCTTACTCCTTGGACTTTTGAGGAACATTTCCATGCCAGGGACACAGCTAAACCCTGGACACACAGATGAACAATCCATTTCCTGGCCTGGAAAGCTCATAACTCCAAAGGTAAGACAGCTGTTGACAATTCTAAACCGTTTTTATTTACAACACTTCTAACACCAAACCCAAACGTGTGAGGTTTTCTTCCCCACATCAACCAATTCTCCAACTTTCCAGACACCAACTGGGTGTCCCACAATTCAAATCAATTCTTCTTTATTTTATTTATTTATTTATTTATTTTGAGACAGTGGCCCAGGCTGGAGTGCAGTGGTGCAATCACAGCTCACTGCAGCCTTGACCTCCCAGACCCAAACAATCTTCCTGCCTCAGCCTTCCAAGTAGCTGGGACTACAGCACCACCATACCTGGCTAATTTTTAAAAAATTCTTTTTGCTGAGACAGAATCTTCTTATGTGGCCCAGGCTGGTCTTGAACTCCTGGGCTCAAGTGATCCTCCCATCTCAGCCTCTAAAAGTGCTGGGATTATAGGCATGAGCTGCAGCACCCGGCCAATTCAATTCAATTCCTTTTTTTCTTTTTTTTGAGACAGAGTTTCTCTCTGTTGCCCAGCTGGAGTGCAATGGCATGATCTCAGCTCACTGCAACCTCCACCTCCAGGGTTCAAGCGATTCTCCTGCCTCAGCCTCCTGGGTATCTGGGACTACAGGCGTGCGCCACCACGCCTGGCTAATTTTTGTATTTTTAGTAGAAATGGGGTTTCACCATGTTGGCCAGGCTGCTCTCGAACTCCTGACCTTAAGTGATCCACCCGCCTCGGCCTCCCAAAGTACTGGGATTACAGGCGTGAGCCACCACACACAGCAATTCAATTCAATTCTGACACTAACTGCCAGGAGTTAGGGCAGATCCCACAGGATAAGGACTCAGGCCCACAAGACTGCTCCCCACTTCAGATGCCAATCACATGTATTGAGTGCACAGAGGACCCACTTTTTTTTTGAGATAGGGTCTTGCTCTATCACCCAGGCTTCAGTGCAATGGCACACAGGATCATAGCTCACTGCAGCTTCGATCTCCTGAACTCAAGCAATCCTCCCACCTCAGCTTTTCAAGCAGCTGAGACCATAGGTGCGTGCCAGCATGCTCGGCTAATTTTTATTTTTTATTTTGTAGAGACAGAGCCTCGTTATGTTGCCTAGGCAGGTCTCAAACTCCTGGATTTAAGCGATCCTCCTGCCTTGACCTCCCAAAGTGCTGGGATTACAGGCGTGAGCCACGGCACCCAGCCCCATATCCGCATTTTTGTCCAACTTGGCTATAAAGTTGTGGGTTCCCACAATCCCCTCCTCAGATTCAGTAATTTGCCAGAATGGCTCACGGAACTCAAGGAAACACTTTCCTTACTATTATTGGTTCATCTTCAAGGATATTATAAAGGATACAGATGAAGACACAGAAGAGATTACACAGGGCGAGGGGTGGGGGACTGGTGGAGTTTCCGTGCCCTCTCCAGCAAGCCACGCTCCCCGCATCTTTTTTTTTTTTTTTTTTTTTGAGATGGAGTTTCGCTCTTGTTGCCCAGGCTGGAGTGCAATGGCGCGATCTCGGCTCACTGCAACCTCTACCTCCCAGGTTCAAGCAATTCTCCTGCCTCAGCCTCCCTAGTAACAGGGATTACAGGCATGCATCACCACGCCCGGCTAATTTTGTATTTTTAGTAGAGATGGGATTTCTCCCTGTTGAGGCTGGTCTCGAACTCCTGACCTCAGGTGATCCACACACCTCGGACTCCCAAAGTGCTGGGATTCCAGGCTTGAGCCACTGCACCCAGCCTCTCCCCGCATCTTGATGTGTTCACCAGCCTCGAAGCCCCCTCAACCCAGTCATTTAAGGGCTTTATGGAGGTTTCATTACATAGGCATGATTGAGGAAATCATTGGCCATTGGTGATTAATTCACTCTCCAGTCTCTCTTCCCTCCTTGCAGGTCCAAGTTGGGGCTGAAAGTTCCCACCTTCTAATCATGTGGTTGGTTTTTCTGGCATCCACCCCCATCCTGAAACTGTCTAGTGGCCCAGAAAGTGTCACCTCATTAGCATAAACTCAGATTTGGTGGAAAGGAGTTTGTGATGAATAATAACAGACACTCTTGGGCCGGGTGTGGTGGCTCACACCTGTAATCCCAGCACTTTGGGAGGCCGAGGTGGGCGAATCATCTGAGGTCAGGAGTTTGAGACCGGCCTGGCCAACATGGTGAAACCCAGTCTCTACTAAAAACACAAAAATTTGCTGGGTGTCGTGGTACACACCTGTAATTCCAGCTACTTGGGAGGCTGAGGCAGGAGACTCACTTGAACCCAGGAGGCAGAGGTTGCAGTGGGCCAAGATGGCACCACTGCACTCCAGCCTGGGTGACAGAGCAAGACTCCGTCTCAAAAAATACATATAAAAAAATAAAAATAAAAGACACTCCTAGCACTCAGGAAATTCCAAGGGTTTTGGAGGCCTGTGCCTAGAACCAGAGACAGACCAAATATAGATCTATTTCTTACTATATCACAGTTACAGTGGGATAACTGCAGGAGATTGGTAGGTCATTTCTTCCTGGTGGGGTGAGGAGGAAGGAGCAAAGGTTTCATAGAAGTGACTGGCAGCCAGGCAGGGTGGCTCAGGCCTGTAATCCCAGCACTTTGGGAGGCTGAGGCAGAAGGATTGCTTGAGTTCAGGAGTTCAAGACCAGCCTTGGCAGTATAGCAAGACCCCCATCTCCACAAAAAAAAATTGAAAAATTAGCCAGACATTGTGGTGCACACCTATAGTCCCAGCTACCCAGGAGGATGAGGTGGGAGGATAGCTTGAGCCTCAGAGGTTGAGGCTGCAGTGAGCTGATTGCATCACTGCACTCCAGACTTGGTGGCAGAGTGAGAATCTGTCTCAAAAAAAAAAAAAAAAAAAAAAAAGCCAGGCACGGTGGCTCATGCCCTGTAATCCCAGCACTCTGGGGGGCTGAGGCGGGTGGATCACCTGAGGTCGGGAGTTCAAGACCAGCCTGACCAACATGGTGAAACCCCGTCTTTACTAAAAATACCAAAAATTAACCAGACATGGTGGTGCACGCCTGTAATCCCAGCTACTCGGGAGGCTGAGGCAGGAGAATTGCTTGAACCCAGGAGGCGGAGGTTGCAGTGAGCCGAGATCGCGCCACTGCACTCCAGCCTGGATGACAGAGAGAAACTCTGGCTCAAAAAAAGAAAAGAAAAGAAAAAAAGAAGTGACTGGCAGTGGCAGGAGCAGGGGATGACTTGTGGCCACCCATAAACCCAACCAACACCCAAGCCACCACCTCCAAAATCATACAACCTCAGTGGAAAGGCCATGAAAATTCAGTTTGAAGACAAGTTCCCAGTTTCTCTACCCAACCTGATTTCAACCCTCAACCCTCTCCCAAATAGAAATTGGGGGGGGAGGGGGTGCTTTTTCAGGCCCTTTGCCCACCTTTGGGGAGAGACAGCCTCCTCCTCTGGCACTAAGAGGATGCTGGTGTTAGCTAGCACCATCCTTCACATCCAGAAAGGACTCCCTGCTCCCGGCCCCCAAAAGCAGACCTTGTTCCACCTTGGATGGGGCTGATATGACAAACACCGGTGCCTGTCCCAGGATCAGACACATTGCCACAGAATCTCTGGGCATGGGACCTAGGTGTCTGCATGCATTTAAAACAAGTTTTTTAATTTTTATTTTTTATTTTATTTTATTTATTTATTTTTTTTGAGACGGAGTTTTGCTCTTGTTGCCCAGGCTAGAGCACAATGGTGCGATCTCGGCTCACTGCAACCTCCGCCTCCCAGGTTCAAGCAATTCTCCTGCCTCAGCCTCCCGACTATCTGGGATTACAGGCATGCACCACCACACTTAGCCTGGCTAATTTTGTATTTTTAGTAGAGACGGGGTTTCTCCATGTTGAGGCTGGTCTTGAACTCCTGACCTCAGGTGATCCACCCGCCTCAACCTCCCAAAGTGCTGGGATTACAGGTGTGAGCCACTGTGCCCGGCCAAATTTTTTTATTAAAGAGATACGGAGTCTCACTCTGTTGCCCAGGCTGAGGTGCAGATTATAGCTCACTGCAGCCTTGATCTCCCAGGCTCAACTGATCCTCCTGCTTCAGCCTCCCAAGTAGCTGGGACTACAGGTGCGCACCACTACACCTGGCTAATGTTTTAAAATTTTTGTCAGCCGGGTGTGGTGGCTCACAGCTGTAATCCCAGCACTTTGGGAGGCCGAGGCGGGCAGATCACCTGAGGTCGGGAGTTCAAGACTAGCCTGAAGAAACCCCATCTCTACTAAAAATAAAAAATTAGCTGGGCGTGGTGGCACATGCCTGTAATCACAGCTACTCGGGAGGCTGAGGCAGGAGAATCACTTGAACCCGGGAGGCAGAGGTTTCAGTGAGCCGAGATCACACCATTGCAGTCCACCCTGGGTAACAAGAGTGAAACTCCGTCTCAAAAAAAAAAAAAAATTGAAGAGACAGGGTCTCACTATGTTCCCTAGGCTGGTCTTGAACTCCCAGCTTCAAGCAATTCTCCCACCTCAGTCTCCCAAAGTGCTGGGATTACAGGCATGAGCCACCGTGCCTAGCCCTGCACTTTTAAACACCTGCCCGATCACCTGTTATGCACACTGAAGTTTGAGAACTGCTGCTCTTATCTTTTGTTTCATAAAGAGGAGTGGGGCTCCCTGGGAAGCCAGACCCCTAGGACAGCCAGGGTCACTGATGCCCATTGGAAGGCTGGGCCCTGGAATTGAAAAGCCTGCCTGGTTGTGAATTTGGGCTCTGTCCAACAGCCTCACCAGGGAGGACGTCCTCCATCCGTCAGGCCAGCCTGACTCCCACCCAAACCAATCCAGAGGGAGGAAGGAAATCAAACATAGCATCTGGATTTTGCCAGCAACAAGGCACTCAGGGACCTTACCCGCTTTTCCATTTCCTGGCTCACAGCCCACACCCGCTTCCCCCTCCCCTACGACACAGCCTTGGGTCAGGTCTCCCCAGCTCCTACAGCTTCCTCCATGGTCCCTCTGCCTCTAGTCTCTGTGCCTCCAACACATATGCCATTCTGCTGCCTGGGCAATCATCCATAAATGCAAATTGATCTGATTTCTCCCCATCGAAATCCTTAAATGACTCCTCATTGTCTATGAGGAAATGTCCAAATTCATCAGCCCAGCATTTAAGACCTTTCAGACATCCGACTTCCTTTCCTTGTCTCTGAATAGCCCCACTGATGCTCCTACCCACCATCTACCTGCTGCCTCATCCCAGCACGTCCAGGCACCCCTGGCGCCGTGTAGACAGTGGTTATGGACTCAGCTTCTGGAGCCAGACCTCTTGAGTTAAGATCCTGGCCATGCCATTGACAAGTTTCTGGGCCTGGCTGGGTGCCATGGCTCACACCTATAATCCCAGCACTTTGGGAGGCTGAGGCAGGAGGCTCGCTTGAGGTCACAAGTTCGAAACCAGCCTGGCCAACATGGTGAAACCCCGTCTCTACTAAAAATACAAAAAAAAAAAAAAAAATAGCTGGGCATGGTGGCAGGCGCCTGTAATTTCAGCTACTCAGGAGGCTGAAACAGGAGAATCACTTGAACCCGGGAGGTGGAGGTTGCTGTGAACCGAGATTGCGCCACTGCACACCAGCCTGGGTGACAGAGCCAGACTCCATCTCAAAAAATAAATAAATAAATACAAATAATAATAATAATAATAATAATTTTAAAAATGTAAAAGCCTGGAATCCCTTTTGCTCCCTCTCTTACCATGTGACACACCTACTCTCCCTTTATCTTCCACCATGAATAAAAACTTCCTGAGAGGCCGGGCGCGGCAGCTTACACCTGTAATCCCAGCATTTTGGGAGGCCGAGGCGTGCAGATCACTTAAGGCCAGGAGTTCAAGACCAGCCTGGCCAACACGGCGAAACCCCCTCTGCACTAAAAATACAAAAATCAGCCAGGCATGGTGGCACATGCCTGTAATCCCAGCTACTTGGGAGGCTGAGGCAGGAGAATTGCTTGAGTCTGGGAGACGGAGGTTACAGTGAGCAGAGATCATGCCACTGTACTCCAGCCTGGGCAATAGAGGGAAACTCTGTCTCAAAAAAAGAAAAAAAAAAAAAAGGCTCCCTGAGGCCTACCCAGAAGCTGAGCAGATGCTGGCACTATGCTTGGACAGCCTGAAGACCCCTAAGCCAAATAAACCTCTTTTCTTTATAAATTATCCAGTCTCAGGCTTTTTTTTTTTTTTTTTTGAGACAGTCTTGCTCTGTCACCCAGGCTGGAGTGGAGTGGCGCAATCTCGGCTCACTGCAATCTCTGCCTCCTGGGTTCAAGTGATTCTACTGCCTCAGCCTCCCAACTAGCTGGGATTACAGACACGAGCCACCATGCCAGGTAAATTTTTATAATTTTTGGAAGAGACGGGGTTTCATTTTGTTGGCCAGGCTGGTCTCGAACTCCTGACCTCAGGTGATCCACCTGCCTCGGCCTCCCAAAGTGCTGGGATTATAGGCATGAGCCACCGCTCCCAGGCTCAGGCATCCTTTATAGCAACGCACAATGGACTAACACATTTACCTTGTATCAGCTTGAGGACCAAACACTAAAAGCCACATGATAAAGGAGAATGCTGATTTCTATTTATGCAATGTTTCCTAAAGTCATAAAAGACAATGAATATTTCCAAAAAGAAGAAACTGAACAGAATAAAAGGTTAGACTTTTTTTTTTTTAATATCAGAGAGGTAATGGAATAGAAAACCTTTTTTGTTTAATTAGTCATTATGATCAGGTATCTATGGAAACAAGTCCGTGATCATGCTGGAAATAGGTAAATCATCTCCTCATTGAACAATGTAACAATCAACACAAAAGCTGGAGGTGTGAAACATCCACGTTCATTTCTTCAACAAGTGCTTTTGTTTTCTTTTTTTTTTTGAGATAGTGTCTTGTTCTGTCACCCAGGCTGGAGCGCTCTGTTGCCCAGGCTGTGGTGCAGTGGCGCGATCTCGGCTCACTGTAACCTCCGCCTCCCGTGTTCAAGGGATTCTCATGCCTCAGCCTCCCGAGTAGCTGGGACTATAGGTGCCTGCCACCACCCCCAGCTAATTTTTTTTTTTTTTTTTTGAGACGGAGTCTCGCTCTGTCGCCCAGGCTGGAGTGCAGTGGCGCGATCTTGGCTCACTGCAAGCTCTGCCTCCCGGGTTCACGCCATTCTCCTGCCTCAGCCTCCTGAGTAGCTGGGACTACAGGCGACTGCCACCGTGCCCAGCTAATTTTTTGTATTTTTAGTAGAGACCGGGTTTCACCGTGGTCTCGATCTCCTGACCTCGTGATCCGACCGCCTCGGCCTCCCAAAGTGCTGGGATTACAGGCGTGAGCACCGCGCCCGGCCCACCGCCAGCTAATTTTTACAATTTTAGTAGAGACAGGGTCTCACCATGTTGGCCAGGCTGGTCTCGAACTCCTAACCTCAAGTGATCTGCCTGCCTCAGCCTCCCAAAGTGCTGGGATTACAGGCACAAGACACCATGCCCAGCCTCCTCCTAGTAATTTTCTATCCACTCACCCACCCTGCTCCCAGCCTATGAATTCCCACTTTTTCCTGTGGTATTTGTAGTTAAGTCCAATCTCTTTCTGTACTGCAAGATCCCATCGTGGTGGTTATTTACCCTGTCGCAGTGGGCCTCGCTTTTATTCAAGGTGTCAGTTTTTTCTTTAACACTGGAAACTTGTTAGAAACACAGAGTCTGCCCAGGCCGGGTGGCTCATACCTGTAATCCGAGCGCTTTGGGAGGTCTAGGCGGGAGGATGGCTTGAGCCCCGGAATTCTAGACCAGTCTAAGCAACACAGCAAGACCCTCATCTCTATTTTAAAAAGATTTCAAAATTTAGCCAAGCGTGGTGGCACACGCCTGTGGTCCCAGCTACTCAGGAGGCTAAGGCGTGAGGATCGCTTGAGCCCAGGAGGTCAAGGCTTCAGTGAGCTGTGATCGCACCACTGCACTCCAGCCTGGGCAACAGTGAGACCCTGCCTCCTAAAAAAAAAAAAAAAGACAGAAAAACACAACAAAAAAAGATCACAATGAGCCTTTTTTCCATTTTACAGATGAGGAAGCTTCAGCTCAGAGTTGAAGGTTTCCTAAATGGCCCAATAAGGGTGGTCTGGTGCCTTGCTCCAAAAGGCCTTATCAGTAGACCTGAGACGATGGGCTGGGTTGTCTTCATTAACCTCTGAAAGCATGCCTGGGGAAGAAGGGACCAGCCTGGGCTCCGAAGGCCTCCTCAGAACAAGACCCTGCTTGTCCAAGTGCCTCACTCCCGGGTGGCTTGATTTCCAGGAATATCAGGGCAGTTCCCTGCAACGCCCGCTCAGACCCAGGAGCCTTCCTGGTATCAGTCCTGATCCCAGCAAACTGCACAGATGGCTGTGTCCATCCCCTGGCTGTGCAGGGAAACCCAGGGAGAGCTTGAACCTCAGCTACTGGTCCCTGCTTTCAGGCCTAACCCTGCAGCAGCTGAAACCAGGGAGAGTCGGGGCCGGAGTCTGCAGGGGTTGTAGGGTTTCTCTCTGCTGCTGTGAGCTGCAAAGTCCATTTCCAGCCTCAGCGAGGGCTGCCTCCTGCCCTCTGTTCTACTCTTAACCCCTACACCATGGGACCATTTGCTGGTCTCCAGATTTCTTTGTTTTTTTTTTTTGTTTTTTTTTTTTTTGAGACAGAGTCTCACTCTGTCACCCAGGCTGGAATGCAGTGGTGCGATCTCGGCTCACTGCAAACTCTGCCTCCCAGGTTCAGGCGATTCTCTTGCCTCAGCCTCCCAAGTAGCTGGGACTACAGGCACCCGCCACCACACCTGGATAATTTTTGTATTTTTAGTAGCCTGTTGGCCAGGCTGGTCTCGAACTCCTGACCTCAAGCGATTCACCCGCTTTGGCCTCCCAAAGTGCTGGGATTACAGGCATGAGGTCTCCAGATTTCAAGCTCGCACATGTTAGAGCTCACCCTTGGAACTCAAGCCAACTCTTGATTGTGCAGAGAGAAAGACAGAGCCCAGAGAGGGTAACGGAGCTGCCCTGGTCACACAGCAAGCCAGAGGCACAGCCAGCCTGGCACCCAAGGCTTTCCTTTTCAGGGCTTCAGCCTGCAGGCCCACCATGTGCCCCAACGTGGCCATGGCCAGAACCTTGCCCCAAACACCCACTATAGGGCCCTTGTACCTGCTGTTCCCTCTGTCTGGGAGTCCCATCCTCTCGACATCCCTATGGCTTATTTTCTGATCTCTGCTCACAGATCAGCTCATTGGAGAAGCCCTGTCTGACTCTACTTTCTAAAACAGACCCCTCCCCACTCCTGCTTTGTGGCTCTGCACAGCTCTAGACATTGTCTGATACTATGTTCTCTGCTAATTGTTTTATTTCGGTCATTTTCTGCCTCTCCCTGGCCTGAATTTAAAAGCCAAAAGGGCTGGTGTGGTAGCTTACACCTGTAATCCCAGTGCTTTGGGAGGCTGAGGGACGAGGGTCACTTGAAGCCAGGATTTCAAGACCAGCCTGGGCAACATAGCAAGAACCAATCTTTAGAAAAACTAAAACTAGGTCGGGCGTGGTGGTGCACACCTGTAGTCCCAGCTACTTGGGAGTCTGAGGTGGGAGGATCCTTTGAGTCCAAAAGTTTCAGACCAGGCCAGGTGTGATGGCTCATGCCTGTAATCCCAGCACTTTGGGAGGCTGAGGTAAGTGGATCACTTGGGATCAGGAGTTTGAAACCAGCCTGGCCAACATGGTGAAACCCTGTCTCTACCAAAAATACATAAATTATCCAGGTGTGGCGGTACGCACCTTGTAGTCCAAGCTAATTGGGAGGCTGAGGGGGGAGGATTGCTTGAGCCCGGGAAGTGGAGGCTGCAGTGAGCTATGATGGCGCCACTGAACTCTAGCCTGAGCGACAGAGTGATACCCTGTCTCTGTTAAAAATAAATAAATATTTAAAAAATAATAATAAAAGCCAGAGTGGCAATGACTTTGTTTTGTTTGTTGCTGTGCCTTCTGTGGCCGGAACAGTGCTTGACATAGCAGAGGTTTTCACTAAATATCTGTGGAGTGAATGCATGAATTCACCCATGCTTTCCAGGTCTGAGGGTGGTGAAATATTCCCTCACCATTGTGTGCGGAGAGCTACAAACACATCCCAGCTTCTTCCTTTCATTTCCTCTCTGGTTTGCAGATTCAGCCTCTCACAATTCGCTGTTTCCAGGGAATTGCATGAGGGAAACGGGCCTCATCTTCATCTTGTCTTTAGATTACTGGTCTTTATCTTCCCCACATACACAAGCCCCAACCACCAGCCACCACCATCCTCCCCTGGGCCCTTCTAATTGCTCATCTTAGAATGGTCTCTCCCACCTTCCAGGTAAAATGGCAGACAGTTTGCAATTCTACCTCCTTGTCTATTTAATCCTCACGGCCATCCACAGATGCCACCGCAGTCACACTCAGCATCCTGAGTCCCAGGCTCAGAAAGAGTGAATAACTTCCCCGAGACCACACAGCTAGGAAAGGAGCAAAACAGACTCAAGCCCCGATGCCCTGATTCAGAATTCTGTTGTCAGCTTTTCTCTCTCCCTTTCTCTCTTCCTTTCTTCCTTTCTTTCTTTCCTTCCTTCCTTTCTCTCTCTCTTCCTTCCTTCCTTTCTTTCTTTCCTCCTTCCTTCTTTTCTTTCTTTCCTTCCTTTCTTTCTTTCTCTCTCTTTCTTTCTTTCTCTTCCTTCCTTTCCTTCTTTCTTTTTTCTTTCTTCTTTTCTTTTTTTTTTTTTTTGAGACGGAGTCTCTCTCTGTCGCCCAAGCTGGAATGCTGTGGCGCCATCTTGGCTCACTGCAAGCTCCACCTCCAGGGTTCACGCCATTCTCCTGCCTCAGCCTCCCGAGTAGCTGGGACTACAGGCGCCCATCACCACGCCCGGCTAATTTTTTGTATTTTTACTAGAGACGGGGTTTCACTGTGTTAACCAGGATGGTCTCGATCTCCTGACCTTGTGATCCGCCCGCCTCAGCCTCCCAAAGTGCTGGGATTACAGGCGTGAGCCACCGCGCCCGGCCTTTTCTTCCTTCTTTTCTTCCTTTCTTCATTTCTTTTTTCCTTCTTTCTTCCTTCTTTACTTTTTCTTCCTTTCTTCCTTCTCTCCTTTCTTCCTTTCTCTTTCTTTTTCTTCCTTACTTCCTTTCTTTCCTTTCTTTTTTCTTCCTTTTCTTCCTTTCTTCATTTCTTTTTTCCATCTTTCTTTCTTCCTTCTTTTCTTTTCCTTCCCTCCCTCCCTCCTTCCTTTCTTCCTTCCTTCCTTTTTCTTTCTTTCTTTCTTTCTTCTTTCTTTCTCTTTTTCTCTCCTTCCTTCCTTCTTCTCTCCTTCTTTCCTTCTTCTCTCCTTCTTTCCTTCCTTTTTTTTTTTCTTAGATGGGCTCTTACTTTGTCACCCAGGCTGGAATGCAGTGGCATGATCACAGCTCACTGTAGCCTCAACCTCCTGGGCTCAAAAGATTCTCCCACATCAGCCTCCCAAATAATTGGGACTACAGACATGTGCCACCATACCTGGCTATTTTTAAGGTATTTTTTTAGAGACACAGTCTCACTATGCTGCCCAGGCAGCCTCAGATTCCTGGGCTCAAGCAATCCTCCTGCCCCAGTCTCCCAAGAAGCTGGAACTGCAGGTGCACATCACCATGCCTAGCTAATTTTTAAATTTTTTGTAGAGACGGGGTCTCGCTACGTTGCCCAGTCTGGTCTCAAGCAATTCTCTCACCTCAACCTCCCAAAACATTGAGATTACAGGTGTGAGCCCCTTGCCCGGCCACTTGCCTTTTCTAGGTCATCTCTGAGGTCCAGCTTGGAGGGAAAATGCCAACACTAAATCAACACTGGGGGAGTAACTGAAGTGCCTATTAAGTTGCCGGTGCTCCATGAGGGCCCATGATCCCAGACCAGGGGGCTCTGTTCGTGGAGTCTGTTCTCTTGGGATGCCGTCCAACACGTTGGGCAATTCTCCTTCTTTGGTCCCTCCTTTTTTTTTTTTTAAACGGAGTCTCCCTCTGTCACTCAGGCTGGAGTGCAGTAGTGCAATCTTGGCTCACTGCAACCTCCACCTTCTGAGTTCCAGCGATTCTCCTGCCTCAGCCTCCTGAGTAACTGGGACTACAGGTGCCTGCCACCACACCTGGCTTCGGCTAATTTTTGTATTTTTTAGTAGAGACGGGGTTTCACCATATTGGCCAGGCTGGTCTCAAACTCCTGACCTCATGATCTGCCCACTCAGCCTCCCAAAGTGGTGAGATTACAGGTGTGAGCCATGGCACCTTGCGGCCCCGTCTTTTAATTAATTAATTCATTCCTTTTTTTTTTTTTTTTTTTGAGACGGAGTCTCGCTCTGTTCCCCAGTCTGGAGTGCAGTGGCGCGATCTCGGCTCACTGCAACCTCTGCCTCCTGGGTTCATGCCATTCTCCTGCCTCAGCCTCCCGAGTAGCTGGGACTACAGGCGCCCGCCACCATGCCCAGCTAATTTTTTATTTTTAGTAGAAACAGGTTTTCACCGTGTTAGCCAGGATGGTCTCGATCTCCTGACCTTGTGATCCACTTGCCTTGGCCTCCCAAAATGCTGGGATTACAGGCGTGAGCCACTGTGCCCAGCCTAACTTTTTTTTTTTTAATTTACTTATTTTTTTTGAGAGAGAGTCTCACTCTGTCGCCCAGGCTGGAGTGCAGTGGCGCGATCTCCTACCACCTCTGCCTCCTGGGTTCAAGAGATTCTCCTGCCTCAGCCTCCCATGTATCTGGGATTACAGGTGTGGGCTACCACGCCTGGCTAATTTTTGTATTTTTAGTAGAGATGGGGGTCTCACCATGTTTGTCTGGCTGGTCTCAAACTCCTGGCCTCAAGTGATCCTCCTGCCTTGGCCTCCCAAAGGAGTTGGAGATCCACACCTCACCTCTACCAAAATACAAAACTAGCGGGGCATGGTGGTGGGCACGTGTAGTCCCAGTTACTCAGGAGGCTGAGGCAGAAGAATAGCTTGAACCCGAGAGGCAGAGGACACAGTGAACTGAGATCACATCACTGTACTCTAGCCTAGGTGACAGAGTGAGACCCAGTCCAAAAAAAATAAGAAAGAAAGAAGGAAAGAGAAAAGAGAGAGAGAGAGCGAAAGAAAGAGAGAGAGAGAGCAAGAGAAAAAGAGAGGAAGGAAGGAAGGAAGAAAAGAGAGAAAGAGAAGAAAGAGAAAGAAAGAAAGAAAAAGAAAGGAAGGAAGGAAAAGAAAAGAAGAAAAAAAGAGAAAGAGAAGAAAGAAAGAGGGAGGAAGGGAGGAAAGGGAAAGGAAGAGAAGGGAAGAAGGAAGGGAGGGAGGGAGGAAGGAAGGAAGGAAAAAAGGAAGGGAAAATAAGCAGAGAGGAGAGTATTTAAGGAGGGAGGGAGGTATGGCCAAAGTTGTGAAGTTGGTAATGATCATGGCCTATTTCCAGGAAAAGTAGGTCTGGCAGAGCCAAGCATTCCCCATGGGAGCCCTGGAGTGAACAGGGGAGTGGAGACAGATGATGGACGGCCTTGAATGACAGGCTCAGGGATTTGGACTTCTCATAGGCCACAGGAAATCACTGAAAGTTCGTCAGCAAAGTGACATAATGGCTCATGATTGAGAAAATGTATGGATGGACTGTGGGAGTGGGTGGAGCAGGAAGGCAGCCCACATTAGGAGGCTGCCCTGCCAGCCACGTAGGAGGGGAGGAATGATAGAACATCACCCTGAGGTCTCACCCCCATCATCCACAGGTGAGAAAACTGGGGTCCCAGAAGGGAAAGTGACAGTGACATGCCCAAGGTCGAAAAGCCACCAAGGAACAGAGCCTGAACCTGACCTCTGCGTTTTAATTTTTTTTATTTTTAGAGATAGGGTTTTGCTCTGTCACCCAGGCTGGAGTGCAGTGGTGCTATCATAGCTCACAGAAGCCTCGAGCTCCTGGGCTTCAAGTGATTCTCCCACCTCAGCCTCCCAGATAGCTGGGACTACAGGCGCACACCACCATGTCTGACAAATTTCATTTTTTTATAGAGATGAGGTCTCACTGTGTTGCCCAGGCTGGGAGATTTTTTGTTTTTATTTTCCTTGGAGACAGAGTCTTGCTCTGTTGCCCAGGCTGGAGTGCAGTGGCATGATCTTAGCTCACTGCAACCTCTGCCTCCTGGGTTCAAGCAATTCTCCTGCCTCAGCCTCCCGAATAGCTGGGACTACAGGTGTGTGCCACCCAGCCCGGCTAATTTTTGTATTTTTAGTAGAGACAGGGTTTCGCCATGTTGGCCAGGCTGGTCTCAAACTCCTGACCTCAAGTAATCCGCCCTGCCTCGGCCTCCCAAAGTGCTGGGATTGCAGGAGTGAGCCACCACGCCTGGTATGTTGTTGTTGTTAATTTCTAGCCCCAGTGTCTTTCTGTTACGGGAGGCCCTCCCTGAGGCCACCCAGACCATAGAACCCAGTAGATACTCAAAAGATAAATGCGGGTGTGATGGTTTGATGTGCTGCCCAGCTTAGGTTGGTGGCAGTAAGGAGGCATAATAAGTGTTAAAGACAGGGCTTAGGGATCGATGGTGGTTTGGAGCAGGGTAGGAGGGGAGGTGATCAGCAGGGCTTAGACCACCTTCGAAGATCCATGACAGCCAGAGGAAGTCAGGCCAGGGTCTCATTTGTCTGACACAGGAGGAGCTCATTATAGAGATGCCTACACAAGAGGGTCTCCTCTAGGTTGGAGCTGCAGAAAGACCCAAAGTGCATCAGAGCCGGATGCGGTGCCTCACGCCTGCAATCCCAGCACTTTGGGAGGCCAAGATGGGAGGATCACTTGAACCCAGGAGTTGCAGACCAGCCTGGGCAAACATAGCAAGACCCTGTCTTTACAAAGTATTTTAAAAATTAGCCAGGCGTGGTGGCACTTGCCTGTGGTTCCAGATACTTGGGAGACTGAGATGGGAGGATTGCTTGAGCTAGGAAGGTCGGGGCTCCAGTGAGCTGTGATCGAGCCACTGCACTGTGATCATGCCTGGGTGACAGAGCTGAGACCCTATCTCAAAAAAAAAAAAAAAAAAAAAAAAAGCAACAGGAACAACACAAAAACAGGCCGGGCGCGACAGCTCACACCTGTAATTCCAGGACTTTGGGAGGCAGAGGGGGCGTGGATCACTTGAGGCCAGGAGTTCGAGACCAGCCTGCCCAACATGGTGAAACCCCATCTCTACTAAAAATACAAAAATTAGCTGGGCATGGTGGTGGGTGCCTGTAATCCCAGCTACTTGGGAGACTGAGGCAGGAGAATCACTTGAACCCAGGAGGCGGAGGTTGCAGTGAGCCGAGATTGTGCCGTTCCGTTGCACTCCAACCTGGGCAAGAAAAGCAAAATTCTGTGTCAAAAACAAAAAAAAGAACAACACAAAAACAAAGGGCATGAGAGATGCCCTGATCCAGAGTCTGGGTGTGGACACACAGTGGAGAACAGGAGAAGGAATTCGAGAATTCCCCTAAGGGGGCCTCCCAGGGACACCCCAACTTGCTGGGCATCTGCATGCCCCCCACACAGTGGGAGGCCCAGCATGGGAGAATAGAGGCCCCCACCTCCTGGCAGCAGAGCCAGCGGGCTCTCCTGATGACTATGAGCTAATCACTTACCTTCTTTGTGTCTTGGCTTTCTCATCCGTAAAATGGGAATGATGATACTTCCCTACCTCATCGCCGAGTTATGAGAATTAATTAATGTTTATAAAGGACTTGGAGATCCACAGATGAAAGCCTCTAGAGAACTACAAAGTATCATTACTGTAATTACATTACACTATTATATCTCGGGCCAAAGGCTTTCTGCAGCTTTGCTTATTACTGAGAATGGGCGATGGCGTGCAGATAAAACCCAATCTCCTCCAACCATCGCGCAAAACGCCGACCCAACTTCATCCAGATCTAAGCTCCGGGAGATTCCATCAGGCTTGGAAGACATGACAAGCGTCTCCAGCATGAAAATCCCCCAGGGGCAGTGAGACATGGAGAAAAGACTACCTTCTCAGTTTCCTCCTGGGAGCAACAGTTCTGGGGGTCTTAGGGAATCAGGGGCTACTCTGCCTTCCTCCAGAGGCCACCTCCTCATAGGTCAGTCTGATTCAGCATCATGCAGTCAGGCTTTCTCTTCTTGGGGGCACCCCCCACTTTTTTTTGGTAGAGACACAGGTCTTACTTTGTTGCCCAGGCTGGTTTGAAACTCCCGGCTTCAAGCGATCCTCTTGCCTCGGCCTTCAGAAGTGCTGGGATTACAGATGACATGAGCCACTGCACCTGGCCTCTTGGGGACCCTTTTTTATGTTAAACTGGGGCCTCTATAGGATCCCTTCCCATCATTTCCCTGGCCCCAAGTCAGACTCTTCTTCCAGACCCAAAGAAGACAGCTGTTTGGCCTTGAATGGTAAACTCTCCCTCGTTTATTGAACCTCCAACTATTTTGGTGTTTACCCATCTTCCCTCATTTCACAATAGCCCAACCTGACTGGGTAGGCGAAAGCTAGATCAGAAAGAAATATAATTACCTTTTTACGAGCTTATGACATGGTTGCACCCTACTCTCCTGCCAGCTTGTCCAGTCACTCACGAATGATGATATACATACTATAAATTATATCATTATCGACCTATAATTACAGGCAACATATATATGAATCCCCCTGAAGGAGACTGGGGCTCCAAGATTACGTATCCTTGCCCCTCGGTCCCTTGGGAAAAAGCCCGTTGCAAGAGGGGAGGTTGTTACCAATTTCCAAATATCACAGACGCTCTGTTAAAACAACAGAGACGCCCCCTCCCACCTTCATGCATACACAACCCCAGGCTCCCTTAGAACAAATCAGCTCACCCCCCAGCACGCACAAAGCCTGAGATGTTGGCAGGAACAGATGTGGACATGTGAGGGCTGATTCTCAGGGGGAGACCAAGGGCAGAGTGCCCTGGCTCCGGGAGCTCCAGGGAGAAGGACTGGAGTGTGTGGAGCAGGACGAGGCCCTAGGATACCAAAGTAGGGCAAGGCTGGGAGGGCTATTGCTCCCCTCTGTCCTCAAAGGACACCCTTAAAGACACCTGCACCTCCCAGGACAGAGCATTGGTGCCCTCAGAGATGCCCTCTCTCCATCAGGACATTTCCCAGTGCCCGGCAGTGGTCTAGCCACACAGTCACCCTGCATCATCCTGAAGAGTGATCTGGAGGGCTAGACCTGGCTGAGATGGGCTGCAGACGCTCCCGGGCCTTTGGCTGATGGCAAGGGGGTGTGACTGCTGAGCTCAGCTCAGTTCCTCATGGGAACCCTGGGCCGGAAGGAGATAGTAGGCTTGGTATAGGAAGGGGACCAGGACCACTCCAGATCTCCCGCTAGGTGCTAGAGCTGGCCAGCCTTCCACACCTCTCTTCCTCCCTTCTGTGGGCTTCCTGGAAGCTCTGGGGAGCAGAACATGAAAATGGCAAGTGGAGCCGGGCATGGTGGCTCATGCCTGCGATCCCAGCATTTTGGGAGGCTAAGGTGGGTGGGTCACCTGAGGTCAGGAGTTTGAGACCAGTCTGGCCAACATGGTGAAACCCTATCTCTACTAAAAATACAAAAATCAGCCAGGCATGGTGGCGGGTGCCTGTAATCCCAGCACTTTGGGAGGCTAAGGCGGATGGACCACCTGAGGTCAGGAGTTGGAGACCAGCCTGGCCAACATGATGAAACCCCATCTCTACTAAACATACAAAAATTAGCTGGGTGTGGTGGTATGCGTCTGTAATCCCAGCCATCCGGAGGCCGAGGCAGGAGAATCACTTGAATCTGGGATGTGGAGGTTGCAGTGAGCCAAGATCAAGGCTCTGTCTCAAAAAAAAGAAGAAAAGAAACAAGAAAACAGCAAGCCTCATTCATCCTTAGGGAGCTCAGAGAGACAGAGAGAGGCCCTTGGCCAGAGGAGCATGTATTCTGCAATGAATGTGACACCAGAGGACCTGGACAGAACCCAGGGGCAGGACAGAGGGAGGTGGGAACTTGAGAGATCAGGAAGGATTTTGCAGGTTTGGAAAATGGGAGAAGGAGGTTCTGCAGAGAGAGCGTCTCGCATGAAGGCATGGAGGTCTGTCCACGCTGCAGTGAGCACGCCTGCAGTACTTACAGCACTAGCCGGGCAGAGGTGAGAGGGGAGGCTGGATTGGGCCAGCTCTCCCCCCTCCACCCGTCCTATCTTACCTCCAGCTTTTCCTCATACAAACCCACACTCAGCCAACCCGACACCTTGGCATCTCCAGTGATCCCCTCAGTCTTCTGCAACTTTTCCTCCTTCCTCTTCCTTCCTTTGTGACATCCCCTCCTCCCAGTCCCACCAGCTTATCTGGTCACACTTGGGATGTGAGGGCCTGGATGATTGTCCATCAGGGTATGATACACACCCTGATCCCCAAATACCCTTGCCTTGGTCAACTCCTCCAACCAGCCCGGGACCGGGCACACAGCGATGGGAGCAGGAAGAGGAAGAGGGTGCCGGGGGATGGAAGGGTTTTACCCAGAGTCACAAGTGGCAGACTCAAAACAGCCGAAAGCCTCCTCCATCTGGATGGCAGGCGACCCCAACTGTGGCTCTCCCTCGAATCACATCTTGTAAAAAAATCATTTGCACATTTGAATTCAAAGCCCCTCAAAACAGTATAAACACCACCATCCCGCGTACCATAAAAACCACACTGAGCATTTATGGAAACTGAAACATGTGTATTAACATATGGCAAAAATTTCACTTACTGCATCTTTTTAGCATTGGACTGATGCATGAGGCATCTGTGCAAAAAGCGTTGGAATGGAAGCTTCAGAAACGAGCAGAACGAGAAAAAGGCTGTCGCGGAGGCTGGCAGGCCAGCAGGGCGGCAGGGAAGCCCGAGGATCCATCCCTGGCACAGGCTGGTGGCTTTGGCAGAGAGGCAGGGGTTGGCCCACCGAGGAGCAGGGCCCAAGAGCGTAGGCAGCGCAGCCATCCACCGCAGACCCTCCGAAGCAGCCCCCACCTGCCCTTCAAACGATTCTCCCACTTCAGCCTCCCCAGTAGCTGCGATACAGGCTCCCGCCATCATGCCCAGCTAATTTTTGTATTTTTAGTAGAGACGTGGTTTCACCATGTTGGCCAGGCTGGTCTTGAACTCCTGACCTCAGGTGATCCATCCACCTTGGCCTCCCAAAGTGCTGGGATTACAGGTGTGAGCCACTGCGCCCGGCCACCACCTTCCTTCCTCTTTCTTTTCTCATTTTTCTCTCCTTCTACCTCCAAGCAGTAGATGGATCTTAGACGCTGGAAACAGGAGAAGCAAGCTCACTTCTTTTCTCTCACCTCTGGTCCGAGCAGGAGAGAGTCGAGTCATTCTATGCCCCACAGTCCATGATTGAATCTTTTCTTTAATATTTATTTATTTATTTACTTACTTATTTTTGTAGAGATGGGGGTCTGGCTATGGTGCCCAGGCTGGCTCGAACTCCTGGCCTCAACAATCCTCCCTCTTTTGCTCTCAAAGTGCTGAGGTTACAGGCTTGAGCCACAGCACCTAGCCTCATGATCGAGCTTTGATGGGAGTCCCAGAGTAGGACCTTCACTACCTTCTGCTTGGAACCAACAGCCAAGTGTCCCTTCTGGCTCATCTAGGCTGCAGCCTGCCCCATTATCTCATCTAAAAGGCCAGTTAGGGCCAAACATGGTGGCTCACGCCTGTAATCCCAGTGCTTTGGGAGGCCAAGGTGGGAGAGTCACTTGAGCCCAGGAGTTGGATGCTGCAGGGATCTACCATCATGCCGTTGCACTCCAGCCTGGGTGCCAGAGCAAGACCCTGTCTCAAAAAAAAAAAAAAAAAGGCAGGAGGCAGTCAGCAATGTTCTTCTCCTTCCTTAAAGGAATGTTTGTGGTTCCAGGACACACAGTCCCTGTTCACTGAGCCAACCCCCCATGCTGGGCTTCTTGTCTAGGAGTGGCAGCTGCAAGTAAGAATGCCAAGACCCTGACCAAACCCAGCATTCCGATGGTCACAGGTCCTTCAGCATCTTCAATTCTAGCTGGCTGCAGCCTCAACCCGGCAAGTGGAGGTCCCCTTCAGGCCTGCAAATGGGGCTCTACCCTGAGTTCTCACATCAGCACATGGCATGGAGCCACGCTTAGGGATGTGCTAGTCACTCTGAGTTGCTTTGAAAGAATAAGCCAGCCTTGGGCCAGGCGCGGTGGCTCACGTCTGTAATCCCAGCATTTTGAGAGGCCGAGGTGGGTGGATCACCTGAGGTCAGAAGTTGGCGACCAGCCTGGCCAACATGGTGAAACCCCGTCTCTACTAAAAATACAAAAAGTAGCTGGGCCTGGTGGTATGTGCCTATAATCCCAGCTACTCAGGAGGCTGAGACAGGAGAATCGCTTGAACCCAGAAGGCAGAGGTTGCAGTGAGGCAAGACTGAGCCACTGCACTCCAGCCTGGGTGACAGAGCGAGACTCTGTCTCAAAAAAAAAAAAAAAAAGTCCGGGCGCAGTGGCTCACGCCTGTAATCCCAGCGTTTGGGAGGCCAAGGCGGGCGGATCACGATGTCAGGAGATCGAGACCATCCTCGCTAACACGGTGAAACCCCTCTCTAGTGAAAATACAAAAAATTAGCCAGGTACAGTGGTGGGCACCTGTAGTCCTAGCTACTCAGGAGGTTGAGGCAGGAGAATGGCATGAACCCGGGAGGCGGAGCTTGCAGTGAGCGGAGATCGCGCCACTGCACTCCAGCCTGGGTGACAGAGTGAGACTCCGTCTCAGAAAAAAAAAAAAAAAAAAAAGAATAAGCCAGACTCATAAATAGCCACTGGCCCAGGGTGGGTTACAGTTTCCATAAAATGAAATAACAAGAAATGTGCTTTGGGTTACTTTGATACTGTATGTCTTTGACAAGAAGTCATGTGTCTTTGACAAGAGGTCAGGTGGACTTTCAGCTTCCCTCTGAGTGACAGAGCATCCAAAAGGATGATGCAAAGAACGTGGCCACGTGGCTGTGGAGCCTGTGGGATGGGGACATGCGGCAGATCCACTCATGTCATGACATGAATGTGGAGCATGAAGGCACCAGAACCACCACACCTCACACCTTGCAGGCTCAGGCATCTGCTGGCCTCTATCATCTGACTGGGGTCTCTGCTAATTGAGGGATAGGTGTGAGAGTGAATAGACACAATCCTGAAAGCCAGGTGGAACAGCATCACCAATGCATAAACATTCTGGCTGCCAAGAAGGGCGCTTCCGGCCGGGCATGGTGGCTCTTGCCTGTAATCCCAGCACTTTGGGAGGCCGGGGCAGGAGGATTGTTTGAGCCCAGGAGTTTAAGACCAGCCTGGGCAAGCTAGCGACACCGCTATCTCTACAAAAAAATAAATACATAAATAACAAAACTATATATATATATATATATATATATATGTCATGAATAGTAGCACACACCTGTAGTCCCAGCCACTCAGCTACTCAGGAGGCTAAAATGGGAGGATCACCTGAGCCTGGGAAGTCGAGGCTGCAGTGACCCTTGATGGTGCCACTGCGCTCCAGCCTGGGCAACAGAGTGAGACCCTGTCTCAAAAATAAATAAATTGGTCAGCATGGTGTCTCATGCCTGTAATCCCAGAACTTTGAGAGGCTGAGGCAGGTAGATCACCAGAGGTCAGGATTTGGAGACCAGCCTGGACAACATGGCGAAACTCTGTCTCTACAAAAAATACAAAAATTAGCTGGGTGTGGTGGTGGGCACCTGTAATCCCAGCTACTCAGGAGGCTAAGGCAGGAGAATCACTTGAACCCAGGAGGCAAAGGTTGCAGTGAGCAGAGATTGTGCCATTGCACTCCAGCCTGGGCAACAAGAGTGAAACTCCATCTCAAACAAACAAAAAAAATTAATTAATTAAAATAAAGAAGGGGCCTTCCAATGTGGGGGCTTATGGGTCCTTGGGGTTTTTTAATCCAAGGCTGAGCAAGTCTGTTTCTCACCAGTGAGGGGTAGCCAAGCTGGTCTGGAACTGGGAGCCTCCATCGATTTCTCCCGATGGCAGCTTTCCAGGTCCACAGTGCTGATTTGTGCTGGAGTGCTATCCTATCTGTTAATCAATGGCATGGGAGAGAACATGGACCGCTGGGCAGATGCCCACAGTGCCTATCAAAGAATAACATTGAGTCTCAGCCTTACACGTTAGGAGGAAATTAATCCACTGCCCTCCCACTCATGAGGATGCTCCTCCCTGGACCCAGACACGCAGTTTGCAAAGTGCTTCCGTACACATCGACACGGTTGAGATGTGCAGCCACCCTATGAGGGAGGCATCCTGACCCTCACCTTCTTAGATGGGAGGAAACTGGCCGGGAGCCGTGACTCCCACCTGTAATCCCAGCACTTTGGGAGGCCGAGGGGGGCAGATCACCTGAGCTCAAGAGTTTAAGATCAGCTTGGCCAACGTGGTGAAACCCAATCTCTACTAAAAATACAAAAATTAGCCGGGCATGGTGGCACGTGCCTCTAATCCCAGCTACTAGGGAGACTGAGGCAGGAGAATCGCTTGAACCCAGGAGGCAGAGGTTGCAGTGAGCTGAGACCACGACACTGCACTCCAGCCTGGGCAACAGAGCAAGACTCCATCTCAAAAAGAAATAATAATAATAAATAAAAATAAATAAAAGGGAGAAAACTGAGAATCAGAATATTGAAGTGACTAGCCTAGGGCCATATGGCTAGTGGGTGGCAAAGACGTGACTCAGAACAATGTGCCCTGGCCCAAGGGTCCCTCTCTCTCCAGAAGACTCCCCCACCTCCAGTCAGGAAATCTTAACTCATATTAAAAGCCAGACACTAGGTCCTAGCCCTGTTTCTTGCACAGTGGGTACTGTCTGGGTGGCTGCTAACTCCTTATCAGAAAGTAGACTTTCAGCCTAATGCAGTGGCTGATGCCTGTAATCCCAGTACTTCGGGAGGCCGTGGCAGGAGGATCACTTGAGTCCAGGAGCTCGAGACCAGCCTGAGCAGCCTAGCAAGACCCCATCTCTACAAATAAAAATAAAAACATGAGTCAGGTGTGGCGGTCCACAGCTGTAGTCCCGGCTACTCAAGAGGCAGAGTTGGGAGGATCCCTTGAGCCCAGGAGGTTGAGGATGCAATGAGCTATGATGGTGCCACTACACTCCAGCCTGGGCCACAGAGTGAGATGTCTCAAAAAAATAGTAGACTCTCTTAGTCAACCAAATTGCCTAACATTCTATCTCTTTAACCATCAGAATATCAGAACCTGGCCCTGAGACAAAAGAATATCTAACTTTCCTTTCTTGCTTTGATAAAAAGCAAAGCCCAAGAGGTAAAGTCAAGGATTACCAACCATTCCCCCCAGCCAGCATCCTGGACTTGGGGTTTATCCCCAGCTTTATGGGGTTCCTGGCCAGGCAAAAGGCAGGCAGGGCTTCCTAGCTCTCTCTATCTTTCCTGTTCCTCTCCTAAAGAAAAAAAAATGTGGTGGGGCCCAGAGCACAAACAAGTTGCAAGAAGATGAGATGATACCCTCTTGTCACCATCCTGGTATTTCAGTATCTAGAGAATGGCGGCTCAGTGCTTGCATTGGCAAAGAAAGTGGGGTAATTGATATACCTTACGACATCTTTCAGAATGTGCTCCTCCCTGCTTTAATTTCAGCCTCAAGGTGTGGAGAAGCAGGCTGCTTTCTGAAAAACAAGAAAAACACATCCTTCCGTTAACCAGGGTACTAAATGGCTTCAGGCCTTTCTCACACCTACAGCCCCAGAGGGCCCCCAAGAGTCCTTGGGTGGTCTAGGAACCTTTCTTTATTATTATCAGGGACAGGGTCTCCCTCTATCTCCCAGGATGGAGTGCAGTGGCACGATCATAGCTTACTGCAGCCTCCAACTCCTGGGTTCAAGCCATCCTCCTGCCTTGGTCTCCCAAAGCACTGGGATTACAGGTGTGAGCCTTAACGCCCAGCCCTAGGAGCCTTTTTTATTGAATCTGTCCCGGTTTCCTCCTGCTGGAGAAGGGGTGGGAGGATGTGCTATGGTTTGGCTGTGTTCCCACCCAAATCTCATCTTGAATTGTAACTCCCACAGTTCCCTCGTGTCGTGGGAGGAATCCAGTGGGAGGTGATTGAATGATGGGGGTGGGTCTTTCCTGCACTGTTCTCGTAATAGTGAATGAGTCTCAAGAGATCTGATGGCTTTAAAAACAGGAGTTTCCCTGCATAAGCTCTCTTTGCCTGCTTTATATCCTGGGCACGCCAGCAGCTGATTAGCTGGTGCCCACCCAGATTAAGGGTGGGTCTGCCTTTCCCAGTTCACCGACTCAAATGTTAATCTCCTTTGGCAACACCCTCATAGACACACCCAGGATCAATACTTTGCATCATTCAACCCAATCAAGTTGACACTCAGTATTAATCATCACAGGTGGGTGTGGGGTTGGATGGCCTTCCAGAAGATTCTGTTCTGAGTGACCTTGGGAAGCCAGGCTGTGACGTTGGAATGAAGGTCCAGAGATGACTGTGTACGAAGGGAAGGTCGAATGTGGGTGGGCAGGGGACAGGGCTTGCTGTGTTTCTGGCATTCAATGTCCACTGTGATGGAGGAAAAAAACTCTTCCTGAATTCCAGGGGGAATTTTGAGTGATGTCAGGAGAAGCAGTCACACAGGTGTGCAATGCATGTTTGCCAAGACAGCCGCATAAGCCATCGGCAGGAATCAAGGTACAGGAAGGGCTTCCTGGGGTACTCAGTTGGGAAAGGGGTGCTTTGGAGTAGCTGGGAGGGCTGGAGCACTTAGAACACTTAGCCCGCTGGGAGTCACTCCATGGACAGAACATGATAAGGCAAAGGCCACATGGAGGACCTGAACACCTCTGGGTGACCTCAGACAGTCACTTCTGGTCTCTGGTCTCCGTCTCCTGTTCAATCATCAAAGCTGTTTACCGACTTCCAAGAGTCACTGTAAGTCCCAAGTGTGGCGACAGGCGTGCAGGAAACTCACACACTATAAATTCCCTTTCAAAAGTCAAGAGGAAGCCGGGGGAGTGGACGTTGGTCTAGACTGCTGTGACATTTCTGAAGCTCCTCTGAAAATCCACCACCATCCGCACTGTGCCAGGAAGAGCCTCTGTCTGAGGACAGCCATTGAGAAGTGGACAAGAGTGGGTACATTTACAATTTGCAGAGAGGAGAAAAACAAAAAAAGGAAGAAAAACAGTCATCCGCGCTGGCTGGCTCACGGTCACACACATTTCTGGGTCCTTCCCCAGCAGGCAATGACATCTGGTAACCCCATTGTCTGCTATCTGCAGGGAAGAAAGTGTTAGACACGAGGGCAGATGGAGTTTGCCTAACGTGTCTGTTCTCTTCTTTGCTGCCTTTTCAACTCTTCTTGGGAATGCAGCAAAATAGCAGCTGTTCATAATTTCATGAATAAAGAACTATGTAAATTTCAACTATGAAAATGTGTTGCGTCTCTTGTGGGCAAAGTGTGGTGTATGCTCCTGCGCCGTCTCTATTTCCATCTCGTGCGCATGTTGGAGTTTATCTAAACGGCACTCTCTGGGTAGCTGCTCAGTTTCAGATTCAGACTTGGCTAATTCATGACAAACGGCTTCGAGAACTATCCCTGCTTAGCCAGAGCAACAGGCTTGGAGGCCAAGCTCTCAGGGTTGCAATTCAAGGCCCATCGCCTCTGAGTAGGATGTCAGTCTCTTCTCTATGCCTTCCTTCCTTTTCTTTCTTTCCTTCTTTCTTTCTTTCTTTCTTTCTTTCTTTCTTTCTTTCTTTCTTTCTTTCTTTCTTTCTCTCTCTCTCTCTTTCTCTCTCTCTCTTTCTTTCTTTCTTTCTCTCTCTCTCTCTTTCCTTCCTTCCTTTCTTTCTTCTTTCTTTTTTTTGGACAGGGTCTCGCTCTGTCGCCCAGTCTGGAGTGCAGTGGTGCAATCTCAGCTCACTGCAACCTCCACCTCCTGGATTCAAGCAACTGTCCTGCCTCAGCCTCCTGTGTAGCTGGGATTACAGGTGTGCATCTCAGTGACTGGCTGATTTTTGTATTTTTAGTAGAGATGGGGTTTCAGTATGTTGGGAAGGCTGGTCTCGAACACCTGACCTCAGGTGATCCACCCACCTCGGCCTCCCAAACTGCTGGGCCACCTTGTGAGCCACTGTGCCCAGCCTCTATGTGTTTCTTTTTATTGATCTGTAAAATGGGTATAATGATGTGGGAAAAAAACAGAAAAGAAAAGAAAAACACACACACACACACATAAAAACAGAACATTTGTGGGCTGGGTGCGCATACCTACTGTGGGAGGCCCAAACAGGAGCATGGCTTGAGGCCAGGAGTTTGAGATCAGCCTGGACATCATGGTGAGACCCCGTCTCTATGAAAAACATTTAATTAGCTGGGCATGGTGGTGCACACCTATAGTCCCAGCAACTTGGGAGGCTGAGACAAGAGGGTTGTTTGAGTCCAGGAAGGAGTTTGAGGCTTCAGTGAGCTGCAGTCGTGCCACTGCACTCCAGCCTGGATGACAGAGACCCTATCTCTAAAAAAAGAAAGGAAGAAAAAAAAACAACATTTGCATAATAATTATGAAAGCCAATTAAGTTTAGAGTTTTCTTCCAAATTCCTGCACAAGACCAAAATTACCAGCAAAGGATTCCAGTCCCTAGGACCTAGATGGGTCTCCATGGGTATACGCAATTCTAAAGCTGTCATATCCTCGACTCCTGGGATCTCCAGGCAGCTTCTGGACAGTTATGGGCACCAACTTGCTGGGGAAGATACTGCACTCTTTGCGAACAGTCTTTCTAGTTCATTTCAGAAGGGCAGGGGGCACCCCTTTTTGGATGGGTGTCATCTGGGAAAGATACTGAACCTATTGTGAAGGAATCCAGTGTGTGGAGTGAGGAACTATGAGTGGACGCTGTAGAAATTCCAAGTTCAGGCTGGGCACGGTGGCTCACACCTGAAATCCCAGCACTTTGGGAGGCCGAGGCGGGTGGATCACTTGAGGCCAGGTGTTCGAGACCAGCCTGGGCAACATGGTGAAACCCCGTCTCTACTAAAAATGCAAAAATTAGCCAGGTTTGGTGGCATACACCTGTAATCCCAGCTACTTGGAGGCTGAAGTAGGAGAATCGTTTGAACCCAGGAAGCGGAGGTTGCAGTGAGCAGAGACCGCGCCACTGCACTCCAGCCTGGGCAACAGAGCGAGACTCTGTTTCAAAAAAAAAAAAAAAAAATTCCAAGTTCAGCCCCTTAAAAGGAGGAGTTTTCTGGTGATGCTCCAGAGATGGACCAGGCTGCTCTGGAAGGATGAGGGCAGAGTCCTGGTTTCCAGTTGGTTAGGGTGCTGCAGAGAAGCACCTCTCATGTTTTGATGCACGCAGGAATCACCTGAGGACCTTGTGCAAATGCAGACTTTAATTCAGCAAGTCCAAGATGGGAGGCATTTCTAACCAGCTCTCAGGTTTTTCTAACCTGATGCAGGTGCAACTGGTCCCCAGACCATACTTAGGACGCTGATCTTTCTTTCTTTTTTCTTTCCTTTTCTTTTCTTTCTTTTTTTTTTTTTTTTAATTTGAGATGGAGTCTTGTTCTGTCACCCAGGCTGGAGTGCAATGGCACAGTCTCAGCTCACTACAACCTCCACCTCCCAGGTTCAAGTGATTCTCCTGCCTAAGCCTCTCAAGTAGGTGGGATTACAGGCGTGCACCACCACACCCAGCTAATTTTTGTACTTTTATTACAGACAGGGTTTCACCATGTTGGCCAGGCTGGTCTCAAATTCCTGACCTCAGGTGATCCACCCTCCTCAGCCTCCCAAAGTGCTGGGATTACAGGCGTGAGCCACCTTGAGAACACTGATCTTTCATATCTCCCCAGCCCCAACGTCTGTCCTTCTGTGATTCTATGATCAAATGACCATTGAGTTAATGGCACAGCGGGTCCTGGTTGGCTTGGACCAGTGAACGTAGCAACAGGAGTTAGAGAACCTCCATTCACAGCGTGTTCTTAATGCCGCCTACTTTTATCCTCATAGACAAATGATTTCTGTGTTTTGTTTTGTTTTGTTTTGTTTTGTTTTGTTTTGTTTTGTTTGAGACAAGGTCTCACTGTCTTCCAGGCTGGAGTGCAGTGGTGCAATCTCAGCTCACTGCATCCTTGACTTCCCGGGCTCAGGTAATCCTCCTACCTCAGCCTCCCAAGGAGCTGGGACTACTGCCCGCCACAAGGCCCAGTTAATTTTTGTATTTTTCATAGAGATGGGGTTTTGCCATGTTGCCCAGGCTGATCTCGAACTCTTGGACTCAAGCGATTGGCCCGCCTCGGCCTCCAGCGACTGGCCCACCTCGGCCTCCCAAAGTGCTGGGGTTACAGGCGTGAGCCACCATGCCAGGTTAACTTTTGTAACTTTTGTAGAGATGGGGTTTTGCCATGTTGTCCAGGCTGGTCTCTAACCCTTGGGCTCAATTTAATGGCCTGCTTCAGCCTCCCAAAGTGCTGGGATGGTTTTCTGTTTTGTGATTAGCAGAGAGAGTTCTGCTGGGATGGTTTTCTGTTTTGTGGTTAGCAAAGAGAGCCCCACTGCACCTGACCCTCCTCCCTGAGGCCATTTGGGAGATTGTGGAGTCAGACCACATTGAAAGCTCAGCTCCAAAGGGCTTCCACTGAGGAGGCTGGGGCTGGTGTGGTTTGTAGCTTCAAAGAACTCAGACAGAGGTCTTTTCCAGAGTCAAGGTGAATAGAAGAAAGCAAATTACAAGAATGTCATTGTGCCTGCAGGCAGGGAATTTGTGACTAAGACCCTATCTCTGTCCTATGTTGCCTATGGCTCCCCCTCATTCCCCAAGCCCAATCCATTCCTGCCCACCCTGATCAACACCAAACCATCAGATTAATCCAAAGCACATCACAAAGATTTTCCTCCCCTTGCCAGGCACCAGGTCTGGAGCTGGGGGCCTTGAGGTGGGCCAAGCACAAGGCCCCTCCTCATGTTGTACCATGAAGACCAAGTGATCAGTACAATAAGAGAGGTGGAAAGGACTCCTGTGGACTGGGGTAAACAGGGTGGGTTTCCCAGGGGAGGTGAGATTTCAGAGGGGTCTTAAATTATGAAGATAAAGATCATTGACCTAAGTGTCCATCAACAGTGGATTGGCTAAAGAAAATGTGGAACCATATATACCATGGAATACTATGCAGCCATAAAAAAGAATGAAATAATGTCCTTTGCAGCCACATGGATGCAGCTGGAGGCCATTATCCCAAGTGAAATAACTCAGAAACAGAAAACCAAATACCACATGTTCTCACTTATAACTGGGAGGTAAACAATGGGTACTCATGGATATAAAGATGGAAATAATAGGCCAGTCAGCGTGGCTCACACTTGTAATCTCAGCACTTTGGGAGACCAAGGTGGGTGGATTACTTGAGGTCAGGAGCTCGAGACCAGCCTGGCCAACATGGTGAAACCCCATCTCTACTAAAAATACAAAAATTAGCCAGGCGTGGTGGCACATGCCTGTAATCATAGCTACCGGGGAAGCTGAGGGAGGAGGATTGCTTGAACCCAGGAGACGGAAGTTACAGTGAGCCGAGATCACACCACTGTACTCCAGCCTGGGAAACAGAACAAGACTCCATCTCAAAAAAAAAAAAAAGATGGAAACAATAGACACTGGGGTCTCTAAAAGCGGGGAAGGGGCAAGGGCTGAAAAACTATGTCATGGATATTATGTTCGCTATTTGAGTGATGGGTCCATTAGAAGAGCAAACCCCATCATCACACAATATACTGAGATCACAAACTTGCACATGTACCCCATGAATCTATAATAAATAACAACAACAACAAATTAACAAGGTATTAAAAAAAATAAAGATCACTGGTAATGGGTCAGAGGTGAGGCACATCATGGAGGTTCCACAGAAAAAGCCCACTGAAGAAGCATGGGGGCCGTGTGCGGATGCTCAGGCCTGGAATCCCAGCACTTTGGGAGGCCAAGGCGGGAGGATCGCTTGAGGTCAGGAGTTTGAGACCAGCCTGGCCAACATGGTGAATCCCCATCTCTACTAAAAATACAAAAATTAGCCAGGTGTGGTGGTGCATGCCTGTAGCTCCAGCTATTTGGGAGGCTGAGGTGGGAGGATCCCTTGAACTCAGGAATTTGAGGCTGCAGTGAGCTATGATCGCACCACAGTGCTCCAGCCCGGGCAACAGAACCAGACCCTGTCTCTAAAAAAATTAAAATTTAAGAAATTAAAAAAAAAAAAGAAAAGGAGAAGAAGAATGAGGGTAGTTCTTGGCCCACGACTCCTCAGTCATGTGCTTAAAGCTTTACCTTTGACCAGCAAACCCTACCCCTATGCCCTCAGCAGCCTCTTCCCAATCAGGCCCCCTTCCACCTCTCTGCTTGTATTAGGTCAAACTCAGTTCTCAATTAGCTGGTCGTGGTGGGCGTCTGTAATCCCAACTACTCAGGAGGCTGAGGCAGGAGAATCACTTGAACCTGGGAGGCAGAGGTTGCCATGAGCCGAGATCGCGCCATTGCACTCCAGCCTGGGCAACAGAGCAAGACTTTGTCTCAAAAAAAAAAAAAAAAAAAAAAAGCCTGGGTGCAGTGGTTCACGCCTGTAATCCCAGCACTTTGGGAGGCTGAGGTGGGCAGATACCAGAGGTCAGGAGTTCGAGACCAGCCTGACCAACATGGAGAAACCCCATCTCTACTAAAAATACAAAATTAGCTGGGTATGGTGGCGCATGCCTGTAATCCCAGCTACTCGGGAGGCTGAGGCAGGAGAATCGCTTGAACCCAGGAGGCGGAGGTTGAGGTGAGGTGAGATTGCGCCATTGCACTCCAGCCTGGGCAACAGGAGCGAAACTCTGTATCAAAAAAAAAAAAAAAAAAAAAAAAAAAATCAGTTCTCCGGGAAGCGGACTCTGAGACAGAATTTTCAGTGAAGAAAGCTTTTTGGGACTGGGTCAATACTTCTGGATCAATTCATTTAAGGAAGTGAGGGAAGGGCTGAGCTGCTCTAAAGTCACAAACAAAGGCCACAGCAAATCCTGTGAGGTCCCCGGAACTGCGTTCACCCATCAGGGTTGTCCCACCCTGAGGCATGGGGACTGGGCCTTTATAACCCCTACACTGAGAAGCCATAGATGTTGGCTGCCTTCGGGGAGGGCCATGGACTTGACCAAGGTGGCTGTCTTTGGGGAGGCTATATTTGCAAAAGGACTCAGCTAAAAGCTGTTAGCCACCAGCATTCCCAGCAGCGGGGCACTGAGGGTGTCAGTCCTGAAGGAATGACGGGCAATGCTCCACCCTCCACTGTGCAGCCAGACCTACTCCCCACCTGGTCAGAGAGAGGAGCCTCACCTCGGAGGAGGGACCTGTGCCCTTGGCCTTATAGCACAGAGAAAACAAGAGAAAGCAAACTTGTTTCCAAAAGACCATCATAAAAATACTCTTTGTTGATTTTTCTTTTTTTAATTAAAACATGTTTTGTTTTGTTTTTTTTAATTATCAGTCATAGAGATGGGATCTCACTATGTTGCCCAGGCCGGACTCGAACTCCTTGTCTCAAGCAGTCCTCCTGCCTTGGCCTCCCAAAGCTCTGGGATTACAGGTATGAGCCACAGCACCCAGCTCCCTCTTGTTTTTAAATCGTTTTCCCCTCCCCTTCTCCTGTTTGAAGGCAACATGGCACAAGTCTTACTCTTGAAGCAGCAGCCTCTCTGACCGTAGAGAAAGAAACATCTGTGGAGAGTTTTCAAATGGCAAAAATAATGACAGTAATCAGCCGTCTTGTTACTTCTTGGGGACTGGGTGAAGTCAGTCCTTATTCAAAGAGATGGAATTTTCAGCATGGTTCCAATATGTCTTTTAATGGTTACACACATAGGTCCCTGAAAAGTATCCATGAGAAATAAAAAGAGCTGGGCTGTTTCTTTGAGTATTCTTTCAGCAGAAAAAAAAGAAAAAAGAGAAAACTGACTTGAGGGTATTGCTAAAAGATTTTCTGGTGTGGTTTTCTTTTCTTTTTCTTTCTTTTTCTTTTTTTTTTTTTTTTTGAGACAGGATCTTGTTCTGTCACCCAGGCTGGAGTGCAGTGGCATGATCACGGCTCACTGTAAACTTGATGTTCTGCACTCAAGTGATCCTCCCACTTCAGCCTCCCGAGTAGCTGGGATTACACGCACGTGCTACCATGCCCAGCTAATTTTTGTATTTTTTTGTAGAGACAGGGTTTCGCCATGTTACCCAGGCTGGTCTCAAACTCCTGGGCTCAAGCAATCTGCCCTATTTGTTTTCATTTGAGGGACAGGGCATCATGTACTATTTAATAAAAAAAAAAAGCGCCAGGCATGGTAGCTCACCCCTGTAATCCCAGTACTTTGGGAGGCCAAGGTGGGAGGATTGCTTGAGCCCAGGAGTTCAAGACCAGCCTGGGCAATATAGTGAAATCCTATCTCTACAAAAAATTTAAAAATTAGCCAAGTGTGGTGGCAAATGCCTGTAGTCCCAGCTACTTGGGAGGCTGAGATGGGGGGATCGCTGGAGCCCAGGAGTTCCAGGCTGCAGTGACTGGTGATCACACCACTGCACTCCAGCCTGGGCGACAGAGCGAAACCCTGACTCAAAAAAAAAAAGGAAAAAAAAGAAAGAAAGGAAAACAAATTGGATCATCAAATTGTCTGAGTCACCTGAGAAACCACAATTTAATGCCACCTTTCGATACCCAGAGTTCCTATCTTTGAATCAAATTAAGTAGAAAAACAAGTTAAAAAAAAAATCCTTAAATAATTATGGAGGTGGGCAGAGGGTTTTTTTTTTTTTGTGATCGAAATGGTTGATAATGCTTGTAGAAGAAAGGAAAAACATCTCATATAAAAATTTAATCTGAATGTTTTTGTTGTTAAAAGTCTCCTGTGAATCATGAATTATGAAAAACATGACCCAGGAAAGCTGTGAACAAGTTGATTCAAGTATCTCAGGCATGTGATGATCTCACGCCCCAGTCCAGCTTGGCTTCTGGGACGGTTAGGATTTTATCAGGTTCAGGGAACACTGATGGCCTAATTCTGGCTCCAGGCCTCACCCGGCTCTTTTCACACTGGCGCCAGATGTTTGGGAAGTTTTCAGGAAATTGTGGAAAACCAGACCTCAGGCTGGTCACCTTCCAGCAAGGTAGGAGGTGGCTGGTATGGTTTTCCCATTATTTTTTTCTTTTCCCTTTTTTTTTTTTTTGAGACAGGGTCTTGCTCTGTCACTGAGGCTGGAGTGCAGTGGTGTGATTTAAGCTGACTGCAACCTTGACCTCCCAGGCTCTAGCGATTCTCCTTAAGGATTGCAACCTCAGCCTCCCAAGTACCAGGGACTACAAGCCCACACCACCACACCTGGCTAATTTTTTTATTTTTTGTAGAGACGGTGTCTTGCTATGTTGCTCAGGCTGGTCTCAAACTCCTGGGCTCAAGCAATCCTCCCACCTCAGCCTCCTAAAGTGCTGGGATTACAGGCGTGAGCCACCGTCCACAGCTGCTCACCCATTCTTAAATACAAAAGGAGACCCTGAAAATAAACTGTACAGAGGGATAGATTAGACCTCATGACCCTTGACCTTTAACTCTTCACTGAGGAAGGAGCCCGGCTCCTTTTTTCCTACCTGCACTCATCAGACATTTATTACACGTGGTGGGGCGTGGTGGCTCACAGCTGTAATCCCGGCATTTTGGGAGGCTGAGGCGGGTGGGTCACCTGAGGTCAGGAGTTCGAGACCAGCCTGGCCAACCTGACGAAACCCCGTCTCTACTAAAATTACAAAAAATTAGCTGGGTGTGGTGGCGCGTACCTGTGATCCCAGCTACTCGGGAGGCTGACACAAGAGAATAGCTTGAACCCGGGAGGTGGAGGTTGTAGTGAGCCTAGATCGCGCCACTGCACTCCAGCTTGGGCGAAAGAGCGAGAGTCCGCCTCAAAACAAACAAACAAAAAGACATTTATTAGATGCCTACTATGTGCCAGGCCTGTAGAGAAATATGACAAGGTCTCCGCCCTGAGGTGGAGCTCAGGTCAGTGGAAGAAATTGGAAAATAACTGAAACACAGTGAGACCAACAGACTGCAGGCAACATCCGATTCTGAGATGAAATCCATGTGACGTGCTCTGAGGGCCAAAGGATAGCCTTGGCCTGGAGAGTTGGGCACCCTTACAAAGTGGGACAGAAGACATGCCCGTCCCTTGCATGGAGTGATTAAACCCCGGGCAAAGAAAGGAATCAGTGATGACTCTGGTGCCTGGGACGTTCAGATGCGGGTGGATGTTAGAAAACGCTTTAACAACTGTCCAATCAGAAGGGAGGGGCCCTGACCAGTCATGGTGGACGCTGGCCATTAAAGGACTGTGGGGCCCTATTGGTGTACATGGTGTCTGGGGAGCAGGGAGGAGGGAGGATTCTGGAGGGCTGGAGCACTGATGGAAGGATAGAGGCTGAGACTGGAAGTAGGGGCTTAGAGCTTAACTCCAGGGAAAATAGCGAGGAGCGTGAAAGACTTGCCGGAGAGAGGCCAGGCGGGGCACAGTGGCTCACGCCTATAATCCCACCACTCTGGGAGGCTGAGTCAGGTGGATCACATGAGGCCAGGAGTTTGAGACCAGCCTGGCCAACATGGCAAGACCCTGTCTCTACTAAAAATACAAAAATTAGCTGGGTATGGTGGTGCACACCTGTAATCCCAGCTACTCGGGAGGCTGAGGCCGGAGAATCGCTCGAACCTGGGAGGCGGAGGTTGCAGTGAGTTGAGATTGCACCACTGCACTCCAGCCTGGGCAACAGAGGGAGACTGTCTTCAAAAAAGGGAAAAAAGGAGAGATGCCAGAGGTAAGCATTTCAGGAGGCTCACCCAGGTGGCCCTGGAGAATGGCCACTGGGTGACTTGGTCCCTAGATCCTGTGAACTTGAGAGTATAGAACCCAAGGGGGAGGGAATGAAGGGAAATGAAAAGCAGAAGCAGGTTGGGAGCGGTGGCTCACACCCATAATCCTAGTGCTCTGGGAGGCCGCAGATCACTTGAGGCCAGGAGTTTGAAACAAGCCCAGGCAACATAGTGAGACCTCATCTCTATTAAAAAAAAAAAAATTTATCCAGGAGTGGTGGCATGTGCCTGTAGTCCCAGCTACTTGGGAGGCTGAGATGGGAGGATCCCTTGAGCCCAGGAGTTTGAGGGTACAGTGAGTTATGGTCGCACCACTGCACTCCAGCCTGGGCAACAAAGCAAGACCTTTTTCTCTAAAAAAGAAAAAGAAGGCCAGGTGCAGTGGCTCACGCCTGTAATCCCAGCACTTTGGGAGGCTGAGGTGGGCGGATCATGAGGTCAGGAGATTGAGACCATCCTGGCTAACACAGCGAAACCCCGTCTCTACTAAAAATACAAAAAATTAGCCGGGCGTGGTGGCGGGTGCCTGTAGTCCCAGCTACTCAGGAGACTGAGGCAGGAGAATGGTGTGAACCCGGGAGGTGGAGCTTGCAGTGAGCCGAGATTGCGCCACTGCACTCCAGCCTGGGCGACAGAGCAAGACTCCATCTAAAAAAAGAAAAAAAGAAAAGCAGAAGGGTCTGGGCTGTCGTTCCCAATCTTTCCCTCTTTCTGATGCACAGTGAGGGTCCAGTCACGTGGTGTCCACTTCTATCATCTCTCCACCATCCATGACCTAGAAGCTGCCCAAGGCAGAAACTGGGCTTTACGGACCTGATTTCTGTATCATCATTTTTTGTTTTTTTTTGAGACGGAGTCTCACTCTGTCACCCAGGCTGGAATGCAATGGCGTGATCTCAGCTCACTGCAACCTCCACCTCCCAAGTTCAAGCAATTCTCCTGCCTCAGCCTCCCGAGTAGCTGGGACTACAGGCACATGCCACCACACCCAGCTAATTTTTGTATTTTTAGTAGACATGGGGTTTCACCATGTTGGCCAGGATGGTCTCGATCTCTTGACCCTGTGATCCTTCTGCCTCGGCCTCCCAAAGTGCTGGGATTACATTGCACCCAGCCCTGCATCACCTTCTTAAGCCCCTTTTTTCCGGCCCCACCTAATACCACGCATGTCAGGGTTGCCTGGCCTAGCACAGCACAGCCTAGCCTGGAGGAGAAGTCCATACTTACCTATGCCTGGTGGGGGATGCCGCCTTCACCAAGGTGTGAGCCCATGGAGGCTGGCCTCCTTTAAGAGTCTGGCCAGAGGACTTGAGGTGGCCTAAACACACCATGAGCAGACTAATGATACCAAAGTGGAACCAGAATGATAAGTCCTAGCTCCCCAAAATTTGAGCATCTATTCTGTGCCAAACACTATAGCAGACATTTTATTATTTATATGTTTATTTATTTTGAGACAGAGTTTTGCTCTTGTCACCCAGGTTGGAGTGCAATGGCGTGATCTCGGCTCACTGCAACCTCTACCTCCCAGTTCAAGCAATACCTCAACCTCCTACGTAGCTGGGATTACGGGTGCCCGCCACCATGCCCAGCTAATTTTTGTATTTTTAGTAGAGATGGGGTTTCATCATGTTGCCCAGGTTGCTCTTGAACTCCTGACCTCAGGTGATCCACCAGCCTTGGCCTCCCAAAGTGCTGGGATTACAGGCATTAGTCACCCCATCTGGCCTATGCTACTTACTTCCAATACCCTACCATTGTCCTTTTAGTGATGACCATACCCAGGCGATCTCGATGCCCAAGATTTAAGGTGCAGGAAATCCCACTGGAGTTCAGAGCTGCTGCTTTTTTTTTTTCCTCCAAGAGAAATTGTTGAAGTCAAACTTGACCAAGTTCTTTCTGCAAACTGGATGCCTTCACATGCCTGTCTCCAGATCCATGCTTCAAGGCTAAGTGTTATTAATAAAAGTAATGCAGATTGGGAGGCCGAGGCAGGCGGATTATGAGATCAGGAGTTCGAGACCACCCTGGCCAACATGGTGAAACCCCTCTCTACTAAAAATAGAAAAATTGGCCGGGCGTGGTGGCGGGCATCTGTAATCCCAGCTACTTGGGAGGCTGAGGCAGGAGAATCTCTTGAACCCAGGAGGCGGAGGTTGCAGTGAGCTGAGATTGTGCCACTGCACTCCAGCCTGGTGACAGAGCGAGACTCCATCTCAAAAAAAAAAAAAAAAAAAAAAGCCATCCTGGCTAACACGGTGAAACCCCGTCTCTACCAAAAATACACAAAAATTAGCCAGGTGTGTGGCAGACACTTGTAGTCCCAGCTGCTCAGGAGGCCGAGGCAGGAGAATGGCGTGAACCCGAGAGGTGGAGCTCGCAGTGAGCCGAGATCGCGCCACTGCACTCCAGCCTGGGTGACAGAGCGAGACTCTGTCTCAAAGAAAAAAAAAAAAAGTAATGGAGAAGCTGAAGGTTACCCAACTCGTTTCCTGGGCTTGCTTCTCTCTGTCACAGTTCCCTGACAATGATGAAAGCCTGTTCTTTCCAGCCCTCGGCCTCTGTTGGTCCTCACTTTGCAAATGTCTTTCCCAATCTTCACCCACACCAGAAACTCCACGTCTCCCCATGAGAGTTCCCAGGACACCCCGTGAGCCGTTTGCAAGAGAGTGTATCACCTTTAACTCGCCCCTGTCTGTTGCAGGAAACAGGGGTCAGACTGTTCTACGCTTTGAGCACATGGCCTTTGAGGCTTCTCACTTGATCCTCAGAGCTAAATGCTCTCAGATCAGAACAGCAAAGGACTTCGGCCTCAGACCCAGCAAGAGATGTTGTCATTGCATACAATCAGCCAGGAATGCCTTCATTCATTCTACACATCTTTATTGACACAGCCTGGCCCTGAAGTCAAAAGAATGAGAAAGGAGGAAGACAGGCTTGGTGCCTGCCTCCCTGTGTTTAGAGGTTAGCAGAAAAAGAACTAAATCAGGGATGCATTAGAATTATGGTATTACGCCACCATGGAATACTATGCAGCCATAAAAAAGAATGAGTTTGGCCGGGCACAGTGGCTCACCCCTGTAATCCCAGCACTCTGGGAGGCTGAGGCAGGTGGATCACCTGAGGTCAGGAGTTTGACACCAGCCTGACCAACATGCTAAAACCTCGCCTCCACTAAAAATACAAAATTAGCCAGGCATAGTGGTGCATGCATGTAATTAATCCCAGCTACTTGGGAGGCTGAGGCAGGAGAATCACTTGAACCTCGGAGGCAGAGGTTGCAGTGAGCCGAGATGGCACCACTGCACTCCAGCCTGGGCAACAAGAGAGAAACTCCATCTCAAAAAAAAAATAAAGAAAGAAAGAATGAGTTAATGTCCTTTGCAGGGACATGGATGAAGCTGGAAGCCGTCATTCTCAGCAAACTAACACGGGAACAGAAAACCAAACACCGCATGTTCTCCCTCATAAGTGGGAGTTGAACAATGAGAACACATGGACACAGGGAGGGGAACATCACACACCGGGGCCTGTTGGGGGGTGGGGGGGCAAGGAGAGAGAGAACATTAGGACAGATGTCTAATGCATGCGGGGCTTAAAACCTAGATGACAGGTCGATAGGTGCAGCAAACCACCATGGCACATGTATACCTATATAGCAAACCTGCACTTTCTGCACATGTATCCCAGAACTTAAAATTTTTTAAAAAAATTATGGTATTATGCATACTAGGCTGGGTGTGGTGGTTCATGCCTGTAATCCTAGCACTTTGAGAGGCCGAGGGGGGTGGATCGCCTGAGCTCAGGAGTTCAAGACCACCCTGGGCAACATGATGAAATCACGTCTCAACTAAAATGCAAAAAATCAGCCAGGCGTGGTGGCGCACCTGTAGTCCAGCTACTCAGGAGGCTGAGGCAAGAGAATTGCTTGAGCCCGGGAGGTGGAGGTAGCAGTGAGCTGAGATCACGCCACTGCACTGCACTCCAGCCTGGGCGATGAAGCGAGACGCTGTCTCAAAAAAAAAAAAAAAAAAGAAAGAAAGAAAAGTGTGGTATTATGCATACTAACAACAGGGAAAAGTGAACCAGCTCCCAACTGAATCCTACTTTGCTAAGTTGTGTACATGTTTTCTTTATTCATTTCCATTCACTTATGTACAAGTTAAATATATATTTTTTAATTCCTGCTGTATCCGTCAGGGGACTAGCAGGAAACAGAATCAAACAGGGACGATTTAAGAGAAGTTAAGAAGGGACTAGGAGGCTGGCTGTGGTGGCTTACGCCTGTAATCCCAACACTTTGGGAGGATTGCTTGAGTCCAGGAGTTTGAGGCCAGCTTGGGCAATATAGCAAGACCCCATCACTATAAAGATTGTTTTTGGTTGGCCACGGTGGCTCACGCCTGTAATCCCAGCACTTTGGGAGGCCGAGGCAGGCAGATCACTTGAGGTCAGGAGTTCGAGACCAGCCTGGCCAGCATGGTGAAACCCCATCTGTACTAAAAATATAAAAAACTAGATTGGCATGGTGGTGCTTGCCTGTAGTCCCAGCTACTCGGGAGGCTGAGGCAGAAGGATTGCTTGAACCCGGCAGACAGAGGTTGCAGTGAGCCAAGATCGAGCCATTGCACTCCAGGCTGGACAACAGAGCAAGACTCTGTCTCAAAAAAAAAAAAAAAGGTTTTTTTTTTTGTTTTTTTTTTAATAGCTGGGCATGCACCTGTAGTCCCAGCTACTCAGGAGGCTGAGGCAAGAGGATTGCTTGAGGCCAGGAGTTTGAGACCAGCCTGGGCAACATAGAGAGACCCTGTCTCTATAAAAAAAAATTTTTTTTAATTAGCCAGGTGTGGTGGCACACTTCCGTGGTCCTAGCTACTTGGGAGGCTGTGGCAGGAGGATCACTTGAGCCCAGGAGTTTGAGGCTGCAATGAGCTATGATTGCTCCACTGCACTCCAGCCTGGAAGACAAAGTGAAATCCAGTCTCCAAACAAACAAACAAACAAACAAACACCTCACAAACAAACAACAAGCAAAGGACAGTTAGGAGCGCTGGTTAATCCGTGCTCTTTCAGGAAGCCAGGGTGCACAATTTACTCTCAAAATAAGAGTGGGCAGGGGTGGAGACGGTAGTCATTCATTACCATTCTCTCTATATTAATCGACTAAACCGATAACCACCAGCTGTCTCGCGTCTTTGTGAATTCACAGACATAATGTGTGTGCATCTGGGTCTTAACAAGAGATCATGGAGGCTGAGTAATGTTTGGGCAGAGAAAAAAATTATTGCATTAAGCAATATGATCTTCAAAAATTGACAGCTGGTGATATGGAAGCTTTCAATCTTTTATTTTGTCTTAGGCTGAGAGGCAAAGTCTGGTGTTTAGCTGTATTTTGTATTGATTTTCCAAATGACAAAGAAAATTTCAAAAGCTGTCAAACAAACACGAGACACTTACGAAGTGAAGCTGTGTTTCATTGGGATTTATGCTTTCTTCCTCATCTATTATGGATATTTCATTAGCGATTAGTCAGAAACTTTTGAAGCTAGCTTCGGAGTTTGTCATTTAGAGCTTTCATATCAATTTCCTTAAAACATAAGAAATAACATTCCTATAAATAAGGCAAAGGGCTAAGGCAGATAATACAGTGCGGAAGGCAAAACATAATTTCCAAACATATGCAATTATGAAAAATAGAATAACAAAGTAGGCAATGTTTCAAATGAAGTTCCTAAATGCACATTTCATTTAAGCTTAATAAAATATCACTTATATTGCAGTAATACCATTTAATTATTAAAAATTCTATCCAACCGGATTAATAACTATGTAAAAGATGCTTGTCTAAATTCGAAATTTTCCTCCACTCAGCAGCCTCTCATTATGAAGACTAGCCCTCTTTTAGAATGAATTTTCTTCTGTCCATCAAAAACCCTGCCTGTTAACTCATTTTTAACACTGTAAATTATTTATATCAGATGCTTGGAAACACAGAGCAAAATAGAGAAGATGTCACCCACGCATCATTTTATGTTCATTTTTCACCTACTATATCTTCTTAGGCTCAGGCAATTTTAAAAAAACAAATTTTTTGAGACAGTCTCACTCTGTTACCCAGGCTGGAGTGCAGTGGTACGATCTCAGCTCATTGCAGGCGCCAACTGCTGGGCTGAAGTGATTCTCCTGCCTCAGCCTCCTGAGCAGCTGGGAAAACAAGTGCATGTGCCACCGTGCCCCAGCTAACTTTTTGAATCTTTTGTAGAGACGTAGTCTTGCTATGTTGCCCAGGCTGGTCTTGAGCTCCTGGCCTCAAGCCATCCCCCTACCTCGGCCTCCCCAAGTGCTGGGATAGAAACTGGCCTTTATACATGCTAGGTGTCCCACAGACACTGGACATGTGTTATCATTTTTTTTTTTTTTGAGATAGCGTCTCACTCTGTCGCCTAGGCTGGAGTGCAGTGGCACAATCTTGGCTCACTGCAACCTCTGCCTCCCGGGTACAAGCAATTCTCCTGCCTCAACCTCCAGAGTAGCTGGGACTATAGGCATGTGCCACCACACCTGGCTAATTTTTGTATTTTTAGTAGAGACGGGGTTTCACCATGTTGACCAGGCTGGTCTTGAACTCCTGACCTCAAGTGATGCACCCGCCTTGGCCTCCCAAAGTGCTGGGATTACAGGCATGAGCCACAGCACCTGGCCGACATGTGTTATCTTAATTATTCCTTACAAGCTCGTGAAGCAAGTTTTATTGCCCCCATTTTATGGATGGGAAAAGTGAGGCATAAGGAAGTCATACAACCAGTACAAGCAACTGGGCCTCTTCTGAAACTTCACAATTTCTGCCTTTTCCTGCTCATCACACCACTAAAGCAACTTGTAATTATTACCGACTATAATTCCCAATGAATTCTGTGGCTTTGTGATTTGGCTTTTGTTGAATTATGAACAACCTGTTTTTGTTATTTTTTTTTTTTCTTTTTTCACCTAGAGTCTCGCTCTGCTGCTCAGGCTGGAGTGCAGCAGTACGATCTCAGCTCACTGCAACCTCCACCTCCCGGGTTCAAGCAGTTCTCCTGCCTCAGCTTCCCAAATAGCTGGGATTACAGGCATGTGCCACCACACCTGGCTAATGAATCATGAACAAGCTCAATTCCAGATAACAGCAATAGGGCCTGTCTCACCCATGATACACGTTGGGAATAGATGTTAAATTGATGGTTTTATTAATCAGTGACATGCCACGGAAATTCAATCTCACAGAGTTTGGGGACTAGACAACCAGACAGGATGTGCTGGGAAGTTTCCATCTGTGTTTAAAATATGTTTTAGAAGTGGCTGCTGGCCTATTGTGGTTGCTTTTTACTCAATGGTTATTGCAATCTTGGCCTCAGGATACCAAAGAGTAAGACTTCAGTTGCTCAGTGGGATCTGAGATGGGTAGGAAGGCGGTTTTTATTCTGTGCAACAAGACTCTTTGCTTCCTTCACTTAGTTTGGGCTCCAGAGCCTTTAGAGGATTTGGTGATTTCCCCCGACCACTATTTCTAGCAAGTCAGGAAGATGAGGCCAGTGGCTCAGGGGTTGAGGCCACAGCCTGGGAAAGGTAACGCCACGGCCAGGCACAGTGGCTCATGCCTATAATCCCAGCATTTTAGGGGTCTGAGGCAGGAAGATCGCTTGAGGTCAGGAGTTCAAGACCAGCCTAGGCAACATAGGGAGACCCCCTGTCTCTACACACACACACACACACACACACACACACACACACACACACACACATATACCTTTTTTTTTTTTTGAGACAGGGTATCACTCTGTCACCTAAGTTGGAGTGCAATGGCGTGATCTCAGCTCACTGCAACCTCTGCCTCCCAGGTTCAAACAATTCTCATGCCTCAGCCACACGAATAGCTGGAGTTACAGGTGTGCACCATCACACCAGGGTAACTTTTGTTATTTTTAGTAGAAATGGGGTTTCACCATGCTGACCAGGCTGGTCTCAAACTCCTGACCTCAAGTGATCCACCTGCCTTGGCCTCCCAAAGTGCTGAGATTACAGGTGTGAGCCACCACACCCAGCCAAAAAATGAAAAAATTAGCTGGGTGTGGTGGGGTGTGCCTGTAGTTCCAGCTACTCAGAAGGCTGAGGTAGGAGGATCGCTTGAGCCCAGGAGTTGGAGGCTGTAGTGAGGTATGATGACACACCTCACTGGGTGACAGAGAACGAACCTGTCTCAAAAAATTTGAAAACAAACAAACAAAAATTAAACCATATTGGCCAAGTGCAGTGGTTCGCACCTGTTATCCCAGTGCTTTGGGAGACCGAGGCAGGAAGATCACTTGAGCCAGGACTCTGAGACCAGCATGTTTCTACAATTTTTTTTTTCTGAGGTGGAGTCTCACTCTGTTCCCCAGGCTGGAGTGCATTGGAGCAATCTCAGCTCACTACAACCTCTGCCTCCTGGGTTCAAGTGATTCTCCTGCCTCAGCCTCCCGAGTAGCTAGGATTACAGGCACCCACCACCATGCCCAGATAGTTTTTGTATTTTTAGTAGAAATGGGGTTTCGCCACGCAGGCTGGTCTCGAACTCCTGACCTCAGGTGATCTGCCTGCCTTGGCCTCCCAAAATGCAGGGATTACAGGTGTGAGCCACTGCTCCTGGCCAAAAAAAAAATTTTTTTTTTTTAATACTAGCTCTATGTAGTGGCACACAGCCCTAGTCTCAGCTACTTGGGAGGCTGAGGCAGGAGGATCGCCAGAGCCCAGGAGTTCAAGGCTTCGCCACTGCTCTCCAGCCTGGGCGACAGAGGGAGATTTTGCTTCTGAAAAACAAACAAACAAACAAAAAAACAGAACCATATTGACACATTGTTATTACATCGCTATTAACTAAAGTCCACAGTTTACATTAGGGTTTACCTTTCTAGTTGTACAGTTCCGAGGATTGTGAAAAATGCATGTCACGTGCTTACCATTACAACATCACACATAATATTTTCCCTGTCCTAAAACTGCAGTGCTATGGCTCCATCCCTCAGGTATTTTCATCATCCTGAAGTTAAGCAAAAAATGATATTCCAGGAACAAGAAAGTAAGAACAAACACTACACTCCTAATGGGCTGAGACCATTATAGGATATGGATCTGGGCTGGTGAATGCAATGTTCTAATAGCAATGAAACAGAGTTATTGAAGGAGAGCAGGGCCAAAGATCCCTTCTGGAATGAGGAATAAGGAGGAAGAAAAATTAAAACCGTCACTGAGGGATGATTGTGCCAAGGTCTAATGTGTATTAACTCATTTAATCCTAACAAAGATACAAGAAGGTATGTTCGATAATTATCTTAACCTCTAGCATTGGATCTCGTTTTGAACACAGCCATAGGGATGGGTTAGGTAAGGTTCAGATATTACAGGTGAGGACAAGGTGACTCAGAGAGGTTAAGTAACCAGCCCAAAGTCACCCAGCCAAAAAGCAGCATGCAGTGCTTAGGGTTTGCACACAGGTCTGTCTGTCTGATGTCCACACCTGTGACCTTCTCTCTGCCCCATGGCGCTGGCTCCTCTGAGATGCAGAAGGGTGAGGATTGAGCTTTTTTCTTCATCTGCAGAGTGCCCGCTGCAATTTGTTCCAGGGAGCGCGAGGGAGGCAGTTTTTAAGAGACTCAGTAACAGGAAATTTGGTCTATTGTTTGAAACAAGAGGTGCAAACAAGTGCCCGCTTTGAAGTGCTGAATAACAAACTCTGCCGGGAGTGGAAAGGCAAGAGGCTACAAGATTCTTGAGTTGGTGTCAAATGCGCAAGACACGGGGCAGAGGGGAAGAGGCGGCGCAGGAGAAACTGGGGCAAGATCTGTTTGAAGAGAACGGGTCTTAAATAGATCAGGCTACAGGGGACAGCAAGGGGTAGGGGGAACCAGAGGGTCATTTCTTTCTTTCCTTTTTTTTCTTCCTAAGGGAGCCTGTGTGTGTGTGTGTGTGTGTGTGTGTGTGTGTCTGTGTGTGTGTGTGTGTCTGTGTGTGTGTGTGTCTGTGTGTGTGTGTTTTAAAAGAAAACATCACAATCACAGGTGGGGGTAAGAGGCAACCAGGTGAACAGTAAAACACAGACAAGTTTCAAAAGAAAACAAAACCAAACCCCACCACCTGGTCTGACTTGGTTGGTAATAAAACGCTAGCGGATAAACGGAGCTTGTGTAAACTAATCCCACCTCCCACTCACAAGTCAGTATTAAATTTAGGAATGAGAGAGTCTAAGATACCGACTTGGAATTACTTACAATTGTTTCACTAAACTGCTCGCCTTGGACTGTGTAATAGCACATTCATGACCCCACCCTCCCAGCCATAGCTGCCAGAATGGGATTGTTAATCAGATACTTCCCCAGACAGTCCATGAAACCAGACTCCCCTAAAGTGAAGATAGAGCCCACGGCAATTAGCAAGTAGATTCCCAATGATGACTTGGAAAACACACCCTTTTCTAGCTGCTTAGACTGCCAACCACCCGTCTTCCTGTACTTAAGGGGGACTTTTGACTCTTCCCGACGTCTCTCATTTGCAATCAATGTCTCATTCAAGACCAAGGTCAAGTTATCAATCTTGATTATAGATGCCCTGGACCGGGGTGTCTGGAGCCTCCACCGCCGCAGAGAGATGTCTGGAGACAAAGCCTCTACGGGGAAGGATTGCTGGCAAGCAGGTTGCTGCAAGGTAAGATGAAAGAATCCTTCCTGGGCAGGTAATACCCAGGACTTCCTGAAGGGGGGATATCGAGGCTCCCTTTTGGACAGCTCAGGTAGGTTCTGACCAGTTCGGGGACCAGGTGTGGCAAAACAGCTGCATGTAAGTCTGGGGTGGTACCGAAAGTCCACACTTTGGCTTACCAGAGAGTAAGTCGTTGTGGAGCAGTTCTTTTTAATCTCTCTGAGCCTCAGTTTCCCCCTGTGTAAAAGGGAGCTAATGCTTTGTACCTTGCAAAGCTGCTACTGGGGTTAGAGGGAAGCTGTGCAGAGCTCAGTGGGCAATAACTGTTGTGATTAGGTGGTTTTACAGGCAAAGATGACTCTTGCAGACTTGTGACTTCCCATCTGGCCTTTCCAACCTCAGGAGGACAGTAGATAACAGCGATGTCCCTTCGTGGCTCTATTCCCAGTCCCTTGCCAAGAGTTCTCATAAACATTTTATTCTGGGGAGGCGTGAACTCAGAAGTCCCCCAAAGGGAAAGAAGTCTAAGAGAGGTGTATGGCTGAGTCAGAACGAGGGACCCTGAAGTCTTAAGAACATTGTCTTCTAGGTAAATCTTGACTCACAAATAAAACCGAGTAGTACCAAATACGAATTTTCGTGTGTACATCAAATAATTGGCTTAATAGGATCAAACCAATTACACATTTTCCAGGTCTTCCCAGTTGAATTTTAAGCTCTCTCCCGGGCAGGAGCTACTGTATTTCGGGTGACTTTATATACACTCCGCCACCTTGCCTTCTTGCCTGCTCCAGCAAACACACACACACACACACACACACACACACACCCCACCACCACCACCACCACCAATACCACCAGACTGATACAGGCTTTAGGAACAGTTGTTGACTTTATTTGCATGATATTTGAGAAAACAGGAAACTTGACTTCTCTGTATAGAGCTGGGGGGGTCTCAGCCCTGGTTTCTGAAATAAAAGGTCTCAGGTAGACAGGCCTGGAAGCTGAATATTAGACCAGTCTTAGCAGGGTTTACAGGCGTGAGCCAATGTGCCCAGCCCATTATTGTTTTCACAGGTTACTGCCCTGTTCCCACTCCCAACTAAATTGTAAGCTTCTAAGGGCAGGGACGTAGTCCACCTCTGCCATGTGGTTGGTTTTTTTAGTGTCTGACACAGCACTTTGCTCAACACATAGTGTTTGGTGATTGGACAATGGGCTTTCCAGCATTATTGGTGACATCCTTATCTGCCCCTCAGAAAACCTTTTTAAAGAATACAGGCCAGGAGCAGTGGCTCATGCCTGTAATCCCAGCACTTTGGGAGGCTGAGGCGAGAGGATCTCTTGAGCACAGGAGTTTGAGAACAGCCTGAGCAGGATAACGAGACTCTGTCTCTACAAAAAATTTAACAATTAGGCTGGGCGTGGTGGCTCACTCCTGTAATCCCAGCACTTTGGGAGGCCGAGGTGGGTGGATCACGAGGTCAGGAGATCAAGACTATCCTGGCCAATATGGTGAAACCCTGTCTCTACTAAAATACAAAAAATTAGCCGGGCGTGGTGGTGCGTGCTGGTAGTCCCAGCTACTTGGGAGGCTGAGGCAGGGGAATAGCTTGAACCTGGGAGGCGGAGGTTGCAGTGAGCCAAGATCATGCCACTGCACTGCAGCCTGGCAAGAGAGCAAGACTCCATCTCAAAAAAAACACAGACAACTTTTAACAATTAAGCATGGTGGTGTATGCCTGTGGTTCCAGCTACTTGGGAGGCTGAGATGGGAGGATCACTTGAGCCTGGGAGGTTGAGACTGTAGTGAGCTATGATCATACTACTGCACTCCAGCCTGGGCAGCAGAGCGAGATTGTCTCAAAAAAAAAGTAAAAACAATTAAAAGAAAAAAGAAGACAAAGATCTCGAAGATCCAGTTCAGCAGTTGGTATTGTGTCTGCTGCCTTCCTCAACTTGACCGTAATGACTTCAATTTCTCTCAAATGCCTTTGTTTTTATGTTCACTTCAATTAGCGCTAATAGAACAATACTTCGCACCTTCATAAGGTCTTTCCTTGGAAAGCTCCAAAGCATTTTACAAGAAAGTGTTAATTATTCCCATTTTACAGGCCCGAAACCTGAGGCAAAGTGAAACAGTGACTCAGTGGCAAAATTAGGATGTGATTTTCCCTCTCTGTTTTCAATTGCCTACTATAATCACTAGATCACAGGACCCCTTTTAGGTTAGAGTTAAGTTACTGTTTAAAGAGATGACAGGCTGGCACGGTGGCTCACCTCTGTAATCCCAGCACTTCGGGAGGCCAAGGCAGGTAGATCACCTGAGGTCAGGAGTTCAAGACAAGCCTGGCCAACATGGTGAAACCCTGTCTCTACTAAAAATATAAAAAATTAGCTGGTTGTGGTGGTGGGCACCTGTAATCCCAGCTACTCAGGAGGCTGAGGCAGGAGAATCACTTTAACCCAGGAGGCGGAGGTTGCAGTGAGCTGAGATCATGCCATCACACTCCAGCCTGGGCAACAAGAGTGAAACTCTGTCTCAAAAAAAAGAAAAAAAGAAAAAAAAAAAAAAAAGACCGGGCGCAGTGGCTCACGCCGGTAATCCCAGCACTTTGGGAGGCCAAGGTAGGTGGATCACGAGGTCAGGAGTTCAAGACTAGCCTGGCCAAGATAGTGAAACCTTGTCTCTACTAAAAATGCAAAAATATTAGCCGGGCATGGTAGCGGGCGCCTGTAATTCCAGCTACGCCAGAGGCTGAGGCAGAGAATTGCTTGAACCTGGGAGGCGGAGGTTGAGGTTGCAGTTAGCTGAGATCGCACCACTGCACTCCGGCCTGGGCGACAGAGTGAGACTCCGTCTCAAAAAAGAAAAAAAAAAAAAGATGACATAGGCTCTAATGTGTCCTTATTTTAAATAACATTTACTATTTCCCTGCATTATACAGGTGGTATGTACTCATGTAGAAAATACATAAAATATAGAAATAAGGCTGGGTGCTGTGGCTCATCCCTATAATCCCAGCACTTTGGGAGGCCGAGGAGGGAGGATGGCTTGAGGCCAGGAGTTCAAGATCAGCCTGGGCAATATAGAGAGACTCTGTCTCTACCAAAAATTGTTTAAAAAAAATTAGCAAGGCTTGGTGGTGTATGCCTGATGACTTGAGCCCAGAAGTTCGAGGCTGCAGTGAGCTATGATTGTACCACTGCCCTCCAGGATGGGGAACAGTGAGACCATGTCTCAAAAAAAAAAAAAAAAAAAAAAGAAAGAAAGAAAAGAAAAAATATTAAGGAAAATAAGTCACTTATAAATTCATCATCCAGAGACACCCACTCTTAGGAGTTAGCCTTTTTTTTCCCTAGCATTCTTTCTTTCTTTTTTTTTTTTTTTTTGAGACAGTCTTTAACTGTTGCCCAGGCTGGAGTGCAGTGGCGCGATCTCAGCTCACTGCAACCTCCGCCTCCAGGGTTCAAGCGATTCTCCTGCCTCAGCCTCCCAAGTAGCTGGGATTATAGGCACCTGCCATTGCACCGGGCTAATGTTTGTATTTTTAGTAGAGGCGGGGTTTCACCATGTTGGCCATGCTGGTCTTGAAGTCCTGGCCTGAGGTGATCTGCCGACATCGGCCTCCCAAAGTGCTGAGATTATAAGCGTGAGCCACCATGCCAGGCCCACACAGGCTTTTCAAATTATACAAGTGTGTGTGCCTGTGTCTGTGGGTGAATATTTTAATAAGAAAAGTAAGTGCCAGAGTCGATGCCTACTTTCCTTACTTCTTCCTTCTGCCATTCACCTCTCTCTCACAAAAATAAAATGTTGACATCCCCTTAGATTCTACCCTAGTTAAAGCTAGCTTCTTAAACCTCTAAAGATATTATAATACAGACTCTCAAAAACTGACACTACATCAAATATTTCACGTGCATGGAGCTTGAGGGAGTGAAAAAGTTTTCTACTCCTGCTAGAAATACGAGCTTTTCTATTTCCTATTTTCCACTGGAACAACCTTTCTCTTCTCTCTTTTTTTTTTTTTTAAGTCAGAGTTTTGCTCTTGTCACTGAAGTGCTGTGGTGTGATCTCAGTTCACTGCAACCTTCACTTCCTGGGTTCAAGCGACTCTCCTGTCTCAGCCTCCCGAGTAGCTGGGACTACAGGCAGGCGCCCACCACCATGCCCAGCTAATTTTTGTATTTTTAATAGAGACGGGGTTTCACCATGTTGCCCAGGCTGGTCTGGAACTCCTGACCTCAGGTGATCCACCCGCCTCGGCCTCCCAAAGTGCTGGGATTACAGGCATGAGCCACCGCGCCTGGCCGGAACAAGCTTTCAAAATCTTGCAAACCACACTTACTCAGGAAAAAAAACAATATACAATCTGACAGTGCTTGTGACAAAAGAAAATCTAATTATATTTCATGAAAACAAATCTTCATTCAACACCAACTGTATAACTGTGGAGACGTGTCACAAAAGAGGGTGTAGAAAAATATTTTGCTTTGTATGATGAATACAACTGGAAAAAAAAAACCCAACCCATGTCTATACCCTACATGGCCTAGCACCAGGGACATAGTTGTCGTTTAAAATATTGGATGGCAAACTTCTGTTATAAGAGCAATATTAATAATGAAACTCAATATAAATAAAACGCCCATGGTTCATATCTCCCAGGAGGAAAGCAAAGAAATTAGTATAAGTCTGAGCACAGAACTTGAACTTTACATTAAGCAAGTTAATAATAATATTTATATAGTGTTTTACATATCTCAAGCCCTTTCAAGCTACTGTTACCCTATTAATTTCTAGTGATTCAGTAATGACATCAGTGAGAGTCACAGAAGATGGCATTTATTTTAATTGTGTACAGGAAATGGGTAATATGACCTCTCTGTGGGAGTCTCATGATGTGGGGGAGATAAAAAAGGAAAAGTGAGATTTGATATTCGAATAAACTCAAAATATCAAGAAAATGTAGGCCCGGGTGTGGTGGCTCACGCTTGAGAATTCTAGCACTTTGGGAGGCCGAGGTGGGAGGATCCCTGGAGACTGGGAGTTGGAGACCAGCCTGGGAAACTCTGCTCCATACAAAAAAAGAAGAAAAAAAATAGCCAGGCATGGTGGCACATGCCTGTGGTCTCAGCTTAGCAGACTGAGGCTGCAGTGAGACATGATGGTGTCACTGCACTCCGGCCTGGAGTACAGAGTGCAACTCTGTCTCAAAAAATAAAGAAAAGAGGTCAGGCGCGGTGGCTCACACCTGTAATCCCAGCACTTTGGGAGGCCGAGGCGGGTGGATCACTTGAGGTCAGGAGTTCGAGACCTGCCTGGCCAACATGGTGAAACCCCATCTCTACTAAAAATATAAAAATTAGCCGGGCCTGGTGGTGCATGCCTCTAGTCCCACCTACTCCAGAGGCTGAGGTGGAAGAATCGCTTGATCCCGGGAGGTGGAGGTTGCAGTGAGCCGAGATCGCGCCACTGCACTCCAGCTTGGGCAACAGAGCGAGACTCTGTCTCAAAAAGTAAATAAAAAATAAAATAAAATAAATTAAAATAAGAGAAAAGAAAACCAAATTTATATTAGAATATAAATTTGGTAAGAAAGAGATTGCAGCCAGGGGTCAGTGGCTGGTGAGATGGGCTTTGGAAGCTTGTGTGATAACAAAAGCTCCAGGTCTCTTGTCAGAAACTTGAATGTCCCAAAGCAAGGAGGAGTCAAGTCCATTAAGCTTGATGTATTTTCTTCTTTTTTTTTCTTTTTCTTTTTTCTTTTCTTTCTTTTTTTTTTTTTTCTGAGATGGAGTCTCACTCTGTCACCTAGGCAGAGTGCAGTGGTGTGATCTCGGCTCGCCACAACCTCCGCCTCCCGGGTTCAAGCAATTCTTCTGCTTCAGCCTCCTGAGTAGCTGGGATTACAGGCACACGCCACCACACCCAGCTAGTTTTTGTATTTTTATAGAGACGGTGTTTTACTATGTTGGCCAGGCTGGCCTTGAACTCTGGATCTCAAGTGATCCGCCTGCCTGGGCCTCCCAAAATGCCGGGATTACGTGAGCCACCTTTCCGCCATAGATGTATTTTCAAAGTGTAAGCCACCACCATCTGAGAGGCCAAGCTGTACACTTTTTTTGTTTAAGACAAATCGGAGAGAACAGAACATAATCATTAGAGGTGTCGAAAGATACCTAGAGTGAATGTCATTAACATATGCTGTCCAGAAGTGGAAAGAAGGGGGAAATGGTGGGCCAGACATGAAGTCTTTGAAGATTTCCAAAAGGAGACCGAGAAATGCTGTCACCAGAGTCAGGGTGGGAGGGTGGTCAACAGGAGTCTACTGTTTAGAAATCATTACAGTTTGTTCTTACAAGTTGGGCAGGTTTTTGGTACAATTATATAACTGCACATACATTCAGGGTATTGAAATGAATGATGTACTACTATACATGTAATTACATGTAGCAAAATGTATACTTTTATTTGGTGGGTATTTACATATAGTACACTGAATAGTGTACTTAAAAATAATTAACATAAAATATTCTTTTAAAAACAGAGCAATTAAAAGTTGTTTGGTTTTCTTGAGCTCAAAAAATAAAAGAATCTGGAATCTTCCTTTCATTTATTCAAGTAGTCTATGCCAAATCATTCTAAAAGGCAGTCGCCAAAGACAAAAGAAAGAGTCATTCTCCTCTGTTATTCATAATCTTTTGATTTAAGGAAAAGGGATTTTCAAATGTAAAGTGTCTCAAAACTTCTGTCTGGTCTTAGTCCTAAATTTAAAACATTTACAAATTCAGGCAGCTTGAATTACTACCTCGATATAATTTTGAACTTCTATGTTTGTAAAATTGAGATTCTCCACATAACTTTTTATTAAGAGTATGATTCCTTTATACCATGCATCAAAATAGTCATATCTTTATGTTTATTTATGAATAAATTACGATAGAAGCATTTAGCATTATGAATTGTTTCTGATTATCCAAAATATTTCTTGTTGAAAACTATTTGAAACTCATTCTAGTTTGGATGCAAAAAAAAAAAAAATTCAGAAAATGCATTAAGGTTTTAGAACGAACCTCTTGATTTTTCCTTTGAAGTATATCTGATTTCTGAGTTTTTTTCATTTTCCTTCTAGCTTGGTAAAAATTATAGATTATTCCCCAACTTTTCTTGGGGATAAAGTTTCTTAACTTTAGGTGAAATTTAATTGTATGAGTCCATAATAAAAGATCTTGTGTGGGATAAAGAAAATGGATTTTTAAAATAATGCCTTACAGTGTAAGACATTTTTCAATTTGGAAGAAATTCTTGATAGTTAATTCCTTCAAGGAATTAGGTGAAGTATAACAGAACAACTTTTAAATTTGAATCTTTAGAAAACAACGCGACACATTTTCACTTCTTGGAGCTGCCAAAAGAGGGCCAATTTAGTAGTAATTACCCATATTTTGGAGAATTGGACAATTTTTTTTTTACTTTAGTGGATTTAATAAACTATATGTGGATGTCAGGGAAAGGAGAATCCACTAGTGTTAGGAAGATAGGAAAGAATGAACTCCCAAAAGCACTTTACAATTTTCTGCAAGTTAAATTAGTTAGTATTATCACATCCCTCATGTGGCTACTTACTGCTTTTTAGGCAAAATAAAATGGGCCAGAAAAGAAATTTAGGAATTCTGGGCTCAAATATTAATTATTTAGTTACCTTATTTGGGGCTAAGCTGTATTTCATTTAAAGGCGTCAGGAACAAACATCATCTTGGTCAGTTCCTCCATCTGATGACTGGGGGCTTGATTTTGAAAGCTTGGGTGGCAAATTGGTCATATACTTGGAAACTGTGAGATTTCATCCCCTAAAGGGAGAGCCTGAGTGTCGAAAAGTGACCAAATGCCTGTGGATTGTTTTTTTTTTTTTTTTCCTTGTTTTTCATTCTAAGTAATATTAATTATGTGTCCAGGTGCCCTAGGTATTTCTTGGTACTGGGCCATTTATCTTGAGAACTTACCTGCCTCTCACACCGTGCTCTGGGAGGTCATAGCCATTACTGTATTATCTTTGTAGGTGCCAGTGGAAATCTAGGTCCTAAAACCTATAAAATATTTTGTAAATATTTTATGCAGCGCACATCTTTGTAGATCCACTCTGCCAGTGGGTACTCCTGGGTTTTTACAATGGTGGGGCTAAAAATCAATCTGAAACAATACAAAAGAAACAAAATAGTCTTTGGAAATAAATACAATTTGCTTTTATTCTGTGTCTATACTTGCTCAAGAAAAATAAAGTGCACTTTAAAAAGTTTTTTTTAGGTCTCTGCTGTTTCACTCAACGCAGATAACTTTTGATCAGTGGTTTATTTTGAATGAATTTCTTTTTACAAAGTAACGTTTTATGGTGCTGGTGAAAGTTATTCTAAACTCCTCCCTTCCCACCACCCCCTGCAGAGAGCAACAAGGTTTATGTAACCCAAAACTTTGGTGGGAGAACTCAACTGTATTTAAATAGAGGTTAACCTCTGGGCCATCCAATATAGTGTGTCTGTACTAAGTCAGGTTAGCATGTAAATAATATAAATATAACCAGAAATGTAACAACGGTATTTAATAGTCATCAGATTTATTTCTAAAATATTGCCATGGATTCAGAATACTGAATTCCAACCAGATGTATTTCGGGAGTATTACACAGGTCATATATATTTCACTTTTTTGGTTCAAACCCAGGGGATCTACACGATAATTAGATTGAGAACATCTGCATCAAATCCAAACCATTTCCCTGATCCTTCCTTGAGCCTTCCCCATGGGAGGGATTTCTTTTTTTTTTTAAGCCCCTGCACATTTTGTCTAGCCACCTTTAGCGCAATTCCTAGGTCTCGCCTGCCTGCCACCGCAGAAATAGACATGCCAGGGGAAGGCGGAAGCACCCCCCCCCCCACCCCCGCCGCCTCCCCGAGTGTGCAGGCATCCTTAGAAGTCGCATTTCCCCGGGACAGGAATGTCCCTCGGTGGCAATGCCGCTTCCCGCCAGAAGCCTGACTCCGGGACAGGGCGTGGCAGGCGCGGGGGCCTGGGCGCGCCGGTGGGCACGTGCGCGGGGACCCGAGGACCCGAGGACCCGAGTGTCGGGGCGCCGCTGCCCTCTACCGGGCGGCGCGGTCGGAGCTACAGCGCGGCGGCCGGCCGACTGAGCGCGCGGGCCGGGGCGCCCCACACGGAGGCAGCCCTTGGCCACCCGAGATCCACAGTGCCCTGCTGTGCGCGGCGTCACCGCATCTAGGGTGGAGGCTCGCAACGTGCCCCCCGACGCCAGCGCGCTCCCACCCACCGGCGAGTCAAGGTTGCGTTGGGGAGACAGTGAACCCCGTTCCCGACATCAGGGGCCTCCCCTTGGGGAAACTGAGGCCCCTGGCCAGCTGCGCAAGACCTGGGGACACGCGTGTTCTCTAAATCTTGGGACTTTCATTTCCAGCCTCTTCCTCCAAAAATGCCGAATTCACTGCGCCAACCCTCGAACTCACTTGAAAAGCAATTGTTTTCCACTTGCGCGTTTTATTTTGTATCCTATGCAGATTCTATTTACATATGCATTTTGAGATTAAGGAATTTGGGGACTTGTTTTAACTAATTACTCGTTCAGTGAAGTACGGGAGAGTCAAAGAACAGTATTCCTACTGGAAACTCCAAGTCACACGTGTGTATAATCAATGAAAGATGACGATCATAAAACGTGTGCTTTCGCCAGCTTTCCGCGAGGAGAGAAATCAAAAGAGAATTTATTTTTTGGTTTGCATTTTAGCATTTCTGTAAACTTGGGACCACGCTTTCCGTTTTCAGTGAGTGCACCCACACTTTCCAACTTTCTGCGCCCAAAGTTGCAACAAACCAAGGTGTCTGAACCACAGGAAGTTTCTTGGGCTGTTCCGCTGAAGCGGCGCGGGGGGACACAGAACTGGGCTCCCAGACTTTTCCTGTCGTGGCCTAAACTGGAACGGCTTGGGCGAATGGGGGCTGCCGGGACCCCCAGCGCTACCGCCGTTGGGGTGCGTTCGGGTGCGACGCTGGCACCGCCGCTGTCCGGGTGTGGGGCATCCACGCGCGCGGCCCCCTGAGAGGGTCAGGGCTGTTTCCCCCTCAACTCCACTCCTCCAAACATGCCACGCTGTTCCTGGTCGTGTCGGTGTCCCGGTCCTCGCTGGGCGCAGAGGGATCAGAGTGTTGCCGTCCACCGTCGGGGCGCCTCCCACGCACGCTGCTGCGGGGGGCCTGGGCCACGCAGGGGTCGGGTGTGGGGGGTCCCGGGCAGGTGGTAGCGGCGTCTCCGCGCTCTGTACACTAACCACTACAGGGGCGCTCCGACGTTCCCCCCAACCGGAGTCTTGAAGGCGCTGCGCTCGGCCACCGCGGGCGATCGCGATCCCAGCGGGAGACCCCCCCCACCCCCGCAGCCCTCCCCAGGTGCGCGGTGCCGGGGGACCCCGGGCGCTGCCCTCCAGCGCCCCCTCGGGGCCGGGTCTGTGGCCGGCGCGACCGCGGACTTTGGGGGGGGTTGTCCCGAGGGGCGGGGGTCGCCGGTCGGCCCGCGGAGGGGAGGGGGAGGGCGGCGGTGGGGGGGTTGGGGGAGCAGGGGCCGGGGCCGCGCGCGCGAGGCCGGGCCGCGGCCGCCGCGCCCTGGGGCTGCGACTCCGGCTCCGGCTCGGGCTCGCCATGGCTGCGGCGGTGCCGTGAGGAGGAGTCCGCGTCCTCGGTGGCGGCGGCGGCGGCCGGCTCCAGGCCGGGTTTTGGCGCCGCCCGCCTGCTGCCTCCTGGCGGCTCCTGAACTCCAGCCCCCTCTCTATCAGCCGCTCACTCCGTCTCAATATGTCTCAAGATGGCGGCCAATGTGGGATCGATGTTTCAATATTGGAAGCGCTTTGATTTACAGCAGCTGCAGGTCAGGCTCCTCCGCGCTCGGCCTCGCGCCCGGGGGTGGGGGCTGCGGGCGGTCGCGGCCTCCGCCGGGGGCCCCGGGCTGGCCCAGCCGCCGGGGGGCCCGCGGCGGCGGGGAGGAGGGGGGTGCCGGGCACCGCGGGGCCGAGTCGGGGCCGAGTCCCTCCCGCTCCCCGGCCCCCATTGATCACTCGCTTGATCGGAAATTGATCCTCTTTGTTCAATTCATCGATCAGCCCAAGATGGCGCCGGGAGCCGCCGCCGCCACCACTGCCCCCGGTGTCTGCCCCCACCCCGGGCGCCCCCCCGGGCCCCGCGCCGCCGCCGCCGCCAGCGCCGCCGCCGCCGTTGCCGCCGCGGGACCGGGGAGGGGGCGGCCCCGGCGGCCCGCGGGGTGCGCGCGCGAGCGGGGAGCGGGGAGCGGGCGGCGGGGGGCGGGCGGCGGCGGGCGCCGGGAGGGGGCCGCGGCCCGGCGGTGGCGCCCGCCCGCCCGCTCGCCCCGCGCCCCCGGCCCGCCGTATTCCCGGGGAAAGTTTGTGGGGAGTTGCTGCGGGGGGTGAAGCGCCTGCCTCTCCAGGAGGAGCCGCCGCCACTGCCGCCGGCGCGGCGGAGCTGGGGCTGGTGGCGCTGTGGTGCCGCCGGCTCGGGGGAGGGTCAGAGCGGCCACCGGCGGCGGCGGCGGCGGCGCGGCCCGGCTCCGGCCAGGCGGGCGGGTGGCCGGGCAGGCGCCCGCGCTCGCTACCCCCGGCCGGCCCCGGCCGCCGCCCCCGGCTGTCACCGGCCCGGGCCGCGCCGCCGCTCCGGCACCCCGCGTGTGGCTCCCGGCGCGGACCCCCGGGTTTGTTTACGTCCCGGGGAGCGCCCCGGGGCCACCCGCGCACCTCGCGGCCGCCGCGCTCTTTTGTGTGCCTGTGTCGGTGACGCGGACCTGTTCCTCCGTGGCGGACCCCCGCGGGGGCTCTTTGGGGAAACTTGGCGAGGGGCGGCGGGGGTGCCCCGCGCGCAGTGTCGCTGGGTCCCGGTGTCCCGGACCGCCGGGTGCGGGCGCGGGAGGAGGAGGCTGCAACTTTCCCCTAGGCAGGCCCCAAGCTGTTCCCCCGGGTGCCCGGGCAGTGTACGCTGCCTCCCCGCCGCCGGTCCGAGCCGCGATCGCCGCGCGCCTGGGGGCTCCGGCGGCCCCCGGTGACCTGCGGCGCCGGGTCCCTTCCTTGCGTCCCCTCGGGGCTTCTGCCCTCTCTGCAGGGCCCGCCATGGAGCGCGCGGCGGGTGCGCTCGGAGATGCCTTCTCGGGCCGGGTTCTCGAAAGCAGAGCCCCGGGGGCCCGTTGGGACCGTGGCATGCCGGGCGGTGGTCCGCGCGCGGAGTCCCCGGCGCCGCGGGGGGACCGTGCCGGGGCTCCCCGGCCCGCGCCCGAGTCGCCGCCGTGCCCAAGGGGCGAGTGCCTGCCTGCCACCCCCCGCCCGGAGGAGCGGCGCACCCTTAGGGTCCGCCCCGCACGTGCCAGCTCGGCGCCCGCGGCGCCGGGACAGCCCCGGGACTCTGCCAGGTGGATGTTGTGCGTAGCCGGAGCCAGGTTGAAGGTGAGCGGCGTGTGGGCCAGAAGTCCCGAGGTTGCAGGCGCGGAGGGAACCGGGGATGTCGGGGGGTGCCCGGGTCCCGCGGCTTAGAATGCTCTAGGGCGGCCTGGTGCTCTGGGAGGGGATAGGAGGGTTCCTCAGGGCCCCTGGGGAACTGCAGCTACTCCCAACTGCTAAGGTGTGCGTGAAGATAAACTTGGCTGAACTTTCCTAACCTGGAGGACTGGTGACAGTGACCTACCGCAATACCTTTGGGAGCAAAGCTCGAGATGCAGGCTTGTATCAAACGAAGCGGGTTGGATTAAAACATATTTAAATGGAATCTGACAACTTTAATTGTATATGCTTGTTTTCTGCTCTTGCCTACTAAGAACGATAAAGCCGAGTCATAGTCGTTATGAAATTTCCTGAAATTTCTCGCTTAACTAGGAAGAAGACTATGCGAAATATGTATTTCCGATAAGATTAAAACTTAAAGGAGTTTAAGTATTTATTGACTAAAATAGATTACTCCAAAGTGTCTATTGTGTAAATTAGATTCCTGGATGTAATGAACACAGCCGAATGGCATTTTTGATAAATTGGTCTACCCTGTTTTAGTAAAAATAGCTCCCTTTTACCATAATTTAATTCCTGTGCTTACTGTAAAACCCGTTGTGGAGTTTTAAGGACAAACATTATTATTATTTTTCTCTCTTGTCTTCCTAAATGTGACATCCTAGCTTAATATCAATGAAGTGTCTTTTTTAAAGCATCCTGGCAAAATTGCCTGGAAAATGGATTTGGTTTCTAGAGTTACTAGATTTTAAGAACTCTAAACCTTCCTGTCCCCCATATTAGCTACTTCTTCAGGGGATCAGGGCTCCAGGGTTCCATCGAAAGTTTCCATGTCAGTTTACTTGCACTTTATGTGGATATTAAGAAGAAATCAAAACCAAACCCCAAAACAAAGTCCCTTATTTGAACTTCATTCCTCTTTACTCCTTTGCTTTTGGTGGTTGCTAACGATTTGGCCTTAGATGATTTCCTATGGGTTTGCAAACTTTAGTCGAATACGGAATGTCAAAGTTCAAGTCTCAGGCCAATCTGGTTCTTTCTCTGGGCGGTGAGGAGGCCTTTGGAGTTGGTGTCTGGTTAATTCCCACCGATAGTCAGTGAGTCAATAGAACGAGTTTGGGAGAGAATTCATTAGTTCCAGATTTTTCTCATTTTTCCAGACCTCTTTATACTGAGATTGGGTTGCCACCTGGGGGTAAAGAGGCTGATCGGTCTTTGCAGAGAGAAATCCAGGTTGGAGACGTCAGCGGGTCCAGGTGAGGTTGGGCCGTTCCGCAGTTCTGCAACCCTGGCTCACTGGGTTCTTGTCCCTCGGCTTCCTGGGTCTTGAAGCTGCTGCCTTGGCACAGGAGTGTGTGCTCAGGAAGAGAATTTCTGAAGATTGTGTTTTATTCCGTTTCCTTTTTAGTCCCAAAGGCTTGTGGTATGGAAGTTTCAGTGCTTTGGTATTGCTAAGACTAGTTGGACAAGTTTTTTATCCTATCTCAGACTTGTAAAAACCAGGTTTTCTTTTCTTTTTAAATAAGAAAAGCACTGTTGTATAAATTTGTCTTTTAAATACATATTTGAAAGGAGGACACTTTCTAAGACAAAGCTCATGGCACTCTGTATGTTAGTGGAGCTTTGAACTCTTTGGGACGGGGCCCGCCAATGACTGCCTTCCCTTTGGGACATTATTCCCACATGGTGACCAGCCTTCCCCTTTAAGCAGCTTCTGCAAAAGTAAACTTGAAAAGTTGCCTTCTTTTTCAGAATCAAAAAACAATTTCAGTTTTGCTGAAAGTCCATTTTCTGATGGCTTTTTTTCCCCCTGTTGTGGAAGTGTGTATGTTACTGGCTGTCCAGTACTGTTTGCCATAATAAGTATATTATTTTAATTAAAATGTCCCATCTAGTACCCTTTATAAAAGAGCAGTTCAAGAAATTACACCACTGCTGCTCCTGCTTTTGTTTTCTTGGTTCTTTTAATATGGGTGTCTTTGAGGTTGGATGTGGGAAGGGGTCATTGGCAGTTGATTTAAGTTTTTTCCTATGTGAAACTCTTTTTTTCCTTAAAGGTGCAAGTGGTGAGTTAATGCAACAACTCCTGGTACAGTTGAGTCCACAGAGAGCCCTTTGACTACATCCTCGGCTTCGTGTATCTTCTGTCGGTAGTTAGCCAACCTAAGAAAGCTGAAAGGGCCAAATAGTCCAATACCTTCAGGAATGATTCTCTCCTAAATCCACTGAGCTAACCTTAAAAATGCAGTCTGGTGAACTGTGCTGAGCCTGAAACCTTTAATGGCTATTTAAAAAGTCTCCTGTTTTTGTACAATTAAGACAAACCCATCAGGGTTTATATGGGAGCTGTGAAGGAACAGTAGTTTGTGCTCTCTGATTCCCTTCTGGGTCTACCTGTAGCAGTAAACAATCAAAACCACTCCTGAGGCTGTACTCACTTTCTGTGTCTTAGGAGAGAACACAAGACTAGAAGTAGAAAATCCACATTTGTTTCAGCTCCTCTGTAATGCCCCAGGAACGTCTGTTTTTAGTGAAATGAAGGAAGGACACGTTTGTTAGGGGAAAACTCATACATTTCGTAAGCAGAGAAATTCATCATATGAAGAATCCTACAGAGGTAGGTTAAATTCCTACCCGTGCTTCCATTTCAAATAGTTTACACATTTGTCACATGTAAATTTCACAGACAGGTATATCTGACGAATTGTAACACAAATGGTATGTAAAAGGCAACTCTAACCATTATTCAAATATACAGGATCCAGGATCGTGAGTTATTGTAGAAATTACTTAAGACCTATTTAAAATTATTGAATACATAACTTTAAAAAATGTAATTGCTCTATGAAAAGTGACTTTTATTATAATTGTCAAAGACAGAAATTTGTCTGTCTTGTCCTTTTGTTTTGTCTGAAGCCCCGCGTTATCGCTGCAGAGAGAGAGTTTTGGTTTCCACCGAAATTTCCCTGCCTCCGATTGTTTAAACCAGACCCTTAATCTTATTTTAACATATTTAAAATGTTCACAAAACCCGGAAGAATTGTTTTGTGTAAGTAGCAAGCGAGTGTAGCTTAAACACTCAAGCAATTCTGGTATCTAATTGGAAACAGGTGGAATTCTTGGAATCCCATGTTTGAGTCTTTTTATAGCAAAGCCCAGGGACACTTTTCACTTATAGCCATTCGTTTTGTCGAAGCTATTTGAAGAGGGGCCCCACAGCCTCTCCTTATGTCCCACTGTTGCTTACCTGGACAAAGCAGTCGTGCTGGGCGCTTTAGGAACTGGATACCTGTGAATGCCTGGATGCCGAGAGAAGTGTGTGTGTGTGCCGATAATGGAGTGAAAAAGGAATCTAATGGTATAGTTAGACAAGCAATTTAATATCTGCATTGTTATATGACTTTAGAGCAAAGAATTTGTGAATTCATTTGTGATTTCTGACTTGATGAACCTTGACTGACCAGAGCATGTAGGTACATTTTATTATACCCCAATAATGATATAGAATTCAGAGAGAAGATACTCCCCCCCGCCCCCAAAAAAATTCTACATTTAGAGAATATAAGCTCCACCAGCAACCATAAAAGTATTAACTTGGTGAGGGGGATATTTTCTTTCTTTTTTTTTTTTTTTGAGACAGAGTCTCGCTCTTTCGCCCAGGCCGGAGTGCAGAGGCACTATCTCAGCTCACTGCAAACTCCGCCTCCCGGGTTCACACCATTCTCCTGCCTCAGCCTCCCGAGTAGCTGGGACTACAGGCGCTGGCCACCAGGCCTGGCTAATTTTTTGTATTTTTAGTAGAGACGGGGTTTCACCGTGTTAGCCCGGATGGTCTCGATCTCCTCACTTAGTGATCCGCCCGCCTTGGCCTCCCGAAGTGCTGGGATTACAGGCGTGAGCCACCGTGCCCGGCCCCTATTTTCTTTTCTTTTCTTTTTTTCTTTTTTCTTTTTTTTTTTTTTTTTTTTTTTTTTGAGACGTGGTTCTGTCGCCCAGGCTGGAGTGCAGTGGTGCGATCTCGGCTCACTGCAAGCTCCGCCTCCAGGGTTCAGGCCATTCTCCTTCCTTAGTCTCCCGAGTAGCTGGGACGATAGGCGCCCGCCACCATGCCTGGCTAGTTTTTTTGTTTTTTTGTTTTTTTTTTTTTTTGAGATGTAGTCTGGTTCTGTGGCCCAGGCTGGAGTGCAGTGGCGCGATCTCGGCTCACTGCAAGCTGAGCCTCCCGGGTTCACGCCATTCTCCTGCCTCAGCCTCCGGAGTAGCTGGGACTACAGGCGCCCGCCACCACGCCCGGCTAATTTTTTCTATTTTTAGTTGAGACGAGGTTTCACTGTGTTAGCCAGGATGGTCTCGATCTCCTGACCTCGTGATCTGCCCGCCTCGGCCTCCCAAAGTGCTGGGATTACAGGCGTGAGCCACCGTGCCCGGCCGATGTTTTCTTAAATATTAATGGCAGGGCCCTCTGGATTGACTGTGTTATTTGACCCATTCCAGTTTTCAAGGCGTGGTCTTGAAAAGCTGTCGATCACCCTGGTTTTGGGATGTGTTTCAGAACCAAGTTTCGATGGTGTGTCAGTGTTGGATTTTCCTGCTGAGGACAGCTAAGGTTTGGTATGGAGCAGTTTTGGATTTGCTGAGCTGTAATCAGTCCAGCTTCTCTGCTGTCTTCTGAGAAGGTTGATGGAGGAGAGTGGTCTTTGGCGGGGATGGAGGTTTCCCTGCAGGAAATGAACCAGGACTGAGGGGAACCTGTGCCGTTCCCCTCATTTGTCCTGCGCCTGAAACAGCTTTGAAGCACCTGGCTTGTGACTTAAAAGATTTTTAAAAAGCATTTGTGCTGCCCTATTCGGGTATTACACAGTGAGGGTGAACCATTCTTTTCGAAAGACGTCTAAGGCCGGGCACGGTGGCTCATGCCTGTAATCCCAGCACTTTGGGAGGCCAAGGCAGGCAGATCACTTGAGGTCAGAAGTTCGAGACCAGCCTGGCCAACATGGCAAAACCTCATCTCTACTAAAAATACAAAAATTAGCCTGGCGTGGTGGCGCATATCCATAATCCCAGATACTCGGCAGGCTGAGGCATGAGAATTGCTTGAGCCCAGGAGGTGGAGGTTGCAGTGAGCTGAGATCGTGTGACTGCTCTGCATGCAGCCTGGGTGACAGAGCGAGACTCTGTCTCAGAAAAAAAAAAAAAAAAGACATCTAATTTGTTGTAAAACCTGTCAAGAACCTTCCCTTTAAAAAGCTAATGCCTCTCTAATAAAAATAATTTTAATTTTGTTGTAATTAAATTCAGAGAGGATGATGTTAGTGCACAAAATAAAGATTGTCAATTTCTTTATTTTAATCCAACGGCATTTCCTAACTGCAGGAGGCCCAGGACCGTTGGCAGAAATTTTGTGTTGATTAGAGCCTCGGGCCATGGGAAGTGCAGGTACTGTGGCCACAAAGTTCGTCGCCCAATCCCTGGCTGACCCCACAAGCAGGACTGGTACAGATCCCACCCTCAGGGGTCTTCCTACACAGAGAAACATAATCACACAGGTGACTGGAACGGAGCCAAGGATGGTGGTGTTCCTCCTAGGGATTTACTAACACTGCCAGCAACTCAAGAACTAGCCAGCCGGGAGTTTCCTAGTAAGTGAAACTGACTTGGTTCTGCTTCCTTTCATGAAAACCTTTGTGAAAATGAGCCCAATAAGGGGTCCGAACCTTTATAAAGCACACGACCCCCCAGAGTGGACCGGGCCCTGGCCGACTCCATCAGCCGAAGCTTGAGATCTTGGATGGTCTGGATGGTCTTGACCGTGTGTGATTGATGCAGTTAACAAAGCAGGAAATTAACAGAGCTTACTCTGAGACACCAGGGAAGTGGCTTGTTCTTTCTTGGGGTTACTTTGAGTGGATGCTGGCACACTGCTTGTTTTCTTATAGATACCTTTCTATTGGGCTGTGTTTATTCAATAAGGAAATGCAGTTAACATTTTTTTAACAAGTAAACCATGGGTTATGAGGTGTTCCGAGTTTGGTTAAGGGAAAAACAAATTGACAAATTAGCTCTTTCTTAAGTGAGTATTGCGAAACAGTGAGAAATAGAATGCCTGTCGTACCGTCATTAAAAATTTATCTGGGTGTTGACAGCTTTTTGTTAAATGTAAGACATTCAGATCCTGTCCACCCAGCATATGAAAAAACCAAACCAAACCAAACCGAAAAACAAAATGCAACACAAAAGCTTCTTTCCATTTCCCCCCAAAAGCAAGACAATTTTTCTTAAACTGGGGCTTTCTCCCTAATGAATTGCCATGATTTTGTTTTCTCTAACATAGTTTAATATCTTTAAGACAGAACGAATATCAACTCTTTTTATTTTATTTTTTGAGACGGAGTCTCACTCTGTCGCCCAGCCTGGAGTGCAGTGGCACAAACTCCGCTCACCGCAACCTCCACCTCCCAGGTTCAAGTGATTCTCGTGCCTCAGCCCCCCCGAGTAGCTGTGATTACAGGTGTGCACCACCACGCCCAGCTAATTTTTGTGTTTTTAGTAGAGACAGGGTTTCACCATGTTGGCCAGGCTGGTTTCAAACTCCTGACCTCAAGCAATCCACCCCCTTCGGCCTCCCAAAGTGGTGGGATTACAGGTGTGAGCCGCCGTGCCTGGCCTCCACTCTTTTTAGACACCTTTGTTGAGTTGTTGTTTTGGGCCTGTAAGTTTCTCTGGCTTATTACCACTTTCCCCTCCTGTTTCTAGGGAAGAAATGATTATTTAGATAAAAAATAATTTGATAAAAGGTAGCAGATGATACCAAAGGTAAATCTTTGTCTTGAAGAGCCTGAAGCTGTGAGCATTGGTAAAGCCGTGGGCTGCAGTGAGGGAAGGGCCGGCTTGGAGCCGCCCTCAGCCTAGCCTCCGGGTGTTACCTGGAGCCCTTGCTGTCAGGACGGCCTGTCACTTCTCGCCCTTCTCCTGCCCTGCCAAGCCTGTCCCTTCCTGTGTTGTGACAACTTTTTTTTTTAAACAAGTATTTCTACAGCTCCATTATTTTGAGATTCTTGGAAGAAAGATACTATGTAAATGAAAATTAAAAATAAAATTCTCGCTGGAGGGAATCGTATACATGTAACGTTTTTGATGAGGTTTGGAAAAGACTTTCGTTCTCCCTCTGGAACTGGGAACATTCTGTGGCTCCCGTCACCATTTCTGTGTCACTCTGAAAGGTGTGGCAGATAATGGTGAAACATATTATTTTCTGTTTTTCACCAAGTAGTTGACCCAGAACTTGAACCCATGCAGTCCTGGGTCCAGTGAATTATTTCTGCTGCATACAGTTCTGCTGTGTCCTCGCCGAGAGCGTAGTCAGCAACCGCCCGGAGAATACCAACCTTTCAAAAGAAAAAGGGCTGGAGTCCCCAACATACAGAGATTACAGCTAAAATTACGACCAGAGCTGTTAATCAAATCCCATCTTCCCTTCCTATTCACACAGTAGAGATGTTATAAGTCATACAGGTTTGAGACAGAAAATTGAGAGCAGAGGAGCATGTGTTTAAACCAGCATAGAAACATTCATTTACCAGAATTGCTTTATTTCAGCCGTATCTCAACTCGTTGCTTACACAGTAACGCATGCTGTCTCGTCACTCAGCCAAGTGGGAGACAAGTTCAGGTTTCTGCTCCATGGGATCCAGGAGCCTGCAGTCACCGATGAGCCTGGAGGACCACAAGGTGGCCAGGGCCCTTGGAGAGCTGTGCTGCGGAATCGTAAAGCTACCATCCGGAGCTGGCCGTCCCAGAGGGAAGGCTTGGTCATCTCTTCCCCTCCACCTGGTCCTCAGCCCTGGTCCCGCAGTTTGTCATCCCGCAGTTTGTCAGCATCGATGTGGGACTGGGAGAGGAAGGATATTGCCAGTTATGGTTGAATGTCATTGTCAGGGGAGTAAGAAGTAGTTTGTGATTGTTTTACGTGGCTCTGTGTTGGTATATAATTATGCTGTCATCTTAAAACGCCCTGATACCTTAATGAAATCTGTGTGTGTGTGTGTGTGTGTGTGTGTGTGTGTGTGTGTGTGTGTGCGCGCGCGCGCGCAGTTAGTCTTCGGGGCTGCTTATTGTGTGTGAGAGCCAAGTCTTTCTAACACACGAGCTGAGTGCGTCGTCTTTTACTTGTTTCAAAACTGCCCATTCGAAACAGGTCGCAATCCATTATAAATGCAGCTGCCAGATTAATCTTCCCGAACCATTGATTTCATCATGCCATTCCTCTCCTTAAACATCCATGGTGGCCCACTTAGGCACAGAGTGGAGACCACATTTCTTAGGGTAGCAGACAGAGTTCCTGATAGTCCTTTCTGCCCCACCTAAACCTTTTCCATCCCAGCTAGAATGACTCCAGAATCTTGCTTATTTGGGGGAGCTCCCTCCTCCTCCCTCTGTACATCTGAGCTTCAAGCCTACTTCAGAATTTTTTTGTTTTTTTTTGTTTTTGATTTTTTGAGGCAGGGTCTTGCTCTGTTGCCGGCTGGAGTGCAGTGGTGAGATCATAGTTCACTGAAGCCTTGACCTCCCGGGCTCAAGCAATCCTTCCACCTCAGCCTCCCGGGTAGCTGGGACTATAGGCATGCACCACCACGCCTGGCTGATTTTTCCATTTTTTTTTTTAGAGACAGGGTTTTGCCCTGTTCCCCAGGCTGGTCTTGAGCTCCTGGGCTCCAGTAATCCTCCCTCCTTGGTCTCCTAAAGTACTGGGATTATAGAGGTGAACCACTGCGCCCGGCCTTCAAGCCTATTTCATGCATTCCTTTTTCTTTTGCCCCTGTGTGCCCGGCAGTAGTGATGGAGACTTAAAATAGCAGTGGCTTCCCGCCTAGAGGGCGGACAGGACTGGCAGGACGAGGCTGGGATGGATGGAGCAGTGTGTCTGAGCCTCTGGGAAGGCTGCAGGAAGGGCTTGGAAGGCGGGTCGGGGAGTGGGCAGGGGGCGCCCACTGAGTTCTGTGTGCTTGGGGAGGTGTGGGAGACAGGGCTTTCCAGCAGAACAGTCGTGGGGTGGCCGGGGATCTCTAGGGCTCCCCTCTGAGCTTGGGTTCCCTCCCTCTGCCCTGATTATCCCTTGGGTACCCACCACACCATCGCCACACAGGCCCCCACTCTCTGCCTTGTGTGTCCGATTTAGGACTCATTCAGCTGGTTAAGAATGCAAAATTAATTCTTTTTTTTAATATAGTGAAAGCAGGTAGATTATATTAAAATGGCTGTGTTTTGAAAGCTACTGATAGGTACACCTATGGAATAGATGTTTCTTTTTCAGTCCCATTAATTATCTTTCTGTGCAAAGTAACATAAGTGTTACTTTTTCAGTCCCATTAATTATCTTTCTTTGCAAAGTAACATAAGTGTTGGTTAAAATACAGTTGACCCTTGAACAACATGGGGATTAGGGGCTGATCCCTTCTGCTGTTCCCCCTACCCCACCTGCACAGTCAAAAATCCACGTATAACTTTTTTTCTCCCCTCCCCTCCTTCTCTTCTCTTCTCTTCTCTTCTCTTCTCTTCTCTTCTCTTCTCTTCTTTTCTTTTCTTTTCCTTTCCCTTCCTTTTCAGACGGGGTCTCATTCTGTCACCCAGGTTAGAGTGCAGTGACATAATCATAGCTGACTGCAGCCTGGACATCCGGGGCTCAAGCAGTCCTCCCACATCAGCCTCCCAGTAGCTGGAACTACAGACACTCACCAGCATGCCTGGCTAATTTTTAATTTTTTTCTTTTTTTAGAGACAGGGTCTTGCTTTGTTGCCCAGGCTGGTCTTGAGCTCCTGGGTTCAAGTAATCTTCCTGTCCCAGCCTCCTAAAGAGCTGAGATTATAGGCATGAGCCACCAGGCCCACATAAAACTTTTCATTCCCCAAAAACTTAATTACTAATAGCCTACCGCTGATGGGAAGCCTTACCGATAACATAAACAGTTGCTTAACATGTATTTTGTATGTTAATATGTGTGATATACTGTATTCTTAGAATGAAGTAAGCTAAAGAAAATGTTATTAAGAAAGTTGTAAGGAAGAGAGAATATATTTACTAATCAGAATATAGAATGGATCATCATAAAGGTCCTCATTCTCTTTGCCTTCATGTTGAGGAGTCTGAGGAGGAAGAGGAGGCGTTGGTCTTGTTGTTTCAAGGTGGTGGAGATGGAAGGGCTGGAGCAGGTGGAGGGGGAGTCGGGAGAAGCAGGCCCAATTGGTATAACTTGTTTTTTTTTTTTTTTTTTTTGAGATGGGAGTTTTACCCTGTCACCCAGGCTGGAGTGCGGTGGCGGATCTCGACTCACTGCAACCTTCGCCTCCCAGGTTCAAGTGATTCTCCTGCCTCAGCCTCCTGAGTAGCTGGGACTACAGGCACCCACTACTACACCCAGCTAATTTTTATAGTAGAGATGGGTTTCACCGTGTTGGCCAGGTTGGTCTCAGAATTCCTGACCTCAGATGATCTGTCCGCTTCGGCCTCCCAAAGTGCTGGGATGACGGGTGGGAGCCACCATACCCAGCCCCACTCAATGTCACTTTTATTATGGAAAAAAAAAAATCTGCGTGTAAGTGGCCCCACACAGTTCAAACCTGTGTTGTTCAAGAGTCAGCTATATGTATAATTGTACCTGTGGCACATAGAACACAAAAAGATCCACATTTTTAAAAACAGCATTGGGCAGAACAATTTTTTGACAGAGGTCTGTTTGACTCTGCTGACAGCCTGAGTGGGAGGAAACTTCCCCATATGAACGAACGGGGAAAGTGCATGTTGTAGTTCTCAAAACCCAAAAAAATCTAAGAGAAACCCAGCAGCAAGAAACACAGAGGTTTGGGTGTCAGCATCGGAGGAATGTCTCACGTCTGCCTTGTCCCCCAGACCCCGTCCCTGTGTCTGGGCAAAGGCACGCCCCGCTCCAGGTCGGCCCCATTTCAGAGCAGTGGCCCTCATAGGCTTTGTGCCTCTTCATTTAGTCTAAGAAACTACCTAGGATATTTTTGTAGAGGTGACATCACTGTCTGGCTGCAGAAGCATTTGCTTGGATTTGGGGAAGTGAGGGCTGGGAGAGGAGGGCTTAGAGAGGCAGGATGCCCAGGCCCATTGCGGGTGGCTGATGGGGGGTGGGCTTAGCATCTGCAGGGACAGGGTGGAGGGAGAGGAGCCACCCCAGGCAGGGGGAAGGGGTGTGCCCCCTTTGGGATATGGAGGTTTTGGGGGGCTGGTGGGAGGGAATTCCAGGGGTCGAGCCCCTGGGGAAAAGGAGGCTTTAAGGTCAGTGGAAAAGTGGGTGCCAAAGTCTGGAAGATGAGTTGAAACCTGGAGTTTGAAGCCCGGGGAGGATTTTGTTGGAGTGTTGGCTGGTGCTGGAGAGTTTTGCATCACTTGGGGTGGGGTGGGGTGAAGAATTAACTTGAACTGGCACAGCACCCCTTTGTCTTGACTTTCCCTGTTCTGGAGTGAGGACGGCTTGATGTTTCAGCAAAAGGAGTAGTGGAGAGGGAGAATATTTGCTTGTAGGATTGGGTTCCACATACCATATCTACAGTTTTACATCCACTGGTGACAAGACAGGAGCTTTTCTATTTTTGTTTTGTATTTTTATGTTTTTGTGCACTAACAGTAATGGTTTCATGGGAACAGATGGCGGACGGACACGGGCTTAGGCTCTTGGTTTATTTCATGTTACTTGCATGACAGCCCTATGGAGCTGCGTACCTGCCATAGGTGAGAAGCCGGGAGTTGGGGTTACATCCCGGACTTTGCTGAGCTCCAGGAGTGTTTTTCCTCCCGACCTGCGCTGTTCCCTAGACAACCCTCAGCCGAAGCAGTGGGGTCATCGGGTGACTCAGAAGGGACCTCTTCTCAGGGGCCGCCCAAGATGAGCTTGGCTGGGTCTGGGTCACTTAGCAGTGAGCAGCAGGGGATGGAAATGGGGCCGGGGTGGGTGGGCTTGAGGGGAGCACTTTCTCAGGGACGCCTGGCTGGAGCCTTGCCCTGGCAAGACTTCAAACTCAGCCCCGCAGAGAAGGGTCATCTGATGATAGAATCACGGCTGCCCCATCATTCCCATTAGCAAACTTCATCTGATAGTTGGGGTACGGTTGTGGCTCAGGCTGTAAGGAGCCCCCCTGTTGCATTACTCACTATCCTCAGATGCCCCATCCTTGCCTGAAGCAAGTTTGTTGGGACAGTTTTGGGGAACTGTTAGGAGAGAGGCCTGGTCATGGGGCCGGAGGGGCCCAGAGGAGCGGCCTGCCCTATCTGTGGGCGGTTCGGTGAGTGCTAGATGGGGTGTCTCTTTACAAGACTTTCCTCTGAGATGCTGGGGCTATGCCCCTGGGTGCTGGGGAGTGAATTGCCCGTAGATACTGATACCTGTACTTAACCCTGTGACGGTCAAGACCAGATCCCCACTCTCCAAGCCCCTGGGAAACTGGTTGATGTAGCCCCTGCAGTGATACCGCACTCAAATCCATGCAGATCCCCTGACATGGTCGGGGCAGCACCCACCACGCAGGCTTCTGTTCTGAGCTACATGGGATGTTGGGCGTGTGTTTTCTAAGAGACTGATTTCATAAGACATGTACCAGTGGCCGACTGGCCTGAAACAGCCTGGTCACAGCGACATCCCTGAGATCTTAGCTTCTTTTCCTCGGGGAATTATCATTGGACTGGAAAACTGAGGTTTTGGGCCACTCTGGATTCAGATGCTTTTGTTGTTGTTGTTTTGAGACAGGGTCTTGATCTGTTGTGGACTGCAGTGGTGGGATCATAGCTCTCTGCAACCGCGAACTCCCAGGCTCAAGTGATCCTCCTGCCTCAGCCTCCTTTGTAGCTGGGACCACAGGTGTGCCCCACCATGCCTGGCTAATTTTTTTTACATATTTTTATACAAACAGGGTCTTAGTATGTTGGCCAGGCTGGTCTCAAACTCCTAGGCTCAAGTGATCCTCCTGCCTCAGCCTCCCAAAGTGCCGGGATTATATAAGCGTGAGCCACCACGCCTGGCCCAGATAACTCTTGCCTGCCTGATTTTTTTATAATGATGCACTTTGTTTTGTTAAAAATTTATAAATTTAAAGACAAAATATGCAAAAATGTGCCCTGGTCTCAGAAATAACACAGCACATTCGAGTGAAGTTGTTGGCAGTTCCGTGTGTTTTGGGGTGATTCATTTTTTTCATAGGTTGTTGGGGCCGTGCATCCATTCGTGTTCTGAGCACACTCCATGGTACCTGATGACTCGAATGGATCCTGTTCAAGCCCCTGGGTTACCCAAAGAAATATACTTCTGGCCTGCTGGTTGGTCAGAGAATGCAGGACACATTGGGGTATCGCGAGGTGTCCAATGGCAGCGGGTTGGGTGTGTCTGCTGTGTGAACAGGGCAGGGGTTTGGGAAGATGGACTCTGGCTGTCTTGCTCCAAAGACTTCCTTAGGCTGTTGTTGAGCATTTATTGAGTGTCTCCTGTGTGCCGGGCAGCATTCTAGCATAGGGATTGAGTGACCAGACAGTAGGGAATCCTTGCCCTTAAGGAACTGACATTCTTTTTTTTTTTTCGAGATGGAGTCTTGCTTTGTCGTCCAGGCTAAAGTGCAGTGGTGCAATCTCGGCTCACTGCAACCTCTGCTTCCTGGGTTCAAGTGATTCTCCTGTCTCAGCCTCCTGAATGGTTGGGATTACAGGTGTGCACCACCACGCCGGGCTAATTTTCTGTATTTTTAGTAGAGGCGGGGTTTTGCCATGTTGGCCTGGCTGGTCTCGAACTCCTGACCTCAGGTGATCCACCCACGTCAGCCTCCCAAAGTGCTGGGATTACAGCCGTGAGCCACCATGCCTGGCCGGAACTGACATTCTTGCAAGGGGGATGGAAGACAAAGGCAAGGAATAAGTGAGTGCCCAGTGGCCTGGGAACAGACGGAGCAGGACTGATACACAAAGCCCCACAGAGTCACTTCTGTCTTCTGAAGGCCCTGAGAAATAACTTTATTATTATTATTATTATTATTTAGAGACAGAGTCTCGCTCTGTCGCCCAGGCTCCAGTACAGTGGTGTGATTATAGCTCACTGCAGCTTTGACCTCCCGGGCTCAAGCTATCCTCCCACCTCAGGTTCCCGAGTAGCTGGAATTACAGGCATGCGCCACCATGCCAGGCTAACTTTTTTGTATTTTTTGTAGAGATGGGGGGGTCTCACTGTGTTGCCCAGGCTGGTCTTGAACTCCTGGCCTCAGGCGATCCTCCTGCCTTAGCCTCCGAAAGTGCTGGGATTCCAGGCCTGAGCTGCCATGCCTAGCCCCGATTTTTAAACTGAAGAGGGATGGTTCAGTTGTTGGGGTGTGTCTTAGAGGATCCTTCTGGAAGCCCCACATGGAAGGCGGGCTAGAGTGAGGAGGGAGGGGTGATAATGGAACCAGGAGGGTGTGGTGGTCATGGCCCAGTGAGAGGATGCCAGGCTGTGGCCGTGCCAGACTCAGTGTGCCTGGCCCTGGCATTTCAGGCAGGGACCACTGAGGGGTGATGGGAGAGATGGGGCTGGGTGAGTGGCATTTCCACAGGCATCCAGAGGGGTGCGAAAAACTGAGGTTGGGGAACAGCAGGGGCAGGGAACAGCCTGTGGAGGGTGTGGTCATCAGTGTCCCCCACCGACATGGCACATCCAGCGAGCCCACTGTGTCCCCAGCACCTGCGGTGCAGGGGGCTGGCACCTTCAGGGGCGGGCTTCGTGCAGACGTCCACCCAGTCAGTCCCCACAGGTTTATCAAACACAAGTGGGGCGACAGGACCCACACTTCGGCGTTGGACGTGACTCACGCGGGGAGTTGGCTTGGAGTTCCTTTATTCATCCCTATTTGCTTTCTGTCTGTAATCCTTTGTAATTCCCTGGTTTCATGATGTAATTCTAATGGAAATAAACCCGAACCTTTCAAAATTATGTAATTAATTGCATTCAGCTTCAATGACAATGACTAATTATAGTGATACCTGGTGGCAAGGCAGGTACCTACTGCTGGGGGGCTCCTGTCTGCTTGGTACTAGGACTGCCACTTCTGGGCGCGTCGGAGCGGCTGCACAGGGGGTCAGCTGGCTGTCCTGTGGCCTGCTCCGGTGCCTCTGGTCCCCATCTTACCAGGAGCAGCGCCATGGCCATGCAGGGAGGGGCCGGAGAGGGAGGTGGTGTGCAGGGAGGAGCTGCTTAGGGGTGGGAGGGCTTGGACTTGTCTGCAGGTTAAAGAGAAGTCTTGCTGGGAAAGTAACTTCGGGGCTGGTTCCCTGAGAGCATTCTTCTCTGATTCATGTATTTTCCTGAGAAAAAGGGAGGAGGGTGCGTTCGACTGAACGTGAAGCGTTCAAGGATCGGAAAGGCAAGCCAGGTACAGTGGCTTACACCTGTAATACCAACACTTTGGGAGGCTGAGGCAGGAGGATCACTTGAGAGCCCAGGAGTTCAAGACCAGCCTGGGCAGCACAGTGAGACCCCATCTCTACAGAAAAAAAAAAAGAAAAGAAAAGAAATTAGCCCAGCATGGTGGCTCACACCTGTGATACCAATACTTTAGGAGGTCAAGGCGGAAGGATTGCTTGAGCCCAGTTGTTCAAGACCAGCATGGGCAACAGTGAGACCCTGTCTCTACAGAAAAAAAAAAAAGAAAGAAATTAGCTGAGCGTGATGGTGCACACCTGTGATCCTGGCTGCTCAGGAGGCTGAGGCAGGAGGATCGCTTGAGCCCAGGAGTTGGAAGCTGCAGTGACGTATGACAGTGCCATTCCACTCCAGCCTGGGTGACAGAGCAAGAGGAAGACTCTGTCTCTTAAAAAAAAAAAAAAAAAAAAAAAAGAATCCAAAAGCAAGCTTATGGAGAAGGGAGAAAGTGCGACAGTCACCTCGGGGCGTGGGAGAGCAGAAGATGGATGTCAGGTTAAAAACCATTACTGTGCTGTAGTATTTCCAGGAGGCCAAGTCCAGGGCTCTGGGACCTGTACACTGCGGCATCAGACCCTAAAACAGAGCTCTCAGGTTTTCGCCTTCCCAGGAAGTCTGCATCCTTTTTGCAGACTGGTTTTATTCTGTGTTAGGAGGAGGCGATTTTGCTAAGAAATCTTCACTGCAATTTTCCCCCCCAAATCAGGGCACTTGGCATCTCCTTCTAACGGGGGGTGCAGAGTCTGTCCTAGAATGGGACGCACAGTGTTCACACGAGTACCGAGTAGGTGGGGTGCTGGGCCGGCCCCTCTGATCCTGTCCTACCCTGTGCAGCCACGTGCCTTTCCTTATCCCCAGACTTCTGTTGTCACGATTCTTCCAGGGAAGAATCTGGAAGTGGAATCCACAGGGCGGTGCCCAGGGATGGCCTTTAGTGCCTAGTGTTCTGTTTCAGAGAGAGGCCTCTTATTTATTTGAAAAGCTGATTGTTTCTTTTTTTTTTTTTTTTTTTTTTTTTTGAGATGGAGTCTCCCTCTGTTGCCCAGGCTGGAGTGCAGTGGCACTATCTCAGCCCACTGCAACCTCCGCCTCCTGGGTTCAAGCGATTCTCCCGCCTCAGCCTCCCGAGTAGCTGGGACTACAGACACCCGCCACCACGCCCAGCTAATTTTTGTATTTTTAGTAGAGATGGGGTTTCGCCATGTTGCCCAGGCTGGTCTGGAACTCCTGACCTCAGGTGATCTACCTGCCTTGGCCTCCCAAATGCTGGGATTACAGGCATGAGCCACCACGCCCAGCCTTATTTTCTATTTTTAAAGAAAGAGCAAGACTGAAAACATTTGCATGCACAGTGAGTTTTAAAAAGTTCCTTTTTTTAGAGAGGACCAAGAAGGTGCAGAGTACTCTTGAAAAGAAATTTTTTTTCTGTTCTAAACGTGCCGCTTGTTGCCCTGGTGCAGAGAGCAGTTCTTTTGATACAATACCTCCGTCCCGTAACTTTTTTTTAAAGCTAAAATTCATATAATGTAACATTTACCTTTCCAAAGTTTAAAATTCTGGCCAGGCCTGTAATCCCAGCACTTTGGGATGCTGAAGCGGGCAGACCACTTGAAGCCAGAAGTTTGAGATCAGCCTGGCCAACATGGCAAAACCCTGTCCCTACTAAAAATACAAAAATTAGCCAGGTGTGGTGAGCGCTTGTAATCCCAGCTACTCAGGAGGCTGAGGCAGGAGAATCTCTTGAACCCGGGAGGCAGAGGTTGCGGTGAGCCAAGATCTCGCCACTGCACTCCAGCCTGGGTGACAGAGCGAGACTCTGTGTCATAAATAAATAAATAAATAAATAAATAAATAAATAAAGTTTAAAATCCATAGGTGTTTGGTATACTCACAATGTCGTGCAGCCATCACCACGATCTAGTTCCAAAACGTTTCCAACACCCCGACAAGAAACTCCCATACCTGTCAGCAGTTACCATTTGTCCTCCCTCCTGTACCCCCGGCACCCCGTAACCATTCATCTATTCTCTGCATCTATTCTCTGCCTCCATGCGTCTCGGGAATCATGGATTACGTGACCTTCGTGCTGTGGCTTCTCTCACGTAGCACAGTGTTTGCGGGGCTCACCCACATTGACTCATGCACCTGTCTGGGCCGCATTCTTTTTTATGGCTGAATAATATTCCCTGGTATGGGCATACCAGGTTTTGTGTATCCTTTCATCAGCTAGTAAACATTCGAGCTGTTTCCACTTTTTTGGCCATTGTGAATAACGCTGCTGTGAACATTCGTGTACAAATGTTTGTATGAATGCAGTTTTCCATTTTCTTAGGTGCAATTGCCAGGTCATATGTAGTCACTCTGGGCTTTGCTTTTTGAGTCTGTTGTATTTTATTTATTTATTTTTTTATTTTTGTGGGTGCGTATATTTATGGGGTACATGAGATGTTTTGATACAGGCATGCAATTCATAATAATCACATTGTGGAGAATGGGGTATCCATCCATCACAGATTTATTCTTTGTGTTGCCAACAGTCCAATTATACACTTTTAGTTATTTTATTTGTTTGTTTATTTTGAGTTGGAGTTTCACTGTTGTTGCCCAGGCTGGAGTGCAATGGCGCGATCTTGGCTCACTGCAATCTCCATCTCCCGGGTTCAAGCGATTCTCCTGCCTCAGCCTCCTGAGTAGCTGGGACTACAGCTGCCATGCCTGGCTAATTTTTGTATTTTTAGTAGAGACGAGGTTTCACCATGTTGGCCAAGCTGGTCTCGAATTCCTGACCTCAGGTGACCCACCCACCTGGCCTCCCAAAGTGCTGGGATTACAGGCGCGAGCCACCGCGCCCAGTTGCTTTTAGTTACTTTAAAATGTACGATTAAATTATGATCGACTATAGTCACCCTGTTGTGCTGTCAAATACTAGGCCTTATTCATTGATTCTATTTTTTTGTAGCCATTAGCCGTCGCTACCTCCCTGCATTGTTGCATTTTGGCCTCTTATGTGTAAGTCCCGTTTGTTCTCCAGAATGCTGCTTTTAACACCCAGCCCGTTCCATCTCTCTCTCTTCTGCCTTGGGTGTCATGCTGTCTCTTCCTCAGATTTCTCCTGGGGTGCAGGTGCTCCCCTGCGAACCACTGCTGTGCACAAAGTGATTTTGTGCTCAGGCAGGTGGATCGCTTGAGCCCAGGAGTTTGAAACCACCCTGGGCAATACAGTGAGACCCCATCTCTACAAAAAAAATGGCTGTTGTGCAGTTTGGGATGAGAGTTGGTTGCCCCCGCGGTCCTCCCTTCCCCCAACCCCACCTGCCCTCCTTGCTCAGCAACAAGGGACCCCCTTCACTGGACTATGAAGCCTGAGGGTTGTCTAAATCAATCCTTGGCCAGGCGCAGTGGCTCATGCCTGTAATCCCAACACTTTGGGAGGCCAAGGCGGGTGCATCACCTGAGGTCAGGAGTTCGAGACCAGCCTGGCCAAGGCTCTGAGAGCAGCGAGACTCCTTCTCAAAAAAAAAAAAAAAAAAAAAAGAATCCTGGCTGTTCCTTCCCCACGGCCAGTGGGCATTACACTTTGTTTTGGCTGGAGAAACCGGGAGTGCCCGTTGTCTGCCTGGAGACATGCCTGTGGGAGAAGAGGCTGCCCCCACCTGCTACCATCATCCCAGCATGGGTGCGGTGGGGGGCAGGGGAGACAGAGTAAAAATCGCAGAGGACATGGGGCAGAAAGATGGAAGGAACCTGGGCCCTCGATGGCTCTGAGTGAGTCAGTCCTGCAGTGCCCCGTCCCCATTTTTCTGTGGCCTGGGAAAGTCAAATTTCCTCATCCTTTGTAGTTGGCCATTGTGTTATTTGGAGATGGAAGAGCATTCTGAAACAAGCCACTATAATGAAAATCCAGGTCGTAGCAACTTGCCGTGCACGGCTTTGGCTTGGCATGGACTTACAGTGACATCTTTGAGATGCACTTGTCCGGGGTGCAGGTATATTTGAGAGTGTGAGGAGGACATATGTCCTCTAAGCTCTGTTTTCTAAAGGCAGCAGAATTCCATTTGCCAAGCCAGATGTCCCTCAATACGTTAGATCCCACCAATAAAACATTAAGCAATTACAATGGTTAATATTCACTAAAGTATAATTAGAAGCTGGCGTAAATTGTGAATGAAATTGGCGGGTTCCATACGTTACAGTGAAATACCAAATCTTTTTTTAGTTGTGTATGTGTATCTCAGTGAGTCTGTCAACTCAGATGAGTGAATCTTACCTCCTCTGTGGATAGAAACGAGCTCAATTTCAACTCAGTTCACTATAATTTTAAATGTTTAAGAACATCTTGCCAGTTGTTCTATCATGTTAAAGTTACTGAAATCTGGCTGGGTGGAGTGGCTCATGCCTGTAATCCCAGGACTTTGGGAGGCTGAGGCGGGTGGATTGCTTGAGCCCAGGAGTTCAAGACCAGCCTGGGCAACATAGTGAGACCCTCTCTACAAAAAAAATCCAAAAGTAGCTGGGCATCATGGTGACGCACACCTGTGTTCCCAGCTACTCAGGAGGCTGAGGTGGGAGGATCACTTGAAGCCGGGAGGTCGAAGGTGCAGGGAGCCATGATCGTGACACTGCATTCCAGCCTGGGTGACAGAACGAGACCCTGTCAAAAAAAAAAAAAAAAAAAAAAAAAAAAAAGGATACCAAAATTCTCAAGTCAAATTATAAGGGTTTTAACATTCCCATTTCTACACCACGTGCAAGAAAAACAAAATCCTTGTTTTCTGCCTGCCTTTATGGTCCGTTCTCATTTTCAGCCCCCTTTCCTCATTCTACTCTATTAATTATGCCTTTATATGGATGCAAACTTGTAAAATATGTGGCCTATTTTGTGTGTATACGTGGTTTTAATTCATAAGTGTGGCACTGTGCCCTAAATCTTTTTCTCCTTCCTTTTCACTCGTCACATTTTTTTTTTTTTTTAAATGACACAGAGTCTCGCTCTGTCGCCCAGGCTGGAGTGCAGTGGCACAATCTCGGCTCACTGCAACCTACGCCTCCTGGATTTAAGTGATTCTCTTGCCCCAGCCTCCTGAGTAGCTGGGACTACAGGCGCCTGCCACCATGCCCGGCTAATTTTTATATGTTTAGTAGAGACGGGCTTTCACCATGTTGGCTAGGCTGGTCTTGAACTCCTGATCTCAGGTGATCAACCCACCTCAGCCTCCCAAAGTGCTGGGATTACAGGCGTGAGCCACCTCACCTGGGCTCACTCACCACAATTTTTGAGATCTTGTTGTCTATGTCATTCCCTGTGAATTTTGTTTGTTATGACAGCCGTATTGAAATCCATCTTCAGGGCCAGGCGCGGTAGCTCACGCCTGTTATCCCAGCACCTTGGGAGGCCGAGGTGGGTGGATCACCTGAGATCAGGAGTTCAAGACCAGCCTGACCAACATGGTGAAACCCCCGTCTCTACTAAAATACAAAAAATTAGCAGGGCTTGGTGGCGCATGCCTGTAGTCCTAGTTACTTGGAAGGCTGAGACAGGAGAATCGCTTGAACCTGGGAGGTAGAGGTTGCAGTGAGCCGAGATTGTGCCATTGCACTCCAGCTTTGGCAACAAAAGTAAAACGCTGTCTCAAAAAAAAAAAATCCACCTTCAGAATTGACCTGTGTTAATCTGTCCAGACTGCCGTAACAGAATACCATAGATGGGGTGGCTTCACATATTTACACAACACATATTTATCTCTCATAGTTCTGGAGGCTGGAAAGTCCATGATCCGGGTACGGGCCAACGTGGTTCCTGGTGCGGGCCCTTTTCCTGGCTTGCAGATGGCCTCGTTTTTGCTGTGTTGCCACATAGCAGAGAGTGTGCGCAGGCAGGCAAGCCAGCTCTCTGGTATCTCTTGTTTTAAGTACACTAATCCCATCATGAGGGCTTTACCCTAGTGACCTCATCTCATCCTTACGACCTTCCAAAGGCCACACCTCCAAGTACCATCATATTGGAGGCTGGGGCTTCAATGTATGAATTTGAGGGGGGTGGACAACACAGTTCAGTCCGTAGCAGCACCCTAGCTCACACGTCCATTTCCCTGGGGCTGGTCACCCTCGGTGGTATCTGACCCCCCTCCCCCAAGCCCCTCCATGCACAGCACTGCTAGGAACGTTCTTACACACGTCCCTTACCAGTATCCAGGAAAAGCCTTGCTGGATCCAGCCAGATAGTGGTCCTTCTTTCACGAAGCACCTCCAGATCGCTTCCCAGCGTGGCTGCCCCACTTACTCCCCCACCCACAGTCGTGAGAGTTTCTTTCCCCCACAATCTCATCCGTGCTTTGTGGAGATATTTTTTGCCAGTGAGATGGTTTTAAAGTGGTACTTCAGTGTTGTGTCATTTTCTCTGATCACCAGGGAAGTCGATCTTTGCGATAAGCCTCATTTTATACTTGTCAGCTTTTCAGATTTCGCCTTTTGTAAATTGTCTGGTCATATATTTTGTCCTCTTTTTTTTTTTCTAAATGGTTTACCATCTTTTTGTTGATTTGCAAGAGCTCCTTGTATGTTTCACATGCGAATAATTTGTCAATTTTCTTTCTTTTTTTTGTTTTTTGAGACAGAGTTTGCTCTTGTTGCCCAGGCTGGAGTACAATGGCGCGGTCTTGGCTCACTTCAGCCTCTGCCACCTGGGTTCAAGCGATTCTCCTGGCTCAGCCTCCCCAGTAGCTGGGATTACAGGCATGCGCCACCACACCTGGCTAATTTTTGTATTTTTAGTACAGATGGGGTTTCACCATGTTGGTCAGGCTGATCTCAAACTCCTGACCTCAGGTGATCCGTCTGCCTCGGCCTCTCAAAGTGCTGGGATTAGAGGCGTAAGCCACCACGCTGGCCGTTATAGTTTTTTAAATTAAAAAAATTTAAAATTCTAATAGATTATTGTGGTATAGAGGAAACAATTGGTTTTTGTTGATTTCGAAGCTGGGAAGCTTGCTGTTAATATTTTTACTAATTAACTTGATTCTGTTGCATTTTCTCTGGAAATAATATATGCAAAATAATGCAAGTTTTTATTTGTTCCTTTCCTTCTGATTCTTACAGTGGAGTGACTTGCTGGCTAGAATCTGAAGTACTCAATTACATGGTGGTGGTGATAGAGGCTGCCCTTTTCTTTCTCTTTCTACCAAAGGAGATTTTTGGTAGAAGGTTTAACCAGGTGAAGGAACTACCTTAACTCCCCTTTCCATAGTTTTTAGAGAATTTTTTTTGGTATAAATAGGCGTTATCCTCTTGCAAATACTTTTCCTTAAAACCTATTCATGTCCATGCAGTTTTTATCCTTTAGTTTATGAATGTGGTAAATTACATTGATTGACTATATGATGTTGAATCATTTATTGCTTTCTGGGATAAACTCTTCTTCCTCTTGTATTTTAAAAATATTGTTGGATTTGATATACAGTTTTCAAATCTGTGTTATTAAGTGAAATTGGCCTATAATTTTCTTATTCAGTTGGAATTGAGGTTTACTAGTCTCATGAAATGGGTAAACATTGTGTTGGAACAATTTATATAACATGAGGATTATCTGTATCTTAAAATTTGATAGCTCACCTTTGAAACCATCAGGGCCTGAGACTTTAGAATGGTGGCTGGGAGGCATTTAACATTTCACTTTTTTTGTTTTTGGTCTATTGAGGTTTTCTATTCTTTATTTTATTTTATTATTATTATTATTTTTTTTTGAGACGGAGTCTTGCTCTATCGCCCAGGCTGGAGTGCAGTGGCGCGATCTCAGCTCACTGCAACCTCTGCCTCCCGGGTTCACACCATTTTCCTGCCTTAGCCTCTCGAGTAGCTGGGACTACAGGTGCCCGCCACCACGCCTGGCTAATTTTTTGTATTTTTAATAGAGACGGGGTTTCACCGTGTTAGGCAGGATGGTCTCGATCTCCTGACTTTGTGATCCGCCCGCCTCGGCCTCCCAAAGTGCTGGGATTACAGGCGTGAGCCACCACGCCCGGCAGGTTTTCTATTCTTATGCCAATTTTGGCATTTTATAATTTTCTAAAAATGTTTTCATTTTATCTTGGTTTTAAAACTTAACTGTTCTGTGATCATAGTATTTTTTTTTTGTAAATCTGTTTTGAACTCTAGCTGTCTCCCATTTCTACATTCTGTATTTCTGAATTTATTTACAACTCTTCTCTTTATTTTTAGTTGTACATAGAGGTTTGTTTATCTTACTGATCTTGAAAAAACAGCTTTTGGTCTTGTTAATCTTGCCTTTTTTTTATGTGGCTTATTTCTCACCATTATTTTACTTTCTGAGTGCATTTTTTTTCTAACTTATTTTTTTGAATACTCAGCTTTTTATTTCATTTTATTTATTTATTTATTTATTTATTTTTGAGACAGCCTCACTCTGTCACCCAGGCTGGAAGGCAGTGGTGTGATCTTGGCTCACTGCAGCCTCTGCCTCCCGGGTTCAAGTGATCCTCCCACCTCAGTCTCCTGAGTAGCTGGGAGTATAGGCGTCCCTGCCACCACGCCCAGCTGAGTTTTGTATTTTTAGTAGAGACAGGGTTTCACCTTGTTGGACAGGCTGGTCTTGAACTCCTGACCTTGCATGAGCCACCCACCTCAGCCTCCCAAAGTGCTGGGATTACAGGCATGAGCCACCACTCCTGGCCTTGAATACTCAGCTTTTTAAATTGGGGTTCTTTCTTGTTTTGGATAAATCTATTCAAAACTGTAACATTTCTGCTAAGTATTATTTTAGCTGTGTTCCACAAATTTTGACATGTAGTGCTTTCATTTTTATTCATTTTGTAATTTTCTATTCATTTTGTAATTTCCCTTATAATTTTCTCTTTAACCTAAGGGTTATTTAATACTGTATATTTTTTAGATTTTTGACACTTTTCTTTAATGGCTTTTAAAAATGTTGTTGCTGTCATTTTTATCACATATGGTCAGAGAACATAGTTCACATAATCCTGGTTCTTTGGAATCTATGAGGTCTTCTTTTTGGTGTCTTGCACATGGTGGATTTTTGTGAATTTTCCATATGTGCTCAAAAAGAATGTGTTTTTTGAGTAGAAAAAAACGTTATATATGCAGTATACAAGTGACATATACCATATAGTCATACAGTTTGTTTGGTATATGGAATACATTCATGTCACTGTTTCTTTGATAATTTTCTTCCCATAGTTTTTTTTCTTCTTTCTTTCTTTGAGACAGAGTCTCGCTGCATCACCCAGGCTGGCACGCAGTGGCGTGATCTCTGCTCACTGCAACCTCTGCCTCCCAGGATCAAGCAATTCTTGTGCCTCAGCCTCCCAAGAAGCGAGAATTACAGGAGCACATCACCATGCCCAGCTAATTTTCCTAGTTTTAGTAGACTGGGTTTCATTATGTTGCTCAGGCTGGTCTTTAACTCCCGGACTCAAGTGATCCTCTTGCCTCAGCCTCCCAAAGTGTTGGGATTACAGGTGTGAGCCACCATGCTGGGCCTTCCTACAGTTTTTGACAGTTGTTACATTATATTAGGTTAAGGCTGTACTGTTACATTGCATGTATGATCATGATCATGATCTTTAGATTTTCCTGATGTATTGGTTTTTTTTTTTTGATGTCTGTATAGACTCTTATTATGTTTTTCATGTTAAATTCTATTCGTTTTGACATTAAAATTATTCTATTTTTTTTTTTTTTTTTTGAGACAGAGTCTCTCTCTGTCGCCCAGGCTGGAGTGCAGTGGCGCGATCTCGGCTCACTCCACCTCCCGGGTTCACACCATTCTCCTGCCTCAGCCTCCTGAGTAGCTGGGACTACAGGCGCCCACCACCACACCCAGCTAATTTTTTGTATTTTTTAGTACAGACGGAGTTTCACCGTGTTAGCCAGGATGGTCTCGATCTCCTGACCTCATGATCCGCCCATCTCAGCCTCCCAAAGTGCTGGGATTACAGGCGTGAGCCACCGTGCCTGGCCTATTCTCCTATTTTTTTTGTTTGTTTTTGGTTTCCATTTGTTTGATGTTGCTTTTTCTCTTTAATTATTTCCAATCCATATCATTTTGCTTTCATTGCATTTGTTGCAGATCTGTGATGTAAGATCTTGTTTTTAAAACCCAGGTTGAGAATCTTTGATAAGTGAATTTAGCTGAGACACATTTCTGGTAGTTGTGTTATATTAGGATTTCTGCCATCTTATTTTGTGTTTTCTGCTTACCATTACTTATTTTTAAAAAAGCTTTTCTTGTAATGCTTTGTAGGGTTGAACTTTCTTCTGCTGGATTTTAAAGTTGTGCAATCTATTTTATTCTTCTAGAGCTCAGAATTGTGATTATTCTTAAAATTATTAAGAGCCACTTATGTGATTAGTTTTTCCTATCCATTTCTTTTTTTTTTCTTTTAGAATATAATTGATTTTTAAATTCACTTACTTGTTTCAACTGCCTGGAGTAGGGATTCCTGTCAGTTTCTAAAGGCTATTAATATCTTTGTCTTTCTGTCAAACAAGTTAAGTGATAGGGACCTCGTTTCCTCCCTTCAGCCTGTTGAGATCGTTTAGATTCTAGGATAATGGTGCCATATAGGACTGTGGCCCTCGGGTGTGCAGAATCAGCGTCACCAGGTATTAGACTTTCAGTATTAATGTTCTCTCCTTGCTAGAATATGTGAACAAATGTGAACCTTTTGAAAGAGCCAATCCTTCAGGATGGATCCAGAATGGCTAACCAGGCCTAAATCTAAAATAGAGCCAGACGGCCATTTGCAGATTGGAAGTCACACACTTAGTCTGAGTTCCCTGAAAACCTGCACCTTTCTTAAGTTTGGGACTTTCAGAGCTCACCTGACCCAACTAGTCTGAGTTCACCAGCCCTGGCCAATCAGGGCTCAGCTGTGTCAACCAATCAGCCCTAAGCACGTTTGAATCATTCATAAAGAAATCTGACTGGGAACCTGGGTGGGCACTGTTGCTATTAACAAACACCGTCCCCCTCCCCGCCCCCGCCCCCGCCCCCAACCCCAGCAGCTTCTGTTTACACGGAAGGCTGCATCTCCCTGGTTTGCACGTTGTCCACGGGAATAAAGTCTCTTTCCTCCAGATTCCTTTTCAGAGCACTTTTGTTAAGTATTTTAAATGATAGTGCATTTAAAGAAGTCTTTCTGTGATAAACTTCCTGAGACTTTAAAGTCTGAGTCTATACTTATTCCACCCTCATATTTAAGTGATACATTAGCTGGATGTAAAATTGTAGGTCAAAATTCTTTTTCTTCAACACCCAGATTATTCCCCTGTTTTCTTTTTGCACAGAGAGTCACGGTTGAGAAATATGAGGACAGTGTGATTCTTACTGCTTTGGAGGGAAGTCTGGTTTTTCTTTTTATCCCTGTCTTCATTCTTTTTTCTTTTTATCCTTGTCATCGTTCTTCTTTTTTCTTTTTGTTTTTCCGAGACAGTCTCTCTCTCTGTCGCCCAGGCTGGAGTGCAGCAGCACGATCTTGGCTCACTGCAACCTCCGCCTCCCGGGTTCAAGTGATTCTTGTGCCTCAGCCTTTTGAGTAGCTGGGATTACAGGCGCCTGCCCCCATGCCCGGCTAATTTTTGTATTTTTAGTAGAGACAGGGTTTCACCACGTTGGCCAGGCTGGTCTCGAACTCCTGACCTCAAGTTATCCACCCACTTTGGCCTCCCAAAGTGCTGGGATTACAGGCGTGAGCCACTGCGCCTGGCCTGTCTTTATTCTTTAATGTCACCAAAATGTATCTAAATAATGATTTCTTCCACCTACCTATCTTATTTGGCACTTTACTGACCCTTTGATTCTGATGTCTTATTTTTTTCTTTTATTCTAGGGAGTTCTCATACATTTATCTCTCCAAATATTTTCTCTCCTCTCTTTATTTTTTCTTCTTTCTAGGACACCCACTGTACAGGTGTCAACCCTTCTTCTGTTGTCCATCTCTCTCTCTCTCTCTTTTTGAAATGGAGATGGGGTCTCACTATGTTGCCCACTCTGGTCTCAAACTCCTGGGCTCAAGCAGTCCTCCTGCCTCAGCCTTCCATAATGCTGGAATTACATGTGCGAGCCCCCATGCCTGACCTGTTCTCTGTATCTCTTAACATTAGCCTCATTCTCAAACATGAAGAGAGTAGCCTTGGTGTAGACTGGCCACGAATTGGCGATTGTTGAGATGGGCGATTGGTAGTGAGGGTACCCATGAATTGGCGATTGTTGAGACAGGCGATGGGTGGTGAGGTACTGTTTGTATGTATTTGAAATACTGTCTGTGTATAGCTCCAGTTGAATTACCTCCTACTGAGACCCACTGGCCTTAGCCTGTGGTGTGGGGATGAAAGTGGGGAGGGAATAGAGGAGGAGGCTGGCTAGATAGGCTTGGGGCTGGCTGCCAGGACAGTTAACATGACTTACATGGCACATCGTACATTTCTATGGAACAGTGCTGTTCCGATTTAGCCCCTTGCTAGGCAAAGTGATTCATGAACCAGCAACAGTGGTATCACCTGGGAGCTCGTTAGAAATGCAGGATCTGGCCGAGCACAGAGGCTTATGCCTATAATCCCCGCACTTTGGGAGGCTGAGGCCGGAGGACCACTTGAGTTCAAGACCAGCCTGGCCAACGTGGTAAAACCCCATCTCTACTAAAAATACAAAATTAGCCAGATGCAGTGGCACATGCATGTAATCCCAGCTACTTGGGAGGCTGAGGCAGGGGAATCGCTTGACCCCAGGAGTCGGAGATTTCAGTGAGCCGAGATTGCACCACTGCACTCCAGCCTGGGTGACAAAGGGAGACTCCATCTAAAAAAAAAAAAGAAAAAATGCAGGCTCTCAGGCCCCACCCCAGGCCTCCTGAGACAGAATCTGCATTTTTATGAGATTGTCAGGTGAATCATATGCACATGAATGTTTGCACATTAAATGAGCACTGGTCTGGATCCTTTAAAAAGGAATGATTGGTTTTATTTAATTCATATTTTAATAGAGTGACTCCTCCCTTATCTTCCAAGTTGAGCTCTCCCAGCATAGATGGCCCAGCTGCCAGGGCTGATGCCCATAGTCTGTGCATAAACAGGGGAGTTCCCGAGCCCTTTTCCAAGCCGCTTTTAAATGCAACTCCTTTTTTTTTTTTTGAGATAGGCTGTTGCTCCATTGCCCAGGCAGGAGTGCAGTGGTGCAATCCTAGCTCACTGCAGCCTCGACCTCCTGGGATCAAGCGATCCTCCCACCACAGCCTCCCACCTAAGCCCCCTGAGTAGCTGGGACTACAGGTGTGTGCCACCACACCCAGCTGATTTTATTTTTTGTATTTTTTGTAAAGGCGATGTTGTTCAGGCTGGTCTTGAACTCTTTGGCCTCAGCGATTCTCCCACCTCAGCTTCCCAAAGTGCTAGGATTGCCAGCGGGAGCCACCCTACCCAGCCGAACTCCTTTCTTACACGTAGTTCTGACAGTATCGATCATCCACTCTTCAAGGTGCTAATACATTAAAACAGCAAATTGGAAGTAGGCCAAGGAGGTGCTAGTGGCAGCCCCACGGACAGTAGCAATTAAGACCAGTTGCTAGCTTGATAGTGGGAGACCAGAAAGACTAAAAATAATTGCAGGCTGTGTTGGTCTGGTATGGATGCTGACTTCCTGACATGTAGCTAGGTGGAGTGGCTCATGCTGTAATCCCAGCACTTTGGGAATCCAAAGTGAGACGATAACTTGAGGCCAGGAATTCAAGAGCAGCCTGGGCAACATAGCAAGACCCTGTCTCTACAAAAAAATTTAAAAAATTAAAAAAAATTAGCTGACATGGTGGCACGCACCTGTAAGTCTCAGCTACTGAGGAGGCCGAGATGGGAGGATCGCTGGAGCCCAGGAGTTCGCGGCTGCAGCAAGCTGTCATTCTACCACTGCACTCTAGGTTGGGCAACAGAGCAAGGTCCTATCCCTAAAGAAATGACAAAATAAACAGTCAACCACCTGGTGGAGAAGGTAGTATTTTCACCAACGCTGTAGCAAATGTCAAGGCCAAGACAAACACTTGTTTGGAAAATTTAGTTTTGGGGAAACTCCTCTCCTCTAGTGTGCTGGATTCATGATATATTGTTACCTGGAAATGGCAGCCCTCAGTGGATAAGAACCTGGGGTTTTGGAGATGACCCATGTTTGGCGGCACCTGATCCCTATCAGCAGCCATGCGTCCCACTGTCTAGGCAGTGGCCAAGGGTGCTCTGTCTTGGACGGCAGACAGCACATCTGATTTGGAATTTTTGTTCCAGCACTTCTTAGCTGTGTGACTTTGGGCACTGCTGAACCTGCTTCCTCCGTGAAACAGCCAGTGATAAAACTATTTACTGTGTAGAGGATTCTGTGAGACTCAACGTATGGCAGTGCCTGATGTACTATTCTAAATTTATTTTTATTTTTATTTTAGAGATGGGGTCTTGCTGTGTTGCCCAGGCTGGTCTTGAACCCCTGGCCTCAGGTGATCCTCTGGCCTCAGCCTCCCAAAGTGCTTTTTCATTTTCTCCTCAAAATGAGAAAGTAAAGTGTTATGGTGTTGGCAGCTCACCCATAGAAACTGCTTTAAAGGCCAGGCATGGTGGCTCATGCCTGTAATCCCAGCACTTTGGGAGGCCAAGGCAGGCAGATCACCTGAGATCAGGAGTTCAAGACCAGCCTGGCCAACGTGGTGAAACCCATCTCTACAAAAATAAGCTGGGCATGATGGCGGGTGCCTGTAATCCCAGCTACTCAGGAGGCTGAGGCGGGAGAATCACTTGAACCCGGGAGCCAGAGGTTGCAGTGAGCCAAGATCACGCCATTGCACTCCAGCCTGGGCAACAGAGCAAGACTCAAAAAAAAAAAAAAAAAAAAAAAAGAAAAGAAAAAATAAACTGCTTTATATTAAAAGAAAAATAATGGTCATAATCTGGCCTTAGGGGCTATAGCATCAATGGTGAGGCCTAGATCGCCCAGGTCACTGGGTGTGTATTGACGTTGTTTACATGTTTTATTTCTTTTATGCTTTTTCCCAGAGATTGATTTTTTTTTCTCCCTTATGTGATTCAAAATATCTGCTTACACGTTAAACCCAGCTCAGTTGGCATAATGTCTTTTTAAGGCACAAGCCAGCTTCCTGGGTGTGAGCAGCTTCCACATCAAATGTTCAGTGGGCAAATGAAACATGTGAGTCACACAACACTTGGCACCTCTGTGGCTTTTAATATTTGGTGGCAAACTTCCTACCGCGAGGAGAAAATTTTCAAAGTGGAAGTCCTTTCAGATCCAGATGGCAAAAGAATTTGTTGGGCGAGGGATCTTGATTCTTAATGTTGAGGGGACTAGGAATGTTTGAATTTTCTCCCCCTTGTATTTTCCCAGCCTGGTAGGCCTCCATGGGGGCCAAATTTAGTTGCGAATTTGCCCACTTTTGTGCAGAGTGAGGCTCCATCTATGGAATGTGCTTAACCATAAGGATCAGAAAAATTTCTAGTAGCTTTGTTAAGTGCACAGCAAACAGAAGACAAAGTGTGGCCGGGTGCGGTGGTTTATGCCTGTAGTGCAAGCACTTAGGGAGGCAGAGATGGGAGGATTGTTGAGCCCAGGATTTCAAGACCCAGCCTGGGCAACATAGCAAGACCCCCTTCTCCAGGAAACGGAAAAAAAAAAAGAGTTTGAAAAAAGTGTGTAGACTAACTGAACACTTGCAAGGCAATTTTTTTTTTTTTTGACTGTCTGGAGAGCTTGGGTTCCATGAACACAATACAGCTCTTGTTCCACGTGACTTACAAGTTGGGCCCCGGGTTTTGTTTTCTTGGCCGAGATCTTGAAGACTGTCTCCAAGTAGGTGTTTCTTCCTTGGCAGCAGGTTTGGCCAGTTATGTAGTCAGCCCTGTCCTTCTCTGAAGGGTGGGTAGTTGAGTTGGGGGTATGAGAGGGGTGACAGTGGATCATCTTAGCTTTTTTTCTATTTCACGTCATTGTTCATGGATACAAGTGCAGGTTTGTGACATAGGTAAACTTTTGTCATGGGGGTTTGTTGTACAGATTACGTCATCACCCAGGTATTAAGCCCAGTATCCATTAGTTTTTTTTTTTTTTTAGTTATTTCTCCTGATCCTCTCCCTCTTTCCACCCTTCACTCTCCAAAAGGCCCCAGTGTGTTTTTCCCCCCTCTCTGTGTCCATGTGTTCTCATTGTTTAGCTCCCACTTATAAGTGAGAACATGCAGTATTTGGTTTTCTATTCCTGAGTTAGTTTGCAAAGGATAATGGCCTCCAGCTCCATCCATGTCCCTGCAAAGGACGTGACCTCTTTCTTTTTTCTGGCTGCATAGTATTCTGTGGTGTGTATGCGCCATGTTTTCTTTATCCAGTCCATTATTGATGGGCATTTACATTGATTCTATGTCTTTGCTATTGTGAATAGTGCTGCAGTGAACATACATATGCATTTATCTTTATGATAGAATGATTGATATTCTTCTGGGCCTATACTCAGTCATGAGATTGCTGGATCGAATGGTATTTCTGTCTTCAGGTCTTTGAGGAATCATCACACTGTCTTCTATAATGGCTGAACTAATTTACACTCCCACCAACCGTGTATATAAGTGTTCCCTTTTCTCCACAACCTTGCCAGCATCTGTTACTTTTTGACTTTTTAATAATAGCTATTCTGACCGGTATGAGACAGTATCTCATTGTCTCATGCAATTTTTTTTTTTTTTTTTTTTTTTTTTGACAGGGTCTCACTCTGTCGCCCAGGCTGGAGTGCAGTGGCGCGATCTAGATCTTGGCTCACTGCAACCTCCGCTTCTGGGTTCAAGCTATTCTTCTGCCTCAGCATCCCTAGTAGCTGGGATTATAGGAATGTGCCACCATGCTTGTCTAATTTTTGTATTTTTAGTAGAGATGGGGTTTCACCATCTTGGCCAGGCTGGTCTCAAACTCCTGACCTCAGGTGATCCGCCTGCCTTGGCCTCCCAAAGTGCTGGGATTACAAGTGTGAGCCACCATGCCTGGTTTATTTCATTTTAAAATGCAATTTTTCTGAAGGTAGTCATTGTTTTTGCATGTTTTCTTTTCTTCAAAACATTTTTCATTTGTTAATCAACATTTTATAAGGCTTAATATTAAAAAAGAACCAACCCCACCCCACTTCTCCCCACTCTCATTTCCTACACCCAAGAGCAGCCCTGGTTTTCTTTTTCTTTCTTTCTTTCTTTTTTTTTTTTTTTTTTTTGAGACAGGGTCTCTCTTTGTTGTCCAGGCTGGAATTGCCGTGGTGCGATCATGGCTCGCTGCAGCCTTGACCAGGTATAGGAAATGAGAGCACTGTGCCCGGCTAATTGTTGTATTTTTTGTAGAGATGGCATCTCACCATGTTACCCAGGTGGTCTCGAACTCCTGGGCTCAAGCAATCCTCCCGCCTCCGCCTCCCAAAAAGCTGGGATTACAGGCATGAGCCATTGTGCCCAGCCAGCCCCTGGTTTTCTAAGTAGCAGGCTTATACCACTTGTCTTTGATATTTCAGTGTTAGGTGTTGACTTACTGATGTGTTTTATGAGACATGGATGAGGATTCTGGCCTCAGAAAAGGCTGCCTACGCCTCTCTCTTTCTCAGAATAGTCACATTTCACCTGTAATTCCAGTGCTTTGGAAGGCCGAGACAAAAGGATCACCGGAGGCCAGGAGCTCTTGACTAGCCTCGGCAACATTGCAAAACTCTGTCTCTACCAAAATAATTAAAAATAAAAAAATTATCCAGGTGTGGTGGTGTGCACCTGTAAGTCCCAGCTACATGGGTAGCTGGGGTGGGAGGATTGCTTAAGCTGGGGAGGTCAAGGATGCAGTGAGCTATGACCACACCCCTGTACTCCAGCCTGGGTGACAGAGCGAGAGTCTGTCTCTTAGAAAATAACAAATAAATACATTTTTAAAAGCATAGTCATACTTCTCTTTTTGGCTCAATCAATTTTCAAATATACAGTGTTTCCATAGCTATGACTTTGTAAATATTAGTATTCTTTGTACACTACTTAATGTATGCCTAAACTCTCCTCCAGCAACATAGATCTCTTAAAATATGGAAGGCCATCAGTGAGGTAGGGTTTCATCTTTCTTGGTGACAGCCCTTCTTGGCCCCCCTATTCTGCCCAGCTGGGTCTCCCATTCCTCATCATCTCGGGGGCTTCCTCCCATCTCTCTCCAGCTTTGGATCTCCTGACTCGTGTACGCCATGGCTTTGTTCTTCCTGGTTAACCTCTCATTTGCTGCGGGGATGTTCTCCGATTGCTTCCTGATAGATGGTGACCATATCTGCGATCCGACAAGATCTTCTTTATTCTGTCCTCAAATCCCAGGTTGGAAAACACTTCCTGCAGAATGGGAAAGATTTGGCTCCCCGTTTTCTAGCATCCGTCAAGGGCGTTCTGCATTTTTGTCCTTTGTTCTAACACCTTGTAGAGTTGTCTTTTTCTTCTTCTTCTCAGATTTCATGAACACGCACCTTGGCGTGGTTCTTATGGCCTGGTCTCTGTTTTCTGTCTTCCAGAGTTGCGTTAGTCAGATGTTGCACTTTGTGGCCTGATCTGCTAATTTTTCTTACTTTTCATTTGTCTTTCTTCTCTCTTTTTTTTTTTTCTTTTGAGACAGCGTCTCACTCTGTCACCCAGGCCAGAGTGTGGTGGCACCATCATGGCTCTCTGCAACCTCCACTGCTTGGGCTCAAGGGATCCTCCTGCCTCAGCCTCCCCAGTAGCTAGGACTACAGGTGCACACCACCACGCCTGGCTAATTTTTTAAGTATTTTATAGAGATAGGGTCTCACTATGTTGCCCGGACTGGCCTTGAACTCCTGGTCTCAAGCAGTCCTCCCACCTTGGCCTCCCAAAGTGCTGTGATTACAGGCGTGAGCCACCGCACCCAGCCTTACCTTTCACTTTCATGCCTCTGTCTTTTTTGATGTGTTTTCTGCAGGAATTTCTCAACCTTCCAGTCTTTCTAAACTTTTATGCATCTTATTTTAGATTTCCAAGTTTTCTTATTCTTTGAACATTTTTATGGTCTGTTCTTTCATGGAAGCATCATCTTTTATATTCCTGGCTACATTCATCACAGTTTTTTAAAAAGTTTTTGGCCAGGCAAGGTGGCTCATGCCTGTAATCCCAGCACTTTGGGAGGCCAAGGTGGGCTGATTGCTTGAGCCCAGGAGTTTGAGACCAACCTGGGCAACATGGCAAAACCCTGTCTCTACTAAAAAGACAACAATTAGCTGGGCATCGTGGCACACACCTGTAGTCCCAGCTACTTGGGTAGCCGAGGTGGGAGGATGGCTTGAACACTGAAGGTGGAGGTTGCAGTGAGCCGAGATCACACCACTGTACTCCAGCCTGGGCGACAGAGCAAGAACCTGTTGCAACAAATAAAAAAATTTTAAAAAAGTTTTCTTCTGTTCTCTGCGTTGGAATTTTTTTTTTTTTTTTTTTTTTTTTTGAGATGAGGTTTCACTCTTGTTGCCCATGCTGGAGTGCAATGGAGTGATCTTGGTTCACTGCAACCTCCACCTCCTGGGTTCAAGCATTTCTCCTGTCTCTGCCTCCCAAGTAGCTGGGATTATAGGCACATGCCACCATGCCTGGCTAGTTTTTTGTATTTTTAGTAGGGACAGGGTTTCATCATGTTGCCCAGGCTGGTCTTGAACTCCTGACCTCAGGTGATCCACCTGCCTCGTCCTCCCAAAGTGCTGGGATTACAGGCATGAGCCACTGTGCTTGGCCTCTGCATTGAATTCTTACTGTCTTTACTTTGTAAAATGTTTTTTAAAAATATATAAACAGTTGCATACCATGCATTTTGGTTGCAAAATATAATACAGTGAACACCCAGGAACCCTCCACCCAACCCTAAGAATCAGAGCTTTGCCAGTCAATTGCATCCACCTGTATATTCCTCCCACCTCCTATTCCCTGCCCCCTCTCTGGGACAGGTGACCCATCCTAAGTAGTGTATTTATTATGCTCTTGCCTAAAATAATGTATTTTCTGCACCCATGAATAGATGCTTAAGTAGTATATGATTACTCTTCCCTGAGTTTGAGCTCTATAAAAATGGTATTATTCTGCAATAGACTTGCAGGATTTGCCTTTTGAACTTGAGTTACTGCAACATTATCTGTGAGGTTGTCTGTTATAACTGTGGTCCATTTATTTTCTCTGATGCTTAAACCCAGTTGTGCGGCTAGACCCAAATTTCTTTAGCCTTTGTCCTGTCGCTTTGTCTGTTTTCCTCGTTTCCCTCTTTGTTTTGGTCCCAGTTAGAGGTTTCCTCAAATGCCTAGTGACGTGTTGTTGTTTGTTCATATATCAGAGCATGGCAATAGAAAGGGTGTGTGTGTGTGTGTGTGTGTGTGTGTGTGTGTGTGTCGGGGTAAAGAGCAGTTTTGGTGGCCCCCACCGTAAGTAATTAACCCAGGTGTCTAGTTGCGGGGAGCCCCCAGGCATGGGTATCAGTGGCTCATTCTCTTGGACTGGTCAGTTTCTCTAGCAAGGAGCCCTCAGTGTTCCTGCTGGGTGGTGCAGTTGGGAACTGTTAGTCTGACCACCTGTCTTCTAGGCACCAGGCTGGGGCATGTGCTGGGATATTCACTCAGCCCCCTGCCCATGGTCATGAGAAACCCCAGTCTTCTGCCCACAGTGCAGGAGGGACCTGACCGCAGTGGCATTTTGCACACCTGCCCGGCCTCCAAGTCCTGCAGCTCGAATGAGCTTGCTTGCTGCAGGCGGCCTGCTCCATCTTGAGGCTTGTCTGGAAAGGCGGCTTCGGCTTTCCAGTGCTTTCCAGCGCTTTCCAGCTTCTGAGATTTTGGGGGCTTTTCATTTGTTCTTGCTTTCCTGTCCTCTTTGTCAGGTGAGTTTATACCTTTCTGTTCCAAAGCAAACAGGATCGTCTGCCATGTTGAACTGGATGTCGGACAATTCTGAAATGTGTGCATGGGGCAAGGCTGTGTGTGATGATACCAGTTTCATAGGAAACACTTCGGTTTTGGTTTTGTCTTTCAAAGTCATCTTTTGTGAGCGCCTTCTAGCCGGGCTGCCAGCGGGTAACATATGATTAACACAAGTTTGGAGTCTGTCTGCAGAGCAACTTTATGAAATGCTCAGAAAGCCAGTCTCCTAAGCATAGGAGCCTGTTTGGTGGTGATGGGATGAGGAAGCAGTGGGGGCTTTGGCACCAGAGGCCTGGGCTCAAATCCTGCCTCCATCATTTAGGGGTTGGGCATCTCCATTCCCTTATCTCTGGGTGGCGAGAACTTCCTAAGTTCTTAGTGTTTGGAAGGGACCCCCTCCATAAAGTGAGGTGCCTCTTGGCCACTGCTCAGCCAGTGGGGGCTGTTCCTAACAGTTGCCTCCTCCGATTGCTGGAGTAAGAAATGACACCCTGTCTCCCATTTCTGTGGCACCCCATTCTCAACAGTGATGGTTCTGCCTGTTTTTAGTCACACACACCTGCACACTTCAAAGGACTAAAAATGGACTCAGTTTTCTTTCTTTTTTTTTCTTTTTGAGATGAAGTCTCACTCTATCACCCAGGCTGGAGTGCAGTGGCATCATCTTGGCTCACTGCAACCTCCGCCTCCTGGGTTCAAGCGATTCTTGTGCCTCAGCCTCCCAAGTAGCTGGGACTACAGGCATGTGCCACCACACCCAGCTAATTTTGTATTTTTAGTAGAGGTGGGGTTTCACCAGGCTGGTCTCAAACTCCTGACCTCAAGTGATCCTCCCACCTCAGCCTCCCGAAGTGCTGGGATGACAGGTGTGAGCCACCTCGCCCGGCCTGGACTCAATTTGGATTGCAATGCCCCACAATGGTGACCTCCCTCTTCTCTGTTAATGCATCCTCTTCCCTCTTGCTTAAAAATTTCCCCAGTGCCGTGGCATCTTACCTCCTGCTGAAGTGTGTGCTGATGCTTTGCTGGGGGCTGGACCCCGTCCCTTGGAGCCTGGCCCAGGCCCTGCCTCCCAGTGAAACCCTGGCCGCCTTTCCAACCTCAGAGGCTCTATCTCCTCCCAAACCCTGTAGCCCTTCCAGTTGCTGGTCACTGACTTCCATTAATTGGCCCGGTGGCCTTGCCTGCCAGGGGGACCATGAGGTGAGGGGCCGTGTCCTCCGAGTGGTCTCTTTCTCCAGGGTGCTGGGGACCCAAGAAATGCCTGGTCGTTTCTCATAGGTTGATAAGGAAAATGAGGCCTAGGTAGGGACAGGCAGGATTTCACCTGAATTTACAAGATGATGCAATGGAAGAGTCTTCAGTATATTTTCACGTATTTTAGAATTGAGTTACAACATTCATTTTGGTACTTTCTCTGTGTTCTCCCCATGTGTTAAAAAGCAGCTTAAGGCCGGGCGCGGTGGCTCATGCCTGTAATCCCAGCACTTTGGGAGGTCAAGGCGGGTGGATCACGAGGTCAGGAATTCCAGACCAGCCTGGCCAACATGGTGAAACCCCGTCTCTACTAAAAATACAAAAATTAGCTGGGCGCAGTGGCAGACGCCTGTAATCCCAGCTACTCGGGAGGCTGAGGCAGGGGAATCGCTTGAACCCGAGAGGCGGAGGTTGCAGTGAGCCAAGATTGTGCCATTGCACTCCAGCCTGGGCGGTAGAAGGAGTTTCCAGCTCAAAAAAAAAAAAAAAAATGCAGCTTAAGTGCTGGTTTAGCGCCTGTAATCCCAGCACGTTGGGAGGCTGAGGCGGGAGGATCACTTGAGCCCAGGAGTTTGTGACTAGCCTGGGCAACATAGCAAGAACCCGTCTGTACAAAAAATAAGAAAAATTGGCCAGGTGTGGTGGCGTGCATCTGTAGTCTCAGCTCCTTGGGGGCTGAGGCTGAAGGATCGCTTGAGTCCAGCAGGAGGTCAAGGCTGCAGTGAGCTATGATCAAGCCATTGCACTCCAGTCTGGGTGACAGAGTGAGACCCTGTCTCAAAAAAAAAAAAAAAAAAAAAAAAGGAAACAAGAAAGAAAAAAGCAGCTAAATTCTGCTGGAAGTGTGCAGTAAAGCACAAGTTTTCAGCCATCAACGCAGGGAGCCGTTAATCACGACCCATAATAACCAGAATGTTATTCCACGGTTGCGGTTTGTTTATTTCATCAGAGTTGCGTCTTCACCTATTTCCCTCCCTACTCTTAATTGTTTATCCAAGTTAGTGTTTTCCATTCTTTCACTGAAGGCTCTAAAAATGGTCCCATCAAGAAGTCTGGTAGATAATGGAAGACGAAGTGGACTTTACAGAAAGATGAATTTTCTTCCCTAGAGCTGGAAAACCCTTCAGCGTGTCATGCGTTCCCCAGCCAGGACAGACAAAGCCACGCAATCTGTTTCCTGCAGGCCCAGAGGGGAAGGCTTCCTCCTTGTGGTTAGTGACTTCAAAAGCTGTCCTCACTAGAGCAAGTCCAACTCTTCCTCTAGTTCTGATGACTTCACGGCAGCCAACTGAGCTGCTGAACGCTGTTTTTTTCTACGCAGAAACCCTCCCGACTTTCACGAGGAGTTGACAGGTTTTCCTCTTCACTCGGGCTCCCTTGTCATCGTTAAACTGAAACTGCTTTCTTGTAGCCAAATTCTGTGGTCCCTTTTCGGCCTCGGCCTCCTTGACCTCTCTGTGTCCCCACCTTGGCTCTCCCACGCCTGCCAGCCGTACCACAGGCCCCGGGTGTGAACCCTCCCTCCGCGGTCATGCAGCCACGCCTCTGCTCAAGCTGTGCCTCCTCCTGGGCGCACCCTCCCTCTCCCATCCTTCAGCCTCTGAAGTCCTGCCCAGCTCCGGTTCCTGTTTCTGTTAGGACGAGGCCCTTCAGATCCTCTCCAGCAGGTGGACTCTGTCCTGCCCCGTACCACCCGCCGCGGGCCACTTTTGGGCCTGCGCCATGTTCCTGCCCTTACCCCGCCCGGTGTTAGCGTCACGTGGGTCCTGATGTCCTCCCTCTCCCAGGCCTCTGCTTATCTGATTGGGGGCTGTGCTTGACTCTGAAACCCGGGCACCTCCTACAGGGCATTTTGCCTGTCACAGGCCTAGCATTCAATACCTATCATATTTTTGAAATATCTGCAGAAATAAAAAGAAATAACTATTTTCTTCTTCAGGAGTTAAGATGCGTGGCCACCAAGTACTTTTCAATACATAAAATATGTTTTCAGCACAGAAAGGCCTTTCACCGCTCTTACTTACATAGTCTGCTTTTGGTATGATGGGGACGGATGAAAAATGAGGACTGTAGGCCTCCGAAGTCAGCTGTTTTGAATTAAAGCAGCGCACGCTTTGAGTCAGGTGAAGCGAGGATGGGGTTTCACCCGTTGAGGATGAATTTGCTGGGTTACTTTAAACTGGAACTGTTCTTTTCAGAAATGAGTGAAGCAGGAAGGGAAAGACGGAGCTTGTCTGGCTGGGTCGGATGACCCCCTTTGCCAGGCCGTCACCCCTCTAGGTTGAGTTAGCTCAGAATAACTTAGCTGTGCTATAGCTTTGCATAATTGCAAGGAGCTTTGTTTCGTTTTATTTTGCAGGGAATTTTTTTCCCCCCTTAGCTCTTCCTCCTGGTGTATTTGTAGAAATCAGCTTCATCATGGTCATTTAACAGTAAGGGCTGGGGGTGGTGGCTCACGCCTGTAATCCCAGCACTTTGGGAGGCCGAAGTGGGAGGATCACTTGAGGTCAGGAGTTCAAGACCAGCCTGGCCAACATGGTGAAACCCCGTCTCTACTAAAAATACAAAAATTAGCCGAATGTGGTGGCACGCACCTGTACTCCCAGCTCCTCGGGAGGCTGAGGCAGGAGAATCACTTGAACCCAGGAGGCGGAGGTTACAGTGAGCCAAGATGGTGCCACTGCACTCCAACCTGGGCAACAGAGCGAGACTCTGTCTCAAAAAAAGAGAAAACAGAACATACTATTTTTGTTGTTTCTGAGGAGTAGGGTTTCTTACCAGGGAACCTGCTTTAAAAAAATGCAGTATGTAGATTCCTTAAGAATAAAGTTAAGCAGCAGCTAACCAAGCACATGGCTAAAAACCCGGCCAAGAGCATTGTAGTATCTGGTTTTGGGGTTGGTGGTGGGGATCCCATTTTAGAGGCCGACTTTGGTTTGTGATGGTTAGGTTTTACTTTCTTAGGTCTCAGCTCACATGTCCCCTTCTCAGAGGAGCCATCCTCACCCATCCCTTCTTGGTCCCTCCCGCCTTCCCTGACTTTTTCTTCTTCAATGACTTATCTGCACATGATCCCCTACTTATAAAACCTGTGTCTTCCACTCCTCTCACCCGAAAGAATGTTTGAATTCTGAAAACAATGACTTTGTTCTTAGCACCCACAACAGCAAATGCTCAGTGAGCCCTATGTTGAGTGAGTTAGTTGTGAGCTGTGGTGGTTTAGTGAGGGTATACTTTGGCCCTTAGAATGCGAATGCCTTTTTTTTTTTTTTTTTTTTTTGAGATGGCGTCTTGCTCTGTGGCCCAGGCTGGAGTGCAGTGGCACGATCTTAGCTCACTGCAACCTCCGCCTCCCAGGTTCGAGAGATTCTCCTGCTTCAGCCTCCTGAGTAGCTGGGATTACACACACTCGCTACCATGCTCGGCTAATTTTTATATTTTTAGTAGAGACTAGGTTTCGCCATGTTGGCCAGGCTGGACTCAAACTCCTGACCTCAGGTGATCCGCTTCCCTCGGTCTCCCAGGGAATGGCTGTTTAATCACAAGAAAGTCTTCCCTTCATGCGTTGTGAAAACCAGCAGTATTTTAATTGAAGAAATCCGGTATTGTTTGGCTTTCTAGATTTGGAAGTAGGTCAGGTGGCTAATGATTGAAAATGGACCGGCAACCAGAGGGCCTTTGGAAACTCTAGCTCGACTTCAGGCTATAGTTTTGTTTATGCCCTTGTCACTAAAGGCACTGCCCATGAGAGCTGGGTTTGCAGTCCCTGCTGAGCCTGGGGTTGAGAGCAGAGCCCTAGAGTAACTCAGCAAAGGCATCCCTCCCTGCACCTGAGCTGGGGGAGAGGCGGCTTATGATTAACTCAGCGATGTCTCAAATGCCATTTCTAGAGGCTGAACACATTAACTTTTAAAAAATGATTTAAAAATTACCAATTGACCGTATCCGGGGCTGAACCTGCGTGATTCAGCTTCTTTTAAAAATATCTTTTCTCAACAAATTGCTTCCTTAACATTTTAATTTGTTGATCATCAAGGAAGCTTGCCAAATATTAGCTGTTCTTTTCCATTTCCTACCGCCTCAAGCTTCCCGTATTTGGCCTATTTCAGTGGAGCTGTAAGGTCACTCCCTATTTTTCTTCCCAAATAACTGTATTTATTACTGTCAGGTATTGGCGGGTTTGATCCAGCTGTCATCAGAACGTTTGGAAATACCGTTTTTTGCCAGAATGCTGATTTAATGATCTCATACTGACATGGCTTGTTCTCTCTGCAGACTTGATAACTTGTTGAATATGTTCCCTCTTCTTATTGAGCAATGGTGCTTTTTGAAAATTTTTCCCAGCCAGAAGGCTTCATGGGTAGTATCTTTAAGATCCTAGCAGAAGGTTGCTTTTCTCTCTCTCTCTCTCTCAGTCCTTTCTTTTTCTCTTTTCTTTGCTTCTTTCCTTCTTTCCTTTTTCTTTCTTTTCTTTCTTCTCTTTCTTTCTCTTTTCTTGGCTTATTTCCTTCTTTCCTTTGTCTTTCTTTGCTCCTTCCTTCCTTCCTTTTCTTCCTTCCCCTTTCTTTTTCCTTCCCTCCCTCCCTCCCTACCTTCCTCCCTTCCTTCCTTCCTCTCTCTTTCTGTCTCTCTGTCTCTGCCTGCTTTTTCCTCTCTCTCTCTGTCTCTCCCCCCTTCTCCCCTCTCCTATCCTCTTCTTCCTTTTTTCTTTTTTTGGAAGGCCCAGATTAGTAGCAGAGACTCTCCTTGAAGGGGATAGATGCATTGTCGCTGTTTGGTATTTTGAACAGATTCTTAAGAAAATGTTTTCCTGGTGGAAGATTTCAGACACACATGAGGTGAGAATAATGAACCCTGTGTGCTGCCCCCAGCATGATCAGTTCCAAACTATTGGCCTGTCTAGTTTCATCTCCGCCCCTGCCTACTCCTGGAATTTTGAAAAGGACATCATATTATTTTCTCCATAAATATTTCAGTATGTATCTCTAAAAGATAATGTCACTTCGAAAAAAATACCTAATACCACGATCACACCTAAAACATAAATGAACAATATGAAGGATGAGTTTCTGCTGTGTGGCATGGCAGAATGATGCTCTGTGGGGTCCCAGGGGAGAGGTGAGCTAAGTTCAGTGTGTCACCTGCTGTCACCTGCCATCACCTGTCCCAGGGCCTGGGGCTAGCCACTGCTCTTTTGTGAGCCTCAGTTTCTTCATCTATAAAACTAGAGGATTGTACTAGTCTGTCTGTCTTTCCTTCCTTTCCTCCCTTTCCTGTCCTGTCCTGTCCTTTCCTTTCCTTTATCCTCTCTCTCTTTTATCTCCCCTTCCTCCCTTCCTTCCTTCCTTCCTTCCTTCCTTCCTTCCTTCCTTCCTTCCTTCCCTCCTTCCCCTCTCTTCTTCTCTCTTTCCTTTTTTTAAAGAGACAGAGTCTTGTTGTGTCACCCAGGCTGGAGTGCAGTGGTGCAGCCATAGCTCACTGCAGCCTTGACCTGGTAGTCTCAAGTGATCCTCCCACCTCAGCCTGTGAGGTTCCGGGAACACAGGTGGGCAACACCATGCCTGGCTAATTTTTAAATTTTTTGTAGAGACAGGCTAGTCTTGAACTGGCCTCAAGCGATCCTCTTGCCTCAGGCCCCCAAAGTGCCGGGTTTATAGGCTGAGCCACTGCACCCGGCCTGCACTAGTTTTTTTTGTCTCTAGAAATCTGCATCTCTGAATGTGTTAGGTCCTGACCTGCTTTAGAACGGATCTCAGCCACCCTGCTCCTTCGAACCCACATTTCTGCCCCGTGTCTGCTGGTCGCAGGAATTGGCACATTTTCCTTTAGCTGCGCCCACCAGTCCTTGCACGCATACTCCTGGTCACTTTTTTAATGTCTGGCAGATGGTTTCAAGTGCAATGGCGTCTCTGCGTAATAGTTGATTCTCTAAAGAACAGAGTCTACTAAGTGGAAGCTGCGTTTCCACATTTAGCAGTTAGCTGTTAAGAGCCAGTAACAGGTGCAAATTTGCAACCCGTTTTTTCCCCAATCTTTTGGAATGGAAATGGTTCAGTCATTTGAATTTAACAAACTGCCTGCCCGGCATGCACTGCAGATGCTGGGCTGCAAAGCTGGTTTTGGTGCTGGTTGGCCCCCTGGGTGCCCCTGTCTACTGAGGGTGGGACAGGCGGAGGACTGGGGGCTCAGTGCTGCAGAGGCACATGTAGGGTGGGGTGGGGTGGGGTGGAGAAGAAGTCCTGACCAGTCCTGATTTGGTGGTGCTGGTGCTTATGGGCTAGTGAGATTTCTGCATGCCCAGGCTGGCTGGTAGCCATGTGTCAGTCACTCATAATCCCAGTACCAGAGTTATCATCACCCCTAACTTTTTTTTTTTTTTGAGACGGAGCCTCACTCTGTGGCCCAGGCTGGAGTGCGGTGGCACGATCTCGGCTTACTGCAACCTCCACCTCCCGGAGTCTCCCTCTGTGGCCCAGGCTGGAGTGCAGTGGCACAATCTCGGCTCACTACAACCTCCACCTCCCGGGTTCAAGCGATTCTCCTGCCTCAGCCTCCCACGTAGCTGGGATTACAGGCGCCTGCCACCATGCCCGGCAAATTTTTATATTTTTAATAGAGATGGGGTTTCACCATGTTGGCCAGGCTGGTCTCAAACTCCTGACCTCATATGATTCGCCCACCTTGGCCTCCCAAAGTGTTGGGGTTACAGGCATGAGCCACTGTGCCCGGCCACCCCTAATGTTTTGATTTATTTCCTTTGAATTTTTTTTTCTCTGAATAAATGGATTGATGATATCTATTGACATAGTCAGAAACTCAAGAAACATCTATGGAGCATCTAGCCATGGAGCAGACACTCCTGTTGGTCTCGGGGGTGTGTGGCGGGAAGGTCAGAGTCCTTCTAGTCCTCCAAGAGCTTCCAGTCTGGTGGGTCCCTAGAATATAATACATTGTGTGTTGTCGTAGGCGGGACTTGCACGCTGTGCAGTTGGCTTTACGGTTGACACCAGGCCACCAGTGGCCTCCTCCGCCTGCCCTTCCAGCCTGCGGTTGTCCTTCAGCTGCTGCCTGTGAAATGTGATCCTTTCCATAAGTCCCCAGCACAGAGACTGGGAAGGCAGTTTCTAAGAAGGCCCTTCTGTTGGGCTGGCTCAGAACCTGCCCCCTTTCCTCTGACTTGCCTATAAAAAGGTGGGTTTTTCCTCCTGCCTATAAAAAGGTGGGATTTCACACTGACATAATTTACATCGAGGGACATATTAAACCTGGTGTAATTTGCAAGTGTGCCCTGAACACGTTTCATCATCAGGCTCGTTGTGGAGACCACGGTGTCCCTTTCCTTCCCATCGTAAGTCCCCGGTGTGTGTGTGTGTGTGGAAAGTTTAGAGCTCCCAAAGTTTAGAGCTCAGAGAGGATAAAGACCCGTATTACTAAACTTATCAGGAAAATGTGGCTTCAGATTATTTTTTTTCACAGCAATAATTGCATTTCATGTATTTTTTTTTTTTACTTATTACAGAAAATTTCAAATATATACCCAAACAGAAGAAGATCATGAATGCTTTTGTGTCCATGACTCAGCTTCAATAATAATTATTTACTTGTCGCTGGCCTTGTCTTATCTGTAACTTTCTCATCGCTCACCCGACTTAAATTTTGAAACAAATCCCAGACATCATATCTTTTGCCATCCACAGATACATCAGTGTGTATCTCTAAAAGAGAAGGACTTTGCAAAAAGTACAACCACAATACCATTAGCACACCCTCGAAAAATGACAAAGATTCATCAATATCAGCTATCCAATATCAAACTGCCACTTTCCCACAAATGTCATAATTAAAAAAAAATTTGTTTCAATCAGAACAAGAAAATCCAAGTGAGATTCAAGAGTCCCGCTGGGACTGGTTCATGTGTCTTTGTCTTTTGAGAGTTCTTTTTTTTTTTTTTCTTCTTTTTTTTTTGAGATGGAGTCTCCTTCTGTCGCCCAGGCTGGAGTGCAGTGGCATGATCTTGGCTCACTGCAACCTCTGCCTCTTGAGTTAAAGCGATTCTCCTGCCTCAGCCTCCCGAGTAGCTGGGATTATAGGCATGTGCCACCATACCCAGCTAATTTTTATATTTTTAGTAGAGACGAGGTTTCGCCATGTTGGCCAGGCTTGTCTCAAACTCCTGGCCTTAAGTGATCCACCCGCCTCGGCCTCCCACAGTGTGGGGATTACAGGTGTGAGCCACTGCGCCCAGCCAGGGCTCTTTTTATATTGCAAAACTGAAACTCTGCACCCATTAAACAATAACACTCCATTTCTTCCCCACCATGCCCTGGCAACCATGATTCCACTTTGTCTCTATGCCTTTGACCACTCTAGGTCCCTCGTCTAAGTGGAATCATACAGTATTGTCTTTCTGTGACTGGCTCAGTTCACTTAGCACAGTGTCAAAGTTCCTCCATGTCGTAGCTTGTGTCAGAATTTCCTTTCTTTCTAAGGCTGAACAATATTCCGTGGTGTGTGTATACCCCATTTTGTGTATTCATTCATCAATCAGTGGATGCTTGCGTTGCTTCTACCATTTGGCTGTGGTGACACTGTGTGAACTCTGGTGTGTATATATCTCTTCAAGACCCAGTTTTCGTTTCTTTTGAGTTTATACCCAAAAGTGGAATTCTGTTTGGGTTGCACCATTTTAAATTCCCACCAATGGTGCACAAGGGTTCCAATTTCTCCACAGCCTCGCCAGCATTTGTCATTTTCTGGATTGTTTTTTTTTTTTTGGAGACAGGATCTCACTGTGTTGCCCAGGCTGGAGTGCAGTGGCACAATCATGGCTCACTGGATCCTTGACCTCCTAGGCTCAATCAATCCATCCACCTCAGCCTCCTGAGTAGCTGGGACTATAGGTGTGCACCACCACACCCCGCTAATTTTTATATTTTTTTGTAGAGATGGCGTCTTGCTGTGTTGCCCAGGTTGGTCTTGAACTCCTGAGCTCAAGCGATCCTGCTGCCTTGGTCTCCCAAAGTGCTGGGGTTATAGGGGTGAGCCACCATGCCTAGCCTGGATTTTTTTCTTTTTTAATGGTAGACATCTTAGTGGGTTTAAGGTGGTATCTCATTGTGGTTTTGATTTGCATTTCCCTAATAGATAGTTATTTTTATTTTTATTTAAAGGGAGTCTCGCTCTGTCGCCCAGGCTGGGGTGCAGGGGTGCTATCTTGGCTCACTGCAACCTCTGCCTCCTAGGTTCAAGCAATTCTCCTGTCTCAGCCTCCCGAGTAGCTGGGACTACAGGCGCACACCACCATGCCCAGCTAATTTTTATATTTTTAGTAGAGATGAGGTTTCACCATATTGGTCAGACTGGTCTCGAACTCCTGACCTCAGGTGATCCACCTGCCTTGGCCTCCCAAAGGGCTGGGATTACAGGCATGAGCCACTGTGCCCAGCCTAATAGATAGTTATTTTTAATACTTATTTAAGCTTCATGTTTCAACTGGGGGTGCTTCATGATATATTAATATTTAATGAGCCACCTTAATTATTTCTAAAAAAGTAAAAAAGGGAAATACTATCTCCCACATGGTATTATTCATGATGTATATCTTTTTTTTAAATGTTTTGTAGAATCGGACCAAAATCAGACCAATCCTCTCAGTTTATCACAAAGATACCAAAACCCAGAGAGAATGAGGCTTTGCCTTAGCCTCGGCCCTGGGAGATAGAAGAGGAGCCTGGGGCCTGGGTTCCCCCTGCCGTGGCTGCCCAGTCCTTCCGCTGACACCATTTCGAGGTCCCCTTGTGGAACTTCTGTGGGAGGCCAGGTGCACAAAGTCCGGTTTGTTGAGCTACAGATGCCCGCCAGCAGTTGCTGTTATTATAGACTGGTTGTTCTGATTTGTCAAGAAACCCAGAACAACTGTTTTTCTTCTTTGCAGTGGATGTGTGTGCACATGACCTTTTGAGAACATATTTCCTGATGTGGTGGAGGCACTGATGTTCGTGCAGACTAGCTAAGTTAAATCTTCATTTCTTTCAGCTGAAATTGCCTGGCTGCTCCTTTAAGAAGTGCACTGTGTGGAGTTATCATGTTTCTCATGCTGTTAAATGTTTACTGGCAATCCTGTCTACTTTAGCGTATTGTTGTCAAATGACAAGGGAGTCCCCTGTCAGAGAGCAATGACACAGCCTGTACTTTTGGGGGCAGCCAGCGTCCGAGCGTTTCCACATTCATTCTTACGCAGTTGGTAGGCTCAGGATGTTTGTGAACGCCGAAGGGTGTGCGTGCACCCTGGAGTGTGGAGATACTAGCATGCTATTTAATGATGGCCACCACGGGACGTGCGCACTCATTCATTAAGCTAACGTTTTATGGTTTGTTGAGTGAAAGCAGGCACAATGGTAGGTAGTGGGTACTGGAGCAAATGACTGCACCGGCCCTCATGGGACTTCCATTTCAGTGGATTCAGGGGAAAGCAGCACGTGTTTTTGAGAGACCTTGGCAACGCAGGCGACCTTGACGTCGACCAAAAGAAGAGAGATTTGGAATGCTTGTTTTACAGCCTCCGGTCAAAAAAAATCATATGGGACCCTTTATTGCAGACTGGAACATTTATTTCAAGGTCTCAAATTAAACTAGAGGAGGCCAGGCATGGTGGCTCACACCTGTAATCCCAGCATGTTGGGAGGCTGAGGTGGGAGGATTGCTTGAGCCCAGGAATTTGAGACCTGTTTGGGCAACATAGTGAGACCCCAATCTCTACTAAAAAAATAAAAATTAGGCTGGGCATGGTGGCTCACGCCTGTAATTGCTGCACTTTGGGAGGCTGAGGTGGGTGGATCACTTGAGGCCAGGGGTTCGAGACCAGCTTGGCCAACATGGCGACACCCCATCTCTACTTAAAAAAAAAACAAAACAAAAATTAGCTGAGTGTGGTAGTGCACGCCTGTATTTCCAGCTACTTGGGAGGCTGAGGAACTAGAATCTCGAACCTGGGAGGTAAAGGTTGCGGTGAGCCGGGATTGCACCACTGCACTCCAGCCTGGGTGACTGAGTGAGACGCTGTCTCAACAAGAACAAAAACTAACCAGTTGTGGTAGCACTTGCCTGTAGTACCAGCTATTTGGGAGGCTGAGGTGGGAGGATCACTTGAGCACAGGAGTTGGAGGCTGCAGTGAGTCATGATCATACCGTGGCATTCCAGCCTGGGTGACAGAGCAAGACCCTGTCTCTTAAAAAAAAGTTAAACTAGAGTAGATAAATGAGCAGGCATAGTTGTTTGCTGATCATTCACCGTTGAGACAATGAACAGCTCGTTAAATAAATTGTTGGTAACAATGAAATCAGGAGAATTTCAATCCTGAGTCAGTGTACACAATACAAGGCACAAAACGTTGAGTTAAAGGTGGTTCTACTTTGCCCTCTAAGCATTTTATTGACTTCAAAACCTACAAAGGCGGCGCCATGGCATATAGGAATATAGGAATAAGGCATATAGGAATAAGAAGTTTCAAAAAGTTTCATAAAAGTTGTATTTGGGGCTGGGCATGGTGGCTCACGCCTGTAATCCCTGCGCTTTGGGAGGCCAAGGTGGGTGGATCACTTGAGGTCAGGAGTTCGAGACCAGCCTGGCCAACATGGCGAAACGCCATCTCTACTAAAAATACAAAAACTAGCCGGGCGTGGTGGTGCCTGTAATCCCACCTACCCGGGAGGCTGAGGCAGGAGAATGGCTTGAACCTCGGAGGCGGAGGCTGCAGTGAGCTGAGATTGTGCCACTGCACTCCAGCCTGGGAGACAGAGCAAGACTCTGTCTTGAAAAAATAGAAGTAAAAAAAGAGAGAGAGAAAAGCAAATTACCTGAAATCCAGAAAGATCAGAGAAGGGAAGGAATGGCTGGAGTAAGTGTTGATCAGCGGACACACTCAAGGGTTTCGTAATGTGCTCGCCCTGCCCCAGGCATCAAGGGAGGTGCTCACTCTGTGCACTCTGAATCCCACCAGGGGCCCACCTGCCACCCTGTTCTCACCTGTGACCACTCACGGCAGCCACAAGAGGCACAGGTGTTAGGTCTGCCCCAGCCACAACACCTCAGCACGTGGTGTGTGGCTTCAACCAGGTCACCGTGGGCACACTGGGAGGGGAGGGCTTCTGTGCGGCCACGCTTAATAAACAGTCTGCCTGGGAAACTGAGCATCCAAAGTGCCCTCTGAAGGAGCGGGATGCTGCTGCCCGTGGTGGCTCCGTCACACGCATTCTGGAAGGTACCTCCCGGTAAGCAACCTGATGTTTCATCTGTCACTGTTGATGCATCTCCATGTTAGAGAATTAAGCATATGGAAGCAAAACACCTCAGGAATACAGAACGCATTCATGATCACCACGGAAAATCAAATCAACTCAAAGTCCAAATGCAACTTTTTTTTTTTTTCTGAGACAGGGTCTTGCTGTGTTGCCCAGGCTGGAGTGCAGTGGCACGATCTCAGCTCTTAGTAGAGATGGGGTTTCACCATGTTGGCCAGGCTGGTCTTGAACTCCTGACTTCAAGTGATCTGCCCGCCTTGGCCTCCTAAAGTGCTGGGATTACAAGTATGAGCCACTGTGCCTGGCCTCTCTTTTTTAAAAAAAATAGAGATGAGGTCTCGCTATGTTACCCAGGCTGGTCTCAAACTCCCGGCCTCAAGCGATCCTCTTGCCTTCACCTCCCAAAGTGCTTTGATTACAGGCGAGCTTTTCTCTTTTTAAGCCAACTTGTGAGTAGAATCATTCACTTGTGCCTTTAGCTGTTGTCTCTGTGTTGAGGAATCCAGAGTCCAGTCCTTCTAGACTTATCTGGGGACCCGAGTTTCCTTCTGTAGAGTTAAAACCTGTTGCATCCATCCCCAGTCCCTTTACGGCACCTGTGTAGGCCTGTAGTGGAGCTGGCTTTTGTCCTTTGCTGTCCCTGGCTGAGCCTTGGCCTCATCTTGGGCCAGCGCCTCCTCCCCTGGGCTGCTGTGATGTGTTGGCATTTCCTGGGTAGAGTCTTGTACTTGCTGTTTTCTCCTGTCTCAGTCTTTTCCCCCAGGGACCTGGCATGTCTGTGTGTTGGGGACCCTTTGCTCATCTTACACACTGAGGACAGGCACCTTAGCGCTTGGTGCCCTGGGATGGAACAGCCACTGGACAGCCAGCCCTGTGCCCTGTGTCCACTGCAAACCTGATCCTGTTTTTTGGAGCCCTTCACTTGGCAATGAGACCTTCATGGGTGGGGTTACTGAAGCAGGAGTTGGTTTAAGTTAAATACCATCAGCCGCAAAGCTCAGAATGGATGATGAAGTGCTTTAGGGGTTGACAGGGCAGAGCTGGCTGTAGGGAGTGATGGAGAGAGGCTCCCAGGAGGGGAACCCTCTGACGTGGGAGTTAAAGGACTGGGGCCATTTGTCGTGGGGGGATGGGAGCAGTGGCTTGGGAAGGGACAGAACGGGAGCAAGAGGGCCTTGCGCACTGATGCTTTTGAGGACTGAATCTGAACGGGAGAGTGGGGAGAGGGCTGGAAACCTGGGCGAGAACAGGAGAGGAGAGGCCCCTGGATGCCAGCAGAGCTGTAGGCATGATCTGGGCCATGCCCTGGGAGACGCTTCCGCAGGAGATGGTGCGGCTGGGGTGGAGACTTCCTGGCTTCCGAGGGCGGGCGAGGGGGCAAAGGGCCTGGGGCATGGACTTGGGCAGGTAGCAAAGGCCAGAAGGAGTGGGAGTCATTCCACCTGGGATGTGGGAATGGCTGGTGGGGGCAGGTAGGGGGAGACCAGGATGAGCCCCATGTGCGCGTGACCTGTGGCAGAGGGGCTGTGTCAGAGCCCCGGCTGGCGAGAGGAGCATCACTGTGTCCAGAGGACGCGGTGCCTTTCAGACCCCTTGAGTAAGAGACAGAGTGGGTCTGTCCTGTCTAGGCTGAGTTTTCATTGCCCAGCACAGTGCCTGGCACACAGTAGGTGCTTAATAAACACGTGGACTGAACACAAGAGGTTGAGGGGAAAGGTCGGAATTGGCCACAGGTCTCCTAATGCCTGGCATGTGCGTCAACGCATCTCTGAGGATGGAATTTAAAGGCAAGAGCTGGAGGCCCAGGGCTGAGGCTGTGGGGTGAGCACAGCATTTGCGGGGCGCGGGAAGGGAGTGGCTGGTGGGGCGGGGGAGGGAAACCAGCACGTTAGAAGGTCAGCCAAGGTCAGGCGGCCAGCAGGGCGGGAGGAGGCGTTGGTGTGCACACGCGGGGAGCCTCCGTGTCCTCAGGACACCATGGAAGACGGCAGGACACACGTGCGAGCCACAGCAGGTGGGCGGGAGCTCACAGGCTGCAGAGGAAGCGCAGGGGAGGCGCAGGGGAGGCCAGGCTCTGGCATTTCCCAGGAATGTAAACCCCGGTTTCAGCTTTCCCCGTGGCTCCCCTCCGCCAAATCTTAAATCCTCTTGTTAAGACGCGCTCCGCCCCTGTGTCCTTATTTCCCACCGTGGTGGGCAGCTTGTCTGCCATCCCCTTCCAGGTGCCCCGCAGAACCACCACCCTTGGGAAGGCGGCTCCTCGTGCCCCCCCTCTTGTGCCTTCCCTCCCCAGTGCCTTTTCTGACCCCCTCCTGAGACCGCCTCCCTGTGGGCCATTTGAGCACCTGTAGCTTTCCATCCGGTGTCTTCACCCCTTTGCTCTTTGTAGCTGTCTCACCCCGCTGCAGCTTGTGAGGCCATGCAGGCCCTGATGTTTAGTGTTTTTTTTGTTTTTTTTTTTTTTTTTAAAGACAGCATCTCCCTTTGTCACCCAGACCGTTGTACAGTGGCACCATCCTAGCTCACTGCAGCCTCAACCTTCTGGGCATAAGCAATCCTCCCACCTCAGACTCCTGAGTATCTAGGACTACAGGCTCTTGCACCCACCACACCGGGCTAATTTTTGTATTTTGTTGTTGTTGTTGTTTTGTGGAGACAGTGTTTCACCATGTTGCTCAGTCTGGTTTCGAACTCCTGGCCTCAAGCAATTCACCCGCCTTGGCCTCTTAAGTACCGGGATTACAGGCATGAGACATTCCCTAATGTTTAGTTTTAAAGAGGGGGTGGTGCTATTTATCTCCAGGCTCAAAGCAGGGCATTCTTTCCTTAGGATCTGCGATACTCCAGTCAAGGCTGTTTCTTTTCTGCCTTTTGTAAAACTCTTGTCTAGAAATTAATGGATGAGGGAAGCTAGGGACTCTTCTCAGATTATTTCTTGTGAAAACCTCAAGAGTCTGAATTTACAGGGAAATCTTACAATTAGCTCGATGTGGATTACAGAGCGGCAAACAACCTTAAGTGGTAGAGCTGGTTCTGCAAGATTTTTCCAACCCTTTGTGGTCTAGTTTTCATTTTTCCCCTTTTAAAGTTGTTTTCAGCTAAAGCTGTGAGGACAGTATAGAGTTTTGCCTTGTAAAATTGGTAGTGAGTAATTTTAGAATAGATGCTTATGAAGTCTGTAAATAAATAGTAAGGCGCCTCGCCTAGTTCCACGCACATGTCAGTTTCGTAACTATCTCCCCAAGCTGAGCTCACCTGCCAGTGCCTTGGATGGACCTAGCCACCAGGGGCTGCAGATGAGTAGGAGAGCGGGTGTTGCCCAGAGCAGGGCGGACACCCCTGTTCCCTGTCATGTTTTCTTCTCAAAACCTGCTGCAGGCCATTGGAGAGCATTCCTGTTGCTCTCTGCACCCCTCTTTCTGAAGCATTTTACTGTGTGATCCTAGCATCCGTGGTTCAGGAGATCCTGCTACATTTTCCTGACTGCCTTGCTCTGCCCGGGAATACCTGGCTTATCAGCAGAATACAGGCCTCTGCTTAACTGAATTTGGTCCTGTAGTGAGGACTAAGAAGTGATGTACTCAGTTACATGATAATTCTAAAAAATAAAAAAAAGCCTTTTTTTTTTTTTGTTAACACCCATCATAGTGGCAGAATCTTAAGTCTGCATGTAGAGGGGGTTGGCAGGGCAGTAGAAGCAGGGGGCCCTGTGTCCTGTTGGTAGAAGAGTGAGCAGAATGGCCACTGGAGAGCCACTTGGTGGAGGTGCCTGCAGCACAGCGAGCAGCCTCCTTCCCAGATGAAGCATGCATCTTAGAGGCGACCTTGGGCACGTGCACAGTGAGACAGGTACAGGAGTGTCTGTTGTCATATATTCCATGGGAGTGCAAGAGCCGGAAGGATGCAGATGTGCATGGGTGGTGCTGGCCCCCATCAGGTGGCATCTAGTAGAAGTAAGTAAGGGTGGTGGTGGCATGTGTGGTCACCTTGCCAGCGTCGCCTCGCACAGGAAAGGGCTGTTGAAAATTTGTGGGCCGGGTGCCGTGGCTCTCGCCTGTAATCCCAGTTCTTTGGGAGGCCAAGGCGGGTGGATCACCTGAGGTCAGGAGTTCAAGACCACCCTGGCCAAGTTGGTGAAACCCCGTCTCTACTAAAAATTAAAAAATTGACTGGGCATGGCAGTGTGTGCCTGTAATCCCAGCTACTTGGGAGGCTGAGGCAGGAGAATCGCTTGAACCCCGGAAGTGGAGGTTGCAGTGAGCCAAGATTGCACCACTGCACTCCAGCCTTGGCGACAGAGCGAGACTCCATCCCCCCAAAAAAAAAAAAAGAAAAGAAAGTTGTGTGCAGCGTGATTCTGTGAGTTCAAGATGCAAAGCAATGACTTTACATTATTAAAGATCTAGCAGACATAGAAGGATATTTTATTTATTTGTTTATTTATTTTTGAGACAGAGTCTCTCTCTGTTGCCCAGTTTGGAGTGCAGTGGCATGATCTTGGCTCACTGCAACCTCTGCCTCTTGGGTTCAAGTGATTCTCATGCTGCAGTCTCCCGAGTAGCTGGGATTACAGGCGCCCATCACCACGCCCGGCTAATTTTTGTATTTTTAGTAGAGACGGGGTTTCACCATGTTGGCCAGGTTGGTCTTGAATTCCTGACCTCAAATGATCCACCCACCTTGGCCTCCCAAAGTGTTGGGATTACAGGCATGAGCCACCGCGCCCGGCCCATAGAAGGATTTTTTTGGGGGGAAAGAATCTGTAAAGTGATTATTTTGGAGGTGGAGAGGAGAAAATGAGACTAAAGAAGATAGAGTGGGGGCTTCTATGATTTTTTTTTTTTTTTTAAATAGATATGACAAAATGATAAAATTTGGTAAAGCTATGTGTTAGGTACATAGGAATTTATACTTTTCTGTATGCGTGAAATATTACGAAAAAATAAAGCCACATACACTATCTGTTTTTGTGTGTGTATGTGTCAATAGGATTTAGGCCTTTTTTGCACTTCTAGGTTAAAGTTTTCAAGATGAGGGTATTTTTTCCCCCTCTCTGTTAGAGAATACTAAAGTTATGTTGGTTTTATTTTTTATTTTATTTATTTACTTAGTTTTTACAATGTACCATTTTAATCATTTGGGTATCCTTTTTAAAATCTCTGAGCTTTTTTATTTTTTATTTTTTTTGAGACGGAGTCTCGCTCTGTCACCCGGGCTGGAGTGCAGTGGCCCGATCTCAGCTCGCTGCAACCTCCGCCTCCCAGGTTCAAGTGATTCTCCTGCCTCAGCCTCCCGAGTAGCTGGGATTACAGGCATGCACTGTCATGGCCAGTTAATTTTTGTATTTTTAGTAGAGACGGGGTTTCACCATGTTGGCCAGGATGGTCTTGATCTCCTGACCTTGTGATCCTCCCATCTAGGTCTCCCAAAGTGCTAGGATTACAGGCGTGAGCCACCGCGCCTGGCCTCAGCTTCTTTTTTTTTTTTTTTTTTTTAATTTTTATTTTAAGTTCCATAGTACATGTGCAGGATGTACAGGTTTGTTACATAGGTAAACGTGTGTACCATGGTGGTTTGCTGCACCTAGGTATTAAGCCCAGCATGCATTAGCTATTTTTCCTAATGCTATCCCTCCCCCCACCCCATATGTTTTATTTTATTTTTTATAGAGACAGGGCCTCACTATGTTGCCCAGGCTGATCTCAAATTCCTGGCCTAAAGCGATCCTCCCACCTCAGCCTCCCAAAATGTTGGGATTACCAAGTGTGAGCCACCATGCCTGGTATTATGTTGGCTTTAATTATATTTGTGGAAGAACTTCTATGTTCTCTTTCCTTATTTTAAATATTGGGAGATAGATGAAACATTTTAGGTTTCTCTACATTTGAAGAAGAGGTATATTTTCTTAGGTTCTTCTTTTTGTGAGACAGAGTGCAGTGGCACGATCTTGGCTCACTGCAACCTCCACTTCCCGAGTTCAAGCGATTCTCCTGCCTCAGCCTCCGGAGTAGCTGGGATTACAGGCGTGCACTACCACACTCGGCTAATTTTTTGTATTTTTAGTAGAGACAGGGTTTTGCCATATTGGTCAGGTTGGTCTCGAACTCCTGGCCTCAGGTGATCCGCCTGCCTCAGCCTCCCAAAGTGCTGGGAATACAGGCATGAGCTACCGCGTCCTGCCAGGTTCTCCTTTTGATAGAATAATATAGGTACTTGCCTCTGTTTCTATTCAGTATCAGTGAATTATCTACAGGAAAATGAACACAGGAAGACTGCTGAAGTAAAGAGGCCCACAGTGCCTGCATTCCCTTGCCTCATGTAGTCTTAGACTATTCAGGATGCTTTGAAAAGAGTAAACTGTAAATCATATTTCATATTCTTTGGGCCAGGAGTCTGGAATGGTTTCATATTGCCTGTGAAACAAGAGATGCTTCTCAGAATGAGATTTCTGGCTTAATTGAATTCGGATTATTGCAGGCAGGATGGGAGTGAAATGGTACATTCCTTTCATGCCAGTTGTGGAGAGGATCTCCGTGCAGGCCGTTGATAGAATAATATCCTGTGCTTCCTTGGTGTCTCTCTCTGAGGAAATAAGGGCTTAATATGTCCTATTCAATTAATCCTCACCGCATCCTTAAAGGTGACTGGAAGGCAGATAGTATTAACTCCATTTTACTTAAAAAGCAGCGGAAACATGGTGATTTGGAACTCCCTGGGAGCCCTCGAACTTTTCTCTAAACTCCACCGGTAGCTGAGGAGCAGGACACACGCACAGAGGAAGGACATATTTATGGCGCATCGCCTTGGTGCCAGGCACCGTTGGGAACTTTTTAGGATCGTGATGTCTTTGAATTCTCAGGACGTTTCTGCGAGGTGGTGGGCGGTATCATCCTGGTTTTTCAGGGAGAAGTCAAGTCACTGGCCCAGGTCCTCAAGCTGGCCAGTGTGGCCCGGTCTGACCCCGAGGTTCTGCCCGGGTTTCTGTCCCTCCAGCCTGGCATCGTGAACTCAGGGGAAACAGATGGGGAATCTGTTGTTGTAACAAAGATTCTAAGGATTTGAAGCAAAATCAACACACTCAGTTGTAGAGGGTACCACGTGGTTGATACCATTGAAGACAATTGCACCTAAATGAAATAATTTGATGGCGTGGAGTCCAGTTTCAGAGCGTTTGCATCACACCTTCTGACACCAGGCTGGGGGGCCGCCTGTCCCAGAGCATCGAGGACAGACACCGCTGCTGTTAGACCTCATTCCACCCCTTTAGTGGGGACCCACCGCGCGCTGGCCGCAAGCCTATTTTAATTTGTAACAATTCTGCTTGATGACAGGAAGACGTCAAAAAGGAGAAATCAGGCTAACTGGGGCTCCTTGTCCACTTGGGGGGCATGTCTCAGTGTCTTGCCTGGGGCCTTGTACACACCCTCTCTTACCGGGAGTAAAGTGAGGTTTAGAAAGATTACCTTTGTCCTGGGTCATTCTTCCTTAAATCACAGCTAGGATGCAAACCCAGACCTCTCTGATGTCAGTTTGCAAGCTCTTTCAGGTACCGTCAGCCACATGCCAGGCCTTCAGTGGGGTGATGTTTTTTGTTGTTTTTAGAAAATACTGCTATTCACTCATGGGAAATAGGGACGAGGGCTTAGATTTCAGCTGCTTTGCATTAGACAATGATTTCTCTTATTATAAGCAGAGCTCTCTATTAACCAAAAACACTTGGCTGTTAGACATGGTGTTTAATTGCTGTTAGAATGTATTTTTGTCACACTGCCCTATAATAAGCCAAAGAACTGTTTGTGCCAAACAGTGAAGGGAAGCTAGGGGAGGATGAAAACTGTGCCTGCTACTCCACCTCCCTTCTTTCGAGGTCGTGGTGTTTTGTTTGCTGTTTTAGCTGTGGTGTGTGTGTACCACTCGTACCTTTCACAGGAGGACACCTCATCTGAATACCAGTCAGGACCTGAGACGCGTTGAGCCCCTCCCCACAGTGCCCACGGGTAGGTGCGCCGCTCTCTGCCCCTTCCGGGAGCTCTGCTTTTTCTACCTTTAGAGATTTCTTTCATCCTCTATTACGTAGGCCTGACTTTTTGCCTAATAAAGGAAAAACAACCATCTATTTAGCACTCTTTTTTTTTTTCCCAAAATGGAAATGACTTTCTCTCTGATTTTTACAAAGCAAAAAATGAGAGTAAAGATTAAGAAACTACAAGAAATTATGGTGAAGGGAGTAAAGATGGCCATGAATCCTATGACTGCCGATGGTTTGGTCCCAGGATGCATTATTCAGATATTTTCTCCCTGTGGGCTTATGTAAACAGAAAGCTAGGTGAGTGGAAGTAACACGTCAAATACTGATTTGTGGCTGGGTGCGGTGGCTCACGCCTGTAATCCCAGCACTTTGGGAGGCCGAAGTGGGTGGATCACCTGAGGCCAGGAGTTCGAGACTAGCCTGGCCAACATGGCGAAACCCCATCTCTACTAAAAATAAAAAATTAACCAGGTGTGGTGGCACACGCTTGTAGTCCCAGCTACTCTGGAGGCTGAGGCAGGAGAGTCGCTTGATCCTAGGAGGCGGAGGTTGCAGTGAGCCGAGATGGTGCCACTGCGTTCCAGCCTGGGCGACAGATTAAAAAAAAAACAAAAAAAAAACCTGATTTGCAACAATTTTGTGTCCTAGCCTAGAGTTTACCGTGCTATTGAAAATATCTTTCGGCTGGGCGCGCTGGCTCATGCCTGTAATCCCAGCAGTTTGGGAGGCCAAGGCAGGCGGATCACGAGATCAGGAGATCGAGACCATCCTGGCCAACATGGTGAAACCCTGTCTCCACTAAAATAGAAAAAATTAGCCAGGCGTGGTGGCACGCACCTGTAGTCCCAGCTACTCAGGAGGCTGAGGCAGGGGAATCGTTTGAACCTGGGAGGTGGAGGTTGCAGTGAGTTGAGATCGGGCCACTGTGCTCTGACCTGGCAACATAGCAAAACTCCGTCTAAAAAAAAAAAGAAAAATGAAAAAGAAAATATCTTTCAATGATAGTTAATATATATATACACACACACACTGTATTTGAAGTGACATGTTACATGGTTTTCCACTATATGATTTCTCATATTTCATCAAATTGATCCTCTTGAACTCCTGACCTCAAGTGATCTGCCTGCCTCGGCCTCCCAAAGTGCTGAGATTCCAGGCGTGAGCCACCGCACCCGGCCTCTGATCTTTTTTTCATCTTTTTCCTAGTTTCTGACCTCACTACCACTCTGCACCACGTTGGGATGGGTATCCTTGTACATCCGTGCAGCTTTTCTATGATTTTTAATGTCTGATTATTTTCTTAGGTTAAATTTCTAAAAGTAGAAGTGAACAGCGTGTGCACATTTTTATGACTTTGGGTACATTTCATTACATTACTTTCCAGAAAAGTTGGAACAATTCATAGCAGTAACTGCACTGAATTTCTTGTATTACTTACCTATTTTTAAGCAAGTAATATAATCTCTTGGTTCCAAAAACAAAGCATAAAGAAAAGTCTCCTATCTGCCTACCTCCCCACCCACTGTTGTTGATTTTTTGGTGTGTATCCTTCCAGAGTTTCATTATATACACAGAAACAAATACCAGTGTCACCCTCCTTTGTATGCACATAGTCTAGCATGCCATGCACACTCTTGTGCAAGTGGCTTTTTATTTTTTAAAATTAACAGGCCAGGTACAGTGGCTCATGCCTGTAAACCCAGCACTTTGGGAGGCCAAGGAAGGCGGATCACTTGAGGTCAGGAGTTTGAGATCAGCCTGGCCAACATGGCAAAACCCCGTCTCTACTAAAAATACAAAAATTAGCTGGGCATGGTGGCGGGCACGTGTAATCCCAGCTACTGGGGAGGCTGAGGCAGGAGAATCGCTTGAGCCCAGGAGGTGGAGGTTTCAGTGAGCCGAGACCGTCCCACTGCACTCCAGCCTGGGTGACAGAACGAGACTCTGTTTCCAAAATAAATAAATAAAAATTAACAGTGTTTCTTACACTTTTCAAATCAGTACATTAAAATCCCTCCAATTGTGTGTGTGTGTGTGTGTGTGTGTGTGTGTGTGTGTGTGTGTGTGTTTATTAAAGCGACACCATTGTTCAATGATATGAATAGGTATATTTTATATACTTGGTTCCATTTTGATAGATATTTGGGTTGCTTCCTTGAAGAATGTTGTGCGTACACCGTTTGACACAGGTGCAAGCTTATCTGCAGGGGGAAGCCGATTTGCAGGACTCATTCCTATAGGGAGAGGGGCCAGGCCCAGGGACTTAAGTGTTTGTGAATTTGTAGGAACTGCCAGATTACCCACACTTAGCAGTTTACACCCCTTCCCTCCAGCACTGGCTGCAGAGAGCCCTGTCCTCCAGGGCCCTAATGCTAATTCTTTCATGATTGCACTAATTATATGCACAAAAGGAATGCAACAGAACAAAACAAACCACCTGGTTTTGTAGGTGTGGAAGTGCACATTGCAGTAAGGAGTCAATGAAATCGGTTACTGTGGGACAGGACCCTCCCCTCCCCTTGGTTATTTTACTAACTTGGAATAACGCCACTTCCTTGTAGGAAACAGGCAGTGACTGTCAGTGAGTGTGCCTAGGAGAGGGGTGGGTCCTTTTAGAGACCAACCTCGCAGTTAGCCAGCAACAGGCTGCAGCTTAGCTAGATGAAAAGTTAGTTTGAGAAACTGAAGTCATTGCCGCTAAGGCTGGCAAGGTGTGGCTGGGGCCAAGTTGGGGGAATGTCGTAGTAGCCGGCCCTGTGCGCCTGAGCCCACAATTACTGCGTCGCTGCTGGGGTCTGGCAAAGCTCACCTTGATGCAGTTTTGTTCAAAGCAGTGCAATTTCCAAGCCTCAAAACAGATCCTTTTCAATACAATGTGATTGTAAAAATTCTATTAATAAAGAGAAAAAAAAGACGCACCAGCGGCTTACAAGATCTTTTTTTGTTTTTTTTTTTAAGAGACAGAGTTTCACTGTCGCCGAGGCTGAAGTGCAGTGGTATGATCTCGGCTCACTGCAACCTCCGCCTCCCAGGCTCACACAATTCTCCTGCCTGAGCCTCCTGAGTAGCTGGGATTACAGGCGCGCACCACCATGCCGGGCCAATTTTGTATTTTTAGTAGAGATGGGGTTTCGCCATGTTGGCCAGGCTGGTCTCAAACTCCTGACCTCAGGTGATCCTCCTGCCTGGGCCTCCCAAAGTGCTGGGATTACAGGCATGAGCCACTGCACCCAGTCACGAGATCTTAAAGTAGAAGTAACTATGGTATTTTTTTCGAGAATTCTGTTAGGGCGAGAAGCCCATTCGTACTGTGCTGGAACCATCCTGACCCTGTCTGTTCTTTGCAGGAACTCAAACCAATATGCCTAAGTAGCTGAAACTGTTGCATTTCAAAGCCTTTTCAAGCATATCTTGAGGACACTGTTCCCTGCAGCTGAACTGAAGTCTTGATCTGAGCCCAGGAGGAGTCCCTGGGGTTGTCTTGTTGGGGGTGGGGAAGTGGGAATGCTTGCATTCAGCTTTGGGGGACCTTAACCCTTTGCCCCCTCCCCTGTCCCCCCTTCACATAGCTTTAACATGAAAGTCTTTCTGTCTGTCAGATCTCCCCTGTACAAAGAGTGGTCTACTCTAAAAATTGCTTTGAAATTGGAATGGACCCCTCCCTCTCTTCTATTTTAGTTCTAGTTTCTAGCTCTTTAAAATAATGCAACTTTTCGCTTTATTGTTCTAAATCAATGCATTCTAGCCGTTGGCTGTCCCAGTTGCTTCCCTGTGGCTGGGAGCCCCTCTCTGTGGTTGAGGCTGGTCTTACCATTGCTCCAGTTGTCTTCGGCCTTCTGGGGCTTACTTCCCCTGCCCTGGAGGCCTGAGGCCAGCCAGCCAGTGTGGTGTGACCCCCCTGACAGTGGGCTCTCCCGGCTGGCCCAGTTGAGGGTGGTCAGTTCCTTTTGTGGCCTTGCCTTCTTGGGAGATAAAAGTGGCCCCCTGGGTGCCGTGCGGCCCGCCCGCAGGGTCCTTGGTGGAGCTCCAGCATTGATTCCTGCAGGTTCAGCTCCTGCCCCAAGGCAGCGTCCAGCTGGCTGAGTGGGGTTCTCCCAGGGTCTCTAAGCACAGGACAGCCTGCTTCTGCATGGGGGCGCACAGGGGACCGCAGAGTCACACTCAGACCCTTCTACCACCTCCTGACTTGTGGACTTTGGTGGTGGGTGGCGACAAACTGGAGTCCACTGGGTCTGTGGCAGAGAAAGGTGGCTTTGCTGGGGGCTGGGGGAGAGGAGGCGTTTTTGGATCGCAGCATATACCTTGTCTAGAATTGTATAAAAACCTACAGGAAAAGGCTGATTTTTTTTTAAAAAGGCTGTTTTTTTAAAAACAACTAAAGGCACAAAAACTCCAAGTGTGAGAATATCCAGAATGCGTTTATATAATGTGCACCGTTGAAAGGAACATTGAAAAAACAAAAAACTCCGAGGAACAGGTCATTGGGTTTGGAGAAGTTTCCTTCAGAAAGTTCTCTTCCTGCTCGTTCACTGTGGATTAAAGCTCGTTGGCAATTTCGGAAGTTCACGTTCTTGAGACTCGGTGCCTTTGGAACAATGGCTCACAATGAGGACGGTGTGCGTTCCCGGCAAGAATGAGTGTTGGGGGCTTTTCTCCTTATCACCCGTTCCCCAGACCCCTCTCATCGGCCTCATAAAGAAACAGATGGTTCATCAGGAATAGCTCAGAAATCACGTTGGCTCCTGGCTGTATAAAGAGTGGGAACTGGGATCATAAACATTTGAAATCTCCTAGGAAAGGACAATGATTCCCTCAATGAAATATTGATGTAAAGGGAGCATTTTAAAAGGCAGAAATGATGAACCTGATTCAGGTTGAAGCTGGTAGTGTACTTTAACCTTTTTGAGAATTGTTAATTTAAAAGCAAATAGAATGAAATATAGACTATAAAAGCAGATTAAATCATTTTTATGCATCCTGGGTTTTTTGGTGTCACGTGACAGGAAGAGTTACTACAAAGAAGACCAGGTTTTGGAAAGACGGTGGGGTTCACGTGATGAAACACAGGCCATGACCCCTTTAGGAATTGGATGGAAGCCAGCCAGGCCAGGCCCCCCACCCCCAGGTCCTGGGTTGGGGCTCTGTGGGCCCAAGGAGTCCTCCAGAACCAAATTCTCCACTAAGAGCAATTTTTAAAAGAGCAGCTGCTCATCCCATGTCCAATTAGAGTGAGCAGATGTGTAAGAAACATGTCTTTGATTGATTTTGGGGGAGCCCCCCGCAGTTTGATGTTTTGCTTGGAGGTAGGGGAAACGGGGGCTGAGTTACAAGTATTACCTGTAGGAATAAACAATTCTTTTGAAACATCAGTAGGGAAGAAAGAAAAAAAAAGGCAGCTTAAGATTTATCTAAAAAGGAAGTGGAAAGTTAAAGTTGCTGGAGATCTCATTACTGTCTGTCTCGCTCACCGTAATTAAAAAATGCCTGAATGATCTTAATAACACATGATTCAGCTGACAAGCACTAATTGCCCTGTATCAGGCCAAGAGAAGATGAATGTTGTCAAGAAAACCACAAGTCAGACAAGCTGATTCTCTGTGAGTCTGACACCGTGTTCCCATGTACAGACCAGTTTTTACTGGAGTTCTTCCAGCATCAAAAGCAGCTTCTTACCTTCCCATTAATTTTCATCGCTGGCAGGCCCGAGTTGTTTGCGATACACTGACTACCTCCCTTGATTCCTCCTCGCTGGCTCAGGAGCTTGGGTCTGCAGACAAAATGTAAATATGTTTCTTGCTCTTATCTTTGTCCTTTTTCAGGGAAGAAATCTGTTCCCGTCCAATATGAATGCCCTGGTGGGCTTGTCAGTAAATTACATGGTATTTGGGAATTGATTTTCTGACGCCACCGATTTGTCAAGAACTTATCCTGCCTTTTCAGCGATTTGACAGCACCTGTTAGGCTGTAGGGCCATGTGATTGGGCAGTTCTCCTGCCGAGAAAAAGGGGACTGATGACTTTCTGTCACTTGGGCATCCAGAAACCTCCTTGAAGGTGGAGGTTATTGAGGGAGGAGGCAGGAGTGGAAAAATGCTATTGGTTTATTCCTGTGCTTTTATAGAACAGCCGAACCATTCTATGGCAATAAAACAGAATCACAGGGCAAGGTGCAGTGGCTCACACCTGTCATCCCAGTATTTTGGGAGGCTGAGGCAGGAGGATCGCTTGAGCCCAGGAGTTTGAGACCAACCTTGGCAACATAGTGAGACCTTGTCTCTACCCAAAAATAAAAAAAAAAAATCAGCTGGGCTTGGTGGTGCACGCCTGTAGTCCCATCTCCTCGGGAGGCTGAGGTGGGAGGATCGCTTGAGGCTGGGAGGTGGGAGCTTGCAGTGAGCCATGATCACACCACTGCACTCCAGCCTGGGCAACAGAGTGAGATCCTATCTCAAAAACAAACAAACAAAAAAGGAACTTGTTTCCTAGCAAGAAGCAGATGAGGCTGGTGAATAAGCATACCACATAAGTAAGTAATCCACTAACTTAGGGAATTTCGTGACCAGTCACTCAGCACGCCCTGTTGCGAAGGGGACGGCTGACCAATAGGATCATCTCAGAGTCACCCTCACACAACTTGGCTTAGCCTAGTTGGCAAAAGTGTCTCTTCAGAGACCTACCCTCCTGGAATTGAAATAAAATGAAAATTTGTGATGACGATCAGCTACTGTCAGTGTGACTTAGGTGTAGAAATTAAAAAAGAAAAAAAGACCACTCTAAAGGCATTTGTGCATGAAGACACCTACAGAAATAAAGCCGGGGTGCTGTTCTTGGTCTTCATTCAGGCTAGCACCTCTCGTCACCTTTTCACTTTGGAGCTCAGGGCCTGGTTCACTCAGCAAGTGAGCGGCTCACACAGTAGATGCTCTGCACATAGTAGTAGGTACTCAGAATATAGCAGCTGTTGATGTACATGTTTCCAGAGGGGCCAACACAGGAATCTGCACGTGGGTCCTTGCTTTAAGCCCAGCCCCTCTCTGTGGGCGTGGGATGGAGTCTTCCTTTCTTGGTGACCGGCGCCCTCTGGGGTCACTGGAGGCCTGGACTTCCCCACTGGCCCAGTGACCTTGTTTCCTTGTTCCCTGTCTCGCCCAGCCTTGGCTGTCCTGGGATTTGAAAATCTGGGATAAAGCCTTTTTCGGGCCTCTAAGGCCCTGCTGGTTCTGCGTGTTCCAGAGAGCTGCACCTCTGGGTGGTGAGCTGGCCTTTTTGGCATTTGATTTATGTATAGCCCTGAGTCACTGGGAGCGGATCTAGAGTCCAGGCCAGTGACTGATTTCAAACGCTAACACTCTTGGCTCGGGCTCAGGTTTCAAGTCAGCCTCCAAAGGGGATGTTTGCTCATTTCGTCATCTTCCTATCACAGCAATTTTCGTCATATGGAGGGGTGGCACTCATGTACCTTGATGATTATTATTCTTTTAAAAAATGAAGTTATTTATGTTATGGGGTGAGTTCGTCACACAGTCCGAATGTGGAATGTTGCCATCCTTTTCATCCCAATCCTGCCAGTGATTTCTGTTTACAATAGAACTATTGACATTGTATGGGGATGAAACTAGCATGAGATAGTAATTGTTGGCTTGCCTGAGATTTTCATCATATGTACACATAGACAAAACCTGGCTTTAGTTCCTAAAGCTATTGCTGTTTATTGTACTTTTATTAGCCAATGTTACAGATCCCCGTAGCATGCCAGAGGCTATTAAGAAATACAGGGGTCGGGGGCAGGAACGAAGTCCCTGGCCATGGATCATGCAATTGATCTATAGTTATTTTTTTTTCTTTTTCTTTAATTTTTTTTTGAAATTTTAAATTATTATTATTACTGTTTTTTGCGATGGAGTTTCACTCTTGTTGCCCAGGCTGGAGTGCAATGGCATGATCTCCCCCTCCCAGGTTCAAGCGATTTTCCTGCCTCAGCTTCCGGAGTAGCTGGGATTATAGGCGCCTGCTACCATACCTGGCTAATTTTTGTATTTTTAGTAGAGATGGGGTTTCACCATGTTGGCCAGGCTGGTCTTGAACTCTTGACCTCAAGTGATCCACCGACCTCGACCTCCCAAAGTGCTGGGATTACAGGTGTGAGCCACCATGCCCGGCCCAAATTATTATTATTTTTTATAAGATAGGATCTTATCACACAGGCTGGACTGCAGTGGTGCAATCATAGCTCACTACAACTTCCAACTTTTGGGCTCAGGTGATCCTCCCACCTCAGCCTCCTGAGTAGCTGGGACAGCAGGTACATGCCACCATGCCAGGCTAAGTTTTAAAATTTTATTTTGCTAGGGGGTCTCGCTGACTTGCCCAGGCTGGTCGTGAACTCCTGGCCACAAGTGATCTTCCTGCCTTGGCCTCCCAAAGTGCTGGGATTATAGGTGTGAGCCATGCTTTTGGCCAATTTTTAGTTATTGTGGATACATAATAGTTGTACATATTCATGGAGTACTTGTGATGTTTTGGTGTAAGCATACAATGTGTAATGATCAAGTCAAGGTAATTGGGATATATACTTATAGTTAGCCTACAGTCTTATTGATAATGTTCTCAGAAATTTCTGATTCCAGAGCTCCTTGCTCCTCTCCCATAATTAGATAACGTGTTTTTCTGTCCGGTAATTGCTGTAGTACTCATTTTTAGATGGGGTAGGGAAGGCCATGTGCCATGTTGGGGCCTCATCCCAAAGACCTTGTGCTGTTTGGGACAGGTAATTATTTAAAGCCCCGTGTGAGGTGGGTGGGTGTTAAACTCATGCTCTCCACACCTTCCCAGAGTGCCTGGGAAAGCAGGCTTCTCTAAGAAAGTGGAATAGCGAATAGGCAGTGATCCCTGAGAGAGATACATAATGATTGTCAGTTTCATGGATTACAGATAATTCCGTTTAATGTCCTCTGTTTTTCCTTTTTGCAAATTTCTATGCATTATATAGAACATTGACTTTAGCATAGAAAGTGCTAATTCTTGATTTGGCACTTTAATGGATATTTACACAGTGACACCATAAACATTGGATAAACAGAGGATTTGTTTTAATGAGATCTTCAGTGATTTGAAGCCGTTTCCCCCTTGCCTTCTGGAATCCCCGGCTCCAGTTCTGCCTGGTTTTGGTGATGCTGTCACAGTGGAGGGCTGACTGCAGGCCTCGACTGTGAGCCCTCACTCGGCCACCTTTTCATTTCCTCGCTGGGTTCCAGGCTCTTTGAAGCACTCGCCTCCTCCCCTCCCTGCATGTCCTCTGTAGTGCCTATTTCTGTGATTTGCATATAGCGGAAATATTTGTTGAACTGAATTATTTTTACACACAAGCCTTTCATGTGGCCAACATTTTGAGGTCTGTCTCCTTTGGCGGGAGTCTGGGAGGAATCTTCCAGTTCACTAAGAAGTGTTTGATAGCTTCAGGGCAGGCGTGCCCTGATTGGGGCTGGATGCCCTGCCTCCATCCAGAGGCTCTCTGGCCAGGAGGGGAATGAACCAAGTGCCCAGATTCCCCCCTACAATGTTTATGCAGAGGTGACTGTCACCTGCCAATGGTGACAGTCCACCAGGGAAGTCCAGAAGGCCTTTGGATTAAAGCTACAGGAGAGGCAGGTCCCCTTGCAGGGTCAGAAGGGGAAGAGAGAAGAGAGAGAGAACCAAAGGTGGGAGGTTCAGCTACTCGGGAGGCTGAGGTGGGAGGATCCCTCAAGCCCAGGAGGTCAAGTCTGCAGTGAGCTATGATTGCACCACTGCTCTCCAGCCTGGGCGACAGAGCGAGACCCTGTCCCAAAAAATAAAAAATAAAGATGGAAAGATGGGAGGATTCTCCCCAGGAAGGCCCAGGCCGCAGGGTCCCCTTGTCCTTAAAGGCCAGCTCAGTGAGGCTACAGGTCCCCTTGCCCCAGTTCCCCGAGCACAGAGCAGGCATGGCCTCGGACGACTTCCTCTTTGTGTCTCGTGGACTACTCAATAAATATTAATGTTTTCCAAAGATATCTTGCCCAGCTCTCCCTGACGAGGCTGTTGGCTTGAAGGAATAACAACACTCGTTGCACTCACGGAATATTAAGTCTGTGCCAGGGCCTGTTCTGAGCTCATGACTTGTGCTACTCGGTCTCTCCCCACAAGCTCACAGGGCGGATGCTATTTTCACCGCCGTTTATAGGAGAGGAAACTGAGGCACAGGGTCCTTCAGTGACTGGCCCCCATGAGCAGGCAGCACATCTGGAATTCCAGCCTGTGCAGCCTGGCCCCAGGATCCCCATGCCTCTGTGGGGGACACTCTGGAAGTGACAGGTGAGGCACTTCTCTGGCCTCTCTGGATCTCCTGCTGGCCCTGAATGTGGGTGGTTACCCTTTTGGGGTGCTGTCGGTGCCTCTTAGATGTCTCAGTGACCCTACAGGGTCTGCCTTCCATAGGACTGCCTTTTTCTTTTTTTTTGAGACAGGTTCTCACTCTCCTGCCAAGGCTGGAGTGCAGTGGCACAATCTCACCTCATTGCAACCTCTGTCTCCTGGGCTCAAGTGATCTTCCTACCCCAGCCTCCTGAATAGCTGGGACTATAGGTGTGCGCCGCCATGCCCAACTAATTTTTTTTTGTAGTTTTTTTGGTAGAGATGGGGCTTCACTGTGTTGCCCAGGCTGGTCTCAATCTTCTGGGTTCAAGTGATCTGTCCACCATGGCTTCCCAAAGTATTGGGATTACAGGTGTGAGCCACTATGCTCGGCCGGCACCCACCTTTTTGTGGACTTTTCTTTGTTGACTTGGCATTCGGCAAGGTGTAGGCTTTTGCCACCAACACGATACCCGTGGGGAGAAGCCCCCTGGCCCCCGTGCCTGCCAGAAGAAAGGCTTAGGGTCCCCTGCGAGGACCCACACGTGCACTGCATGCCTGGATAGCCCATGCCAGCCTCACTGAGGCTGGATTTAGTTCCTGAGTATGTTATGGAGAAGTGCCCAGAGCAGGGACCGCAGGCACAAGGTGGGCCTGGCCTTTGGAGGAGGCTGGGCACGGCCACCTGCTCCTCCTCTCTCCCATGGGCAGGTTGGCCTTGTTGCCATTGGAAACTCTTGAGAGCCCACGGGTGTTTTCTGGCCATGTGACCTAAATGGGAGGCTTGCTGAAGGGTAGATGCTGCTTCACCAGCAACAAGAGGAGCCCCCAGACCTCAGCCACAGGATGGCCCCCACCCTGCTGAGCCCCCACTCTTCGCTCCCTGCTCAGCAGAGCAACACATACCATTGCCCAAAGGATGGACCAGGCACAGCGTGGGGCCCAATAGCAAATGTTCTGACGAAGGAGGTCAGTGCCGGACACTGCTGGGCGTTGTTGAGTCCTGGGCTGGCAGGGACAGTTTTGCAGGGACGGTTTGGAAGGGGCTTTGCTGGGGAGGGGGTCTCTAGGAGGGGCAGCCCCTGAATAGGGCAGCCGAGTTGCTGTGACTGCATCTTCCTTTCTTTCCGATGGGGGCAAAACTCACTCTTCTTTTTAACCATTCTCTGTTATCTGTTTTTCTTTTCTTTTGAAACTTTTTTTTTCTTTCTTTTTTTTTAGAAAGAGGATCTTGCTCTGTTGCCAGGCTACAGTGCAGTGGTGTGATTATAGTTCACTGAAGTCTTGATCTCCTGGGCTCAAGCAGTCCTCCTACCTCAGCCTCCTGAGTAGCTGGGACTACAAGTGTGAGCCACCATGCCTGGATAATTTTTATTTTATTTTTTTAGAGATAGGGTCTTGCTATGTTGCCCAGGCTGGTCTTGAACTCCTGGCCTCAGGTGATCCTCCTGCCTCGGCCTCCCAAAGTGCTGGGATTACAGACATGAGCCACTGCACCCGGCCATGTCCTCTTTTTCTGATTCGGGAGGATAAGGGCTCCCCATGACACTGGCATCAGCATTGGGAGCATTTCCGTGACCCCAGGGCTGCTGATACACCCTGTGGACAGGGCAGGACCCACAGCTAAGTCAGTAAAGCACCATCCTCTGGGAGTGGCTGTCATACGACATTTCTTGCTTTTAGGACCATTGGACTGAAAAACCAAATCCTGCCACTGGATCTGGTGATGACGGTGACATTTTTTTTTTTTTTTTTTTTTGTTTAGAAGCTTATGATTCATCGGATCTCTTTTGGTTTACGGAAAGCCCAGATGTCGTGGTCCCTCTGCGTGCCCACTCCAGGAGAACGCATTCAATGTCAAGGAACCCTGTAGTGTGCAAAGTTGGATTTAGGGATTTCCCGAATAAAGCTCACTGAGGGTCAATGAGTTCCATAAACATTATTGAGGCCGGGTGTGGTGGCTCACGCCTGTAATCTCAGCACTTTGTGAGGCTGAGGTGGGGGGATCACCTGAGGTCAGAAGTTCCAGACCAGCCCTGCCAACATGGCGAAACCCCGTCTCTACTAAAAATACAAAAATCTGGGTGTGGTGGCACATTCCTGTAATTCCAGCTACTCGGGAGGCTGAGGCAGGAGAATCTCTTGAACCCAGGAGACGGAGGTTGTAGTGAGCCGAGATCGTGCCACTGCACTCCAGCCTGGGTGACAGAGTGAGGCTCCGTCTCCAAAAAAAAAGAAAAAAAAATTATTGAATGTCTTCCTTGTACCTGACACTGTGCTTTATCCCATTTAATTCCACTGGATAATATGTTAAATTCAGACTTGTTCGTAGATTTATATACATGTACATATCCCTCTTAATACATTGGTTTATTCTGTTTCTCCATGTTCATACCGCCAGCCTGATGCCTCATTTGCACAAATGAATGGATGAGTGAATCCAGCTTATTCTTTTATTTCTCCCTGGGATCTGGTATACAAGAGATGGTTATTTTTTAATTTGAGACAGAGTCTCACTCTGTCACCTAGGCTGGAGTGCGGTGGTGCAATCTCAGCTCACTGCAGCCCCTGCCTCCTGGGTTCATGTGATTCTCATGCCTTAGCCTCCTGAGTAGCTGAGATTACAGGTGCACACCACTATACCCAGCTAATTTTTGTATTTTTGGTAGAGTCAGCATTTCACCATGATGGCCAGGCTGGTCTTGAACTCTTGACCTCAAGTGATCCACCTGCCTCGGCCTCCCAAAGTGCCGGAATTATAGGGGTGAGCCACCACACCTTGCCAAGAGATGGTCATTAAAGTTGAATTTTGGCACTCCTTGCAGAAACCCTACAAAGTTGGTATCACCTCTATTTTGCATATCAGAAAACTGATGCTGGCCAGGTGCAGTGACTCATGCCTGTAATCTTAGCACTTTGGGAAGCTGAGGCAGGAGGATTGCTTGAGGTCAAGGGTTCAAGACCAGCCTGGGCAACATAACCAGACCCCGTCTCTACAAGAAAATTAAAAAATGAGTTGGATGTGTACCTGTGATCCCAGATACTTAGGAGGCTGAGGTGGGAGGATTGGTTGAGTCCTGGAGTTTAAGGCTGCAGTGAGCTATGATTGCACCACTAAATTCCAACCTGGGCAATGGAGCAAGACCCTGTCTCAAAAAAAAAAAAAAAAAAAGTGCTGAGAGAGATCGTTTCCCGAGGGTCTTTGGATAGTTTGTAGAAAAACAGTACTGTTCCTTCTAAAGCCCTGTGGCTTTTTCCCTATTCCAGGTGCACATTGGCCTTTGAGGCTGGAAAACACTTTTACTTACTTCCAGCTTTATGGGATTCATAAAATGGCCTTGAGAAAAGTAAACCGATTTTTCTCCTTCTAAAAACATCCAGTGGGCCGGGTGCAGTGGTTCACACCTGTCATCCCAACACTTTGGGAGGCCGAGGCCGGCGGATCACTTGAGGTCAGGGGTTTGAGACCAGCCTGGCCAGCATGGTGGAACCCCATTTCTACTAAAAATACAAAAAATTAGCTGGGCCTGGTGGTGAGCACCTGTAATCCCAGCTACTCAGGAGGCTGAGGCAGGAGAATTGCTTGAACCTGGGAGGTGGAGGTTGCAGTCAGGCGAGATCACACCGCTGCACTCCAGCCTGGGCGACAGAGCAAGACTATATCTCAAAAAATAAATAAACAAATAAATACATCTGGTGCAGGTAAAGTGTTCAGGAAGTAATTTCCTGGAAGAGGGAACTCTGCAGTTGCAAATGCGGCCTTCTTACAAGTCGCTTGTAGGGTGTTGAAACTCTCTCGCGATCCCAGTGACTTGAGATGCTCTGTTTTCTGGATAACTAAGCTTTTCCACCTTCACTACGGGGTACCAGGGTCTTTGTAGCAGAGAGGCAGCTGTCTTGATGGTGGAACCACTCCCGCCAGTGTGTGGTGGGGTGCCCCCGGGGATTTAGGGAGAGAGAAGGCCAGTGGCAGGGACTGGCTGGAGGAAGAGGGTGCGAGGAAAAACACTGGCTGACATTTGAAGGAACGTGCTTCAGTATCAGGGAAGGCCAGCGTGGGATAATCGGTGTCTTGGCAGATGGGGTTGACGGGGAGCCCTGAAGCCGGCAGTGTTTAGAGATTCAAAGAATAGGGGGGCTGTGGGGAGTCTTTTGGTTCACAGCAGTGTCCCCCAAACCGGCACAGTGGGATGAGAGTGGGCTGGCCAGGGAAGGGGACAGGGTGTTAGGTCCAGAGGTGCTAAAATCCCCAACCATGGTCAAAATGGGGACATGAGAGACTCGGGGTTCAGAGCTCACATGAAGGACAGCTGTCCCCCCCTCCACCCCCGCCTTGGGTCAGAGCTGGCTAGGAGAGCCCACCCTGCAGCCTGTCCTTCGTGGGAATCAGCATGAGGGGTGCAAAGTGCTCAGCAAGGCCCGGCACCAGGTTTGTTCTTGGGATCAGAGTGATACACGCGCCTTACATTTTTTTTAAGCTGCTGGTTTTGCGGGTCAGTACGGGGAAAAACGGTGAGTCCCTTTTATAAAATATATAGAGAGGTTGGTGCGAAAATAGCAGCTTGTTTCTGCTTGCGTATTTCTACTCACTGCTGGGACACAAATCTACCCTTCCATTTTCTGAATTGTATTCATTCAAACTCTGATTTAACCTCTATTTAGTTAATGAATTGGGCAAGTTAACCTCGAACTCTTCCAGGCTGTGGCTGTTACCGTCACCATCTCCTGCTTCTCACTTTACACACTCATATGAGACCTTTTTTATTTCTGAAGTGTGGCCTGACATTGTTTAGGCTGTTGTTTGGTGCTTATTTTTAACTCTTCTTTTGTCACTTAAGTAGGATGTCTTAATTCTTGTTTAGTGTTAGATCACTTAGCAGGATTTTTTTTTTGAGCGGGGGCGGGGGGAATATGATTTTGTGTCACATTTTGAATACTTCTCTATGGCAGTATCTTTTAGAGTTATTATGGACCCTGTAATTCTGTTCTCAAAGACGTTTAACCACTAGAGGTAGACACCAAAAATGTTTTATTTGTCTCATTTGGGACTCTAATTCAGTGAAGTTGGCTGTTTGGAGTCTGAGACTGGATCTGTTTTTTTATTTTGTTTTGTTGTTGTTTTGTTTGTTTTCAGACAGGGTCTTGCTCTTCTGCCCAGGCTGGAGTGCAGTGGTTTGATCACAAGTCACTGTGGCCTCTAACTTACATGCTTAAGCAATCCTCACGCCTCAGACTCCCGAGTAGCTGGGACCACAGGTGCTCACCACCAGGCCCAGCTGACTTTTGTATTTTTTCTAGAGACAAGGCCTCATAAGTAGTTGTTTCCCAGGCTGGTCTCAAACTCCTGGGCTCAAGTGATCCTCCTGCCTCAGCCTCCCCAAAGTGCTAGGATTATAGGCATAAGCCCTCACACCCAGCCAGGACTGGATCCCTTGACTCACTTAATGATCGGGGTTTACTTCTGACCTGCATGGGGTGCTGTGGGGAACCCAGAGATCAATAAGACAGCCCGTACCTTCTTGGAGCTGTATTTAGCAGGGTCATAGAAGACGCACTCATAATCAGAAACCATCCAGAATGTGACTTCTGGCCAGGGAGAATAGGGAAGGGTTCATGGAGATGGTGGCATTTGATTGAATTCTGAATTTGGGGTTGTAGGTTTCAAATATTAGTTTGGGGACAGTCATCCTTTTATTTTCTTCTCTAAATTTAAAGAAATTGTTATTTTTAAAAACCAATTGGAATGGGTATTGAATTTCTGTGTGGAGAATGTCTACCAGTTTTTCATCATTTTCTCCACTGTATAGTGTCAATAAGTGTTAAATGCAATGGTCTGTAAGACTTTGTTGATAATTTTCTTTTCTTTGACATAGACTTGTAAACTGGAAACCCTGTGTGGGTAATGGGCAGTGCCTATTTCAGCATCTTGTCCCCAGAAATCCACTCCCTAAAAGGCTTGTTGAATGAATCAGATCTAGGAGCATCTCTTTTGTGTTGGAGCGGAGAGTCAGTCCGGACTTTGAGCCTCTCCTTGCACTGACCAGCGGCAGGCTGAAGACAGTTGGACTTAAGAAAACTTAATCTAGAAGCAATATGCTGGTCAGATTCTTTCAATGCTAGGTTTAGTATCGTTCCTTTTTCTCCCATTTGGTGAAGTGGTGTAATGCTTTAGCACATTTTAAATAAGATTACACAAGCGGCTGTTAGTTGGCATCAAGAATCTTTTAATCTGGAAAGAAAATGTTACCTCCTTCATTTGCAAAACAGAGTGTTTCTGGCACCGTATCCCAAAGTGTCTTCTGGTTGTTCCGTTTTTCAGAAGTTACTGTGGGCTTCTAATTACCCTCATTTAGACATCCAGGACAGAAATTGCCACTTCAACAAGAAAATTTTGTAATGAGCCGGAGGAAATGGTCTCATCATTACTACGTTATACGCAGTCTGAGAGTCTGCGTGGATTTTTATTTCACAAGAATGTGACTGTTTAATTGAAAAATGTTGTTAAAATGTGCTTTCTGTTCCTATCAGTATGTTGTTAGTGCTTATATAGCCATGCTCGAGTCAGTGAAAATTGGTGCCCTTTGCCAAAATACTTTTTTTCATTTTTGTGTATAATTTTGTGAGCTAGGTCTATTTTTGTTTAATTAGGCCCTGCAAGAGAATGAGGGAGAGCTGTATTTAAATTTTTAGACCATTAAAGGGCCTAAAACTATCCTAGATGAAAGGCCCCCAAAATTAGCTTTAATATTTATTATATGAATAAAACCAATAGGGAAAACGTTTCCAGAAACCCTTTCTCTTTTTCCTTCTTCAGACAGCTGGCTAAGATTAATTGCAGGCCTGAACGTGGGCATGTTTGCTAGTTTCTCTTGTTCTATTACTAGAAAATAACTCTTAAGAGAGGAGAGAAATACCGTCTTCTTGTATTTGGGGGGCAGGCTGTACATTTTATAACTCACTAATATAATGAAATGTTTGTTGATAACATCATATTTTGCTTTCTGATAGAAAAGTCCTAATTTCTATTTTCTTTTTACTTTTTATTTTTATTACTTTTTTTTTTTTTTTTTTTTTTTTTTTAAAATAGAGATGAGGGCTTGCTGTGTTGCCCAGGCTGGTCTCGAACTCCTGGGCTTAAGCAACCCTCCTACCTCAGCCTCCCAAAGTGCTGGGATTACAGGCATGAGCAACTGCGCCTGGCAAGTTTGTTTTACTTTTTATTTTTATTACTTTTTGTTTCTAATTTCTACTTTCGACAGGATTCCTTTTAAAATTTTAATCTAGGAAACAAAACTGCACGTGAAAGATTTGCCTTGTAGACGGAAAGTTCTGGAAACATCAGCTCCAGGCTGTGGTGTGAAGCTGTCGGGCTGATTTGCCTGGTAAGAAGCGCGTTTGGGGCACGGAGGGTCACCTTGCCCCCTGCGAGCGTTCTTTCATCATTTGAGCAGCCAAGCATCCCTTTTGGGCCAAGTTTGCCAAAGACTCTAACGTAGAGAAGTGGACAGACCCAGTTGCATGCTGATGTTAGGGGCAGAGAGAAAGAAGGAAAGATCCTTGCCTAGCTTAAGCCCTTGTGCTTCTTCCCCACATTTATTTGACTTCCCAAATTGGATTGGCTGTTGTGATTGAAAAGATTGTCAGCACTATGTAAATGAGAATGAGAAGTAAAAGTGCATCTCATGCAGATAATTTCTATGTAGATAATTTGCCATAAAAATTTATATTGCAGTCCTTAAAACCTTCGGAGATTTAGTCTGTCTAGGGAAAGGTGATTTATACGGCATTAAAACACTTTTTATGTCCCAGTCCTTTAGATTTAATGTTTATTGCCTATAAAAATGAAATCTTCTTGTGGATATTTAAAAGTTTTGGTACTGTGTGAAATATATATTCAAGTTAGAAATGCTTTGGAGATGTTGTAAATAAGTGGCAAATCTCTTGCTCCAAAGTCCACTGTGTTGTCTGGGCCCGCATCTTGGCTTTGCACGCCTGAAAAGCTGCCTCGGGTACCGGTGTCTGATCATCACCATAGTGGGTCGCCAAGTAGGAGAATGTCTTATGTAGGGATTTGGTGGTTTTTCAAAAAACTTAAATTAGCTAACAAGGATGGGACTATTATAATTCCTCAGAAAGTTATGCAAGGTCTGACCAGAATTTCATTCCAATCTGCAGAAAGACTGAATTATGGTGCAGTTTTTTTGGTTTTTTGTTTGTTTGTTTTTTGAGACGGAGTCTCGCTCTGTCGCCCAGGCTGGAGTGCAGCGGCACGATCTCGGCTCACTGCAAGCTCCGCCTCCTGGGTTCACGCTATTCTGCCTCAGCCTCCCAAGACGCTGGGATTACAGGCGCCCACCACCACACTTGGATAATTTTTTGTATTTTTAGTAGAGATGGGATTTCGCCGTGTTGGCCAGGCTGGTCTCAAACTCCTGACCTCAGGTGATCCACCCGCCTCGGCCTCCCAAAGTGCTGGGATTACAGGCGTGAGCCCCTGCGCCCGGCCTATGGCGCAGGTTTTAAAGAGTGGAAGTGCTTTGACAATGGAATGCCCAGTACAAAGCAGTTTTTAGGCTTTTGCAGCCACTCAGATTCATAACAGCACGCTTCAATTCTGGTCTTAAATAAAACTCTCATGGAGTAAATAAATCATATGGTGGGGACAGCACTGCTGTGGAGGAGGGTACTGTTTAAGCATTTTGGGGGTTCCTGAAAGATGTTTCTCAAAGTGAGCGCTGGAGAGGAGTACCTGGTTTGATTGTTGAACTAAAGTGTGGTTTCTGTAACCCTAGGGAGTTCTTCCCTAGGTATGATTGAGCTCCCTGAGTGCTGGGATGGTGACCTCCCCAGCCTGTCTCCAAGTCTGAGTACTGGTCGGCTTCCTAGACTCCTTAAAACGCTGGGTATTTTATTTAATTAATTTATTTATTTTTGAGATGGAGTCTTGCTGTGTCGCCCAGGCTGGAGTGCAGTGGTGCGATCTTGGCTCACTGCAACCTCTGCCTCCTGGGTTCAAGCAGTTCTCCCGTCTCAGCCTCCTGAGTAGCTGGGATTACAGGCATGCACCACCACGCCTGGCTAATTTTTGTATTTTTAGTAGAGACGGGGTTTCGCCATTTTGGCCAGGCTGGTCTTGAACTCCTGACCTCAAACACTGGGTATTTTGGAAATCATGTGGGAAGTGCTTTTCCTAGAGTTTTGTAGCTCCTCAAAAAGGCAGAACTAATCAACCAGGCTTCCCCATTGTAGCCACAGTTGGATCCCAATGGTAAGGGCCATTGGGAAACCAATGGTCTGGGTGAGTCTGGCCTGGGACCCTGGCATGGGGAAGAGACTGGACTTGAAGGCTTTGGATGGGCAGCTTGGTCTGGACAGTATTGGAAATAAAGGAACTTGAGACTTTGAAATTGCTGTGATGGGGGTGTTCTCACCTGTCCATAGGGGTGGGATGTCAGTAAGCTTTGCCGGTGTCTGTCCCATAGATAGACTCAGCTCTGCATTGCAGCCCCAAAAGGAGCCTGCATTCTTAAAAGAATTTTAGGGGAAGAAAGATTTAAGAGAGCACCTGAAGTCCTGAATCCCTTCAGAAGGAATTCATGGCTGCCTGTAGTCAGCTGCCAGTCCAACCTTGCCCTCCAAAAGAAGTCACAGAGATTGAGTTTTCAGCGAGGCAGGGAGAAGTTGTCACATTTGCCTAATTCTTGTAGAGGTGAGAGTGGGAGTAAACTGGAAGGGGGCGGATTATTGGTGATTTGGGGGCCACGTTTCCTTGTATCACCTGTAAAGTTTTTTTTTTGTTTTTGTTTTTTTTTTTTTTTTTTGGAGACAGGGTCTTACTCTGTCATGCAGGCTGGAGTGCAGCGGCACAATCACGGCTAATTGCGGCCTCAACCTCCCCAGACTCCCAAGTAGCTGGGACTATAGGCATGCACCACTGCACTTGGCGTATTTATTTATTTATTTATTATTTTTTCGAAGAGACAGGGTCTCCTTATGTTGCCCAGGCTGTTCTCAAACTCCTGAAGCAATCCGCCCACCTCAGCCTCCCAAAGTGCTGGGATTACAGGTGTGAGCCACCATGCCTGGCTCACCCATAAAATTAAAATGAAAAGAGCAGACCACAGCCAGCAGTCTTCCGACCTCCAGCTCTTGCAGGTCGTGGGCAGCCTTGCCCCAGGTGCAGCAGGTAGGCCAGGAAGCAGGTGTGGGAACAGAGCAACAGCAGGCACCGTGGGGACATGCACAGTAAGCGTCGAATCGGTGTGCGTTTGCAGAAACGTGAATGGGTGAATGAAGGGGTGTATGAAGGTATACACAGGAACGCCACAGTCAGCTTTGTGTAAAGTAGACCAGTGAACAGATTGCTGGTATTGCTTCTGACAGCTCTGCTCCTCAGGGGAAAATGGTGAACTCACTTTAGAACTCGCCTTTGTCAGCTCCAACTAGACTCTGGAAGGAACACAAATGCTCAGACTTTCCCATGACAGACTGTGAAGCAAAGCCAGTTACACAGCTACCGTCACTAATATTTTTGGTATAAAGCAGTTGCTAAAATTAATTCCAGTCTGAAACTTGATGAATTCTCAGTCATGGAATTAACAGGTCTTAAATGGGAAAAATAAAAAATTAGCTTGATTAAAAATAAATGTTTGTGCTGAAATGTGGAGCCTGTCTGTCCCTAACAAACTAAATATGAAGTTTTTCATCTTAGAGGATTTGTTTGCCTTTGAGTATTCATAGGGAAAGTGCACGTTTGTACCAGAAATTTAGAGACGCACTCCCAGTAAGTTCTTACGAGCAGTCAGTATTATCCTTTTTGTATAAGGCAAGCAGTCAGTCCCTATGAAGAGTAAGATACAAGCCTGGCTCAGCAGTGGCCCCCCTGAGCCTATCTGATGTGCAGAAAAGTCACGCACACACAACTGTCTTGAAGGGCAGCCTCCTTTCAGCCAGCACCCATTTACTCCCTCTTATTAGGCCTTCCTCTGAATTTATATCAAGCAAACTATTTAGGACGCATCTGCGAAGCAGGAAGTGTGTTTCATTTTGTTTTTAATGAGGTTTCAAACTCTCTCTTCCCATCTCTGTCCCTGGATGACAGCGCAGAGTTTTACGTCATTTGCTATTAGACATCTTGTGGCTTGACATCCTCGAAGGCTCAGCCACCCCTGGGTGTGTTTGGTTAATACAGCAAGTGAAGCCTGGGCAACATATCGAGGCCTCATTTCTACAGAAATTTTTAAAAAGTAGCTGGGCATGGTGGCATGCACCTGTCGTGTCAGCTACTTGAAAGGCTGAGGTGGAAGGATTGCTTGAGCCCAGGAGTTCAAGCCCGCAGTGAGCTATGATCGTGCCACTGTACTCCAGCCTGAGTGAAGGGCGAGATGTTGTCTCTTAAAAAAAAAAAATAATAATAATAAAATAAAGAAAAGAAAAAAGTAGAGGTTCTGTGCTTAGTTAGAAGATATCTAACAACACAATTGGTTAGACTTTCATAATTATTTCTGCTGATGTAAGTATCACAGCGCAGGTCATGGGCAACAGTTTACTGTTTTCACACCCAGCTTCAATGTTAAATGAACCCCAGACTATAGCGTGACCAGTCTGATATTATCATCCCCAAATCTTTATAGTTTCAGCTCTTGGGATGGATGACTGAATAACCATTTTTTTTCCAGTGTGGTAGTCTTAGGGTTTTGCTTATTGGTGTGTGTGTTTCAAGAGGAACCTCTGTTCCTTGGACTTGATGTGAGTGGCAAGTCATGTAAAAAGCTGGATTTTATCAATAGTTTTTGTCTAAAAACCAAAACCAAAAAATTCTTCCCCTGCAGTACCAGTGCTTGAAATAAACCACCCTCCTACCCCCACCCAGCTTGCCTGCGTGGATCCAGTAGCACCCCCGGTACCCCGGTGGGCCTTTTTGGCAGCCCCGAGGGGTCAGGGATCTAGGGGGAAGAGTCACCGCAGGGAGCGCAGATGTACTTGGAGTGGGGAATGGTTGGGGGGGACCCATTCCCCTGCTTTAAACCGCAAATGTCTTTTGATATCTAGTAAAATTGGCAAGCAGAATGATTGAAAACATGTGAGAGGTAACTGGATCTAAGTCTCAAGTAGTACATATTTGAGAAGTTTTCCCCAATGTAAAAGTCACTCTTTAAGAGCCTTAAACTAATAAAAACAAGGAAATTCCATGTTACGGCTGCCACTCGGCCTTTTCATTTTTATTCCAGAAGTCAGATCTGACAGGTCAGCAGCTCACTGGCTCTGGGCTCCCCGTGTTTAAAGCAGTGGGGACGAGGAGAAGAACTGGCAGCCGCCGGGACGGGGAAGTCTCCAATGCCATTCAGTGCCAGGCTCGTAATTCCCTCTTAGTTTATCCTATTTTCTCTTCTTGGGGCGGCTTCCTGTATGTACTTTATTCACTGAAGCTGCTTCAGGATTCCTTCAGAGACTATTCTTGTTTCTTTCCATTTCTGTGTCTTTTTTTTTTTTTTTTTTTTTTTGAGACAGAGTCTTGCCCTGTGGCCTGGGCTGGAGTGCAGCGGCGCGACCTTGGCTCACTGCAACCTCCGCCTCCCGGGTTCAAGTGATTCTCCTGCGTCAGCCTCCTGAGTAGCTGGGATTACAGGCACGCACCACCACACCTGGCTAATATTTATATTTTTAGTAGAGACAGGGTTTTGCCATGTTGGCCAGGCCAGTCTCGAACTCCTGACCACAGGTGATCTGCCTGCTTCGGCCCCCCACAGTGCTGGGATTACAAAGCATAAGCCACCGCACCCGGCTAATTTCCTTTATAGTTACACTAGCTTGGAAGAATAACATACTGAGTGGCGTGGAAGGCGTTGGTGCACATAGGTGCAGCATCCCAGAGCCCCGTCCACTGGCGGCTATTTGTGCATGGCTGCCTGTGGCTTCTTATCTGTGATGGAACCTCGTGGGCAGAGAAGTGGCTGGAGAGCATCACCAAGGCTGCCTGGTCCAAGTTGCTTCCTGTTGCTGCATGGGCAGTGTTCTGGGGTCCAGACCCTGGGTGGTAGTGATAAGATGGTGATGGGGTGGAGTGGGTCCTTATAGATCCCACATTACTGAGCGGCCTTTTGCCCTTCAAACCAGATCACAATCCCCTCCCTGCCAGTTGGTCCTCAAGAAATCACAGGAGGCTGGGCGCAGTGGCTCACGCCTGTAATCCCAGCACTTTGGGAGGCCAAAGCAGGTGGATCACTTGAGGTCAGGAGTTCGAGACCAGCCTGGTCAACATGGCAAAACCCGGTCTCTACTAAAAATACAAAAAAAATTAGCCAGGTGTGGTGGTGCACTCTTGTGATCCCAGCTACTCGGGAGGCTGAGACAGGAGAATCTCTTGAACCCAGGAGGCAGAGGTTGCAGTGAGTCAAGATTGGATTGTGCCACTGCACTCCAGTCTGAGTGATTCTGTCTCAAAAAAATAAAAAAATAAAGAAGTCACAGGAGGCCCAGCATACAGAGAACATCAGGTATAGAGAGATGTCCTTCCTGGGCCAAAACAGGTGGTGTCATTTTGCTGAGTTTGATAGAGAAAAAGTCCTGATGTCTGTGTACATAAGAACTCACGTCTAGAGTTCGAGAAAAACCGGTGATGAGAACTTGAACTTGGAGGAGTCACAGGGGGATCAGGAAAGCTTGGTAATTGGCATGAATTTCCTACCTCCAGGGGCCTGGCACAGAGACCTAGGATGAAGAGGGGGCCATCGAGCATGGTGTGAACTTGGAGAGTGTGGGGAGCTGCCCCAGCCGAGGGCACTGGATGGGAATTCATGCCAGAACCCCATCACATAGCGGCAGGAGCTGTAATTGTGCTTCTTAATTGTGTATCTTCATTTAGTGCGAGTTTAGGTGGTTAGCAATAGCTCTTTAGCTAGCTTTACAGAGTCTAAGTTAAAGAGCCCCTCAGCTATCTTGTAGAAAGCGCCCTGGACAGGATGGGGTGATGCTGACAGCTGGAGTCACTGTTCCAGCGCCCAGAATGGGGAGACTAGCAGCACTTCTGGGCAGCCCATGAAGCAGCCTCTTCCCTCTGCCGGTGTCCCTCATGTCCAGCAGAGCTAGAAGTGAAACTCACTGAGGATTGACGCGGCCCCTTTAAAATCGCATCTCCGCTCTTGGCACCAGGAGCTGTCATGTAGTGTAACCTGTTGGTGCCCAGAACCCAGGTTTCCTGGTGGCAGCCAGCGGTACCGGTGCCAGGAGGCAGCGAAGGAATCACTTGCGACGCCCGCTCTCTCTGCCATACGAGTGTCGTTCTGCGGGGCCATCTGGCTGGCAGCAGCTCTCAGCCAATGGCAGGATGTTGTAAACCTCACTCGCTGAATGCGGCACCGAAAATCTTGAAAATTAACTGCAAAAATAAAATCAAAGCTGGCTCCGAGATGGTATTTCTTGGCCTGGCATAAGCTCTCCGGATGAACTTGCTCTGCCTTGTTGATAGATGCCTCTTACTAGTTTGGTTTTTTCCCAGGAGCCAGTTGGCATCTTTTAACTTTTCCTTGTAAAATCCAGGCAGAAACATTTTGAGAGCTTTCTGGAGTTTTTATTTGCTAATTAAAATGTGAGAAGGGAACACAGCCACAGGTA